>NC_000021.9:35814479-36124433 GCF_000001405.40 Homo sapiens
AAAATCCTATTATAGACCAATCTCACAACAATAGACACAAAAATTCTATATAAAATACCACAAGGTGAATTTCATATTATTTTAGAAGAATGGCCCACCATAATCAGATTCGCACAAGGAATGCTGGGCTCTTTAATATTAGGCATTGTATTAATATAATATGACACATTTGGGCCAATTAGGGAAACAGCATGACACTCTTCAGCTAGATAAAAAGAGTTGCTAGAGTCAGCTGTTCACATACTAAATAGATATCAGAGAAAAAATAAGTTTCCAGATATCCAGATAATTCTTTAAGAAGAAAAGGATCAAAGTGTAAATTATCCAGATGTCTGAGATTAAAACATTCATTAGTTCAAACAGAATGTCCTCTGAGAAAGAGAAATAGAACTCCAGAAGCCATTTCCTTCTTATTACAAGCAATAGGAATGCCCCATTCCTAAAGAAGGCCGTCCAGAACGCCAACCTTACTGCAATTTGGTGCAGGCCATTGGCCCTCTGTTAGGCCATGGATTCTCTCTTGCTCTGCTCAGTGTCTAGCCTCAGCTCAAGTCCCACTTCATCCCCTCCAGGAAGCTCCTGCTAACACCCTCTTCTCTTCCTTCCCTCCTGACCTCTGGGACAAAACTCTCTGGGAACACTCCGTCCTGTTCACTATTTCCTTGTCTGTCTCTCCTGAGACCACAAACTCCTGCAGGCCCTGGTTTGTGTCATATAATTTCATTATCCAACCCTGCAACACAGAGTAAGTACTCAATTAATATTCTTTGTTTAATTAATCAATATACCAAAAATTTTCAAGTACATATCTGTATTAATTTCTGTGCAGCAAAACAATTCTAAATTAATAATGGAGTCATGTTTTCCTCCAACAAATCAGTCCGAAACCCTAATGCAGGCATGCACATAGGTACACTCTGAGCAAGTTTTAAGTCATTTCCTGATTCCAGCCCTGGCACTTGAGCTTTTAGAGCTTGCCACATGAATCTAGGGAACAAAAGCTAAAAAGCATTCCGCTGTCATTTTTCTTCCTGGTTCTGTTTCATCTGTGTAGACAGTGAGAAAACACAACTAGGCCAATCCAGGTTTCCCATTTCAATTACCTGCTGGTAAAGGGTAATCTTCAAATGAAACTTTAAACCAAAGAATTTACCTTACTCAGCTAATGGCCCAAATGTCTCCTTCGGCAAAACCCAAGAGAATCTCCCTCTCTTTTAAAAGGCAACTTTCTGTTTTTTCACATTGCCTGCACCAAGTTACACTAATCAAGACCACACTAATGTGGCCACGTTCCACCCCTTAACCAATTGGCCAAGCTTCATGGGAATAAAAATTGCTCCAAAAACTGAGAATCCTAAGTACTGCAGGTACTAACTGGGGTGGGGAAAGCCTGTTCTGCTTCATTACTCCCACACTGGAATTATATTATAACATAGATTAAAAAAAACCCTGGAATCCACCAAGAAATTGACTGACGTTAATATTTGAGGAAATGGCAAAGGAAAGTTGTTCAATTTTTGTGTGCCTTGTTGCATTCTGGGCTTAGGGTTTGCTGCTCTACTTTCTTATTGGGTCTTGAAATGGATTTTTTTTTTTTCAAGAGACAGGATCTAGCACTGTCGCCCAGGCTGGAGAGCAGTGGCACAATCACAGCTCACTGCAGTCTCAAACTCTTGGGCTCCAATGATCCTGCCACTTCAGCCTCCTGAGTAGCTGGAACTCTAGGGACACCCCACCACACCCGGCTAATTTTTTTTTATTATTATTATCTTTATGGAGATGGGGTCTTAATATGTTGCCCAGGCTTCAAGGAGTTTTGTTTGTTTGTTTTTTGGGTGTTTTGGGTTTTCTTGAGACGGAGTTTCTCTCTTGTTGCCCAGGCTGGAGTGCAATAGCATGATCTCGGTTCACTGCAACTTCCACCTCCCGGGTTTAAGCGATTCTCCTGCCTCAGCCTCCCAAGTAGCTGGGATTACACGCATGCGCTACCACACTTAGCTAATTTTGCATTTTTAGTAGAGATGCAGTTTCACCATGTTGGTTAGGCTGGTCTCGAACTCCTGACCTCAGGTGATCCTCCTGTCTCGGCCTCTCAAAGTGCTGGGATTACAGGTGTGAGTCACCATGCCCAGCCTCAAGCAGTTTTTTTAAAGAATCAGGACAGTCGTAAACGTTCAGTTAAACAGAAGGTGGAAGGTACAGCCTAGGAGGGTGCTAGTGGATTGTCTGAAGAAAGCAAACAGCAGACAGACAAGATTAGCATTGACAGCAAGACCACATCCGCATCACACAAAAGGAAGAGGAGGCTGGCAGGAATCCAGGAAACCTTAGCGATGAAGTCAGCAAATCCAAATTATTCCGTACAAATCCCCATTTTCCAAAAGATGGGCCAGGTCCATAAATATATCCACAAGCCCGTCGGCTAAACTTGTGGACGCCTACCTAAATATTTCAGATGTGGGAGCAGAGCGTCTACTGTGTTAAAAAGCCATTTTTACCCATCTCTTTACATCACAAAGCAATTATTTCTCACCTGCCACTTTAATTTGTACTGACAACCTAATGTCGGACACTACCAAAGAGAACAAATGAAAAATAGAAAGAATAGTTAGTCTCCTATATGACATATGTTTATGCCAAAAAGATTAGTTAAAAATCCATCTTCCTCTACCTGAATTTACAGGATGTTTGAGGGAACTGTCAGGAAAATCATTACTAATGAAGTACCAGACTATGTGAAACAATGGTTACAAAGGAAATTTAAAAGACAAGTGCAATTGCAGATGTCACAGATTTTTCATTAGCAAAGGAAGATGCTGGGAAACTTTATGTTTTTGGAAGAGTCTGTGATCATTACAAGAGCGCTATATCTTATCCAATCCTGTATTCCCATCCAACTCTCAGCCTTTTCTCTCTACTCACACTCCTCCTACTATGTCTGGGTACTTGACCTCTCCTATAAAAACTGGAAAGGAAATTACTGTGATCCTCCATCCCTGCCAACCAAACACCAGACCTCCTTTTTGGCTAGCACTGCCTATGATATTAATAAACCATCCATCCTTGAACTACCCATTCAAAGTGACCTACAAATATGCAAACCATCATAACTCACCCAGCTCCCTGAGGCATCCCAATATCCCACCCAGGAGCCCACAGGAAGATAGCTTTGCCCATGAAAGGGATGGGGCTTAGTCTAAAGATATACACCCAACTATGCCTGTGGCCACTAGGTTCTCGCACGGGGAGTACGAGCAGTGAAATCACAAAGAGAGGATGGGAAAGACAAAGAGCAGGAGTGGAGGCCCAAGGGTGGTAGTTTGCAAAGTGGGCTCAAATGATTCATCTGTCCACACAGATAGGCCCTCCGTGCCCTTTGTCTAGTAACTTGATCTTTTTAATGAAAAAGCCTGGCTATGCAACCAAGGAATAATGGGAAGACATCGCAGCAAGAAGAAAAGAGCAAGAATTCACCATCCTCAGACTTCTCCTAGAACATTTTCATCTCAGTTTCTTTTTATTGCCCACGTCAACTTGAGAAACCAGACTTGCAGTGGCTTGGCCCACCCTAGACTTTTCTTCCTCCCAAAGTTCACGCATTGGCCAACGTTGTCATTCCCCATTTCCTTGGTGCTAATAAAAAGAGCAATTGTATCTCACGCTTGCATTGGCAAATGAATGAGTGACTGGGAATGTGGCTCCATGACCACTATTTCTATAAAATTTGTTCTAAAAAAAATTCAACAAAAATACTAATAAAAACCTTTATGGTGAAGGACTATAAATCTATGAAGTGGCTCAGAGTCCAATTTCCCTTTTTTACATACATCAAATACCAAGAATCAGACTCATAACAGTTGTGAGATGGCTTAGTGAGACCCCAAAGATGTACCAATCCCACAGGTTGGGATTCACCTCTGAATCCATACAAATAATATTCCCATTGTATCGAGTGTGTTTTTAGTTAGAAAAACTCTAGTTCTTATATCAGGGATAGGTAATTAGGATTATTTTGCTTTGAGCAAAACCCATGAAGCTGAAAAAGTCAACTCATTTGTGCAGAGGAGAGGGAACTCTGCCAAGTCCTGAGACATAAACCTGGACCTAGACCTCAGCCTGTGCAGGAGATAGGAGGACAGCCAAGGTTTTTGACTCTACACTCCTCCAGGAATCCAGCCTGTGCAGCGCCAGGGGCCCTGAGAGCCCATGGAGACAGAAGGATGCAACAGTCAGGGTGACAGCATCCTCGCCTAGCCAGGGGCATGGCAGGGCTCCAACGTCTGTGGGAAATTAGTGTGCAGACTCGGGGCTGACGAAGAAGTCTCCCCTAGGGACTGCTCACCCAAGGTCTCAGGAGAGATGAGGGTGCGACGTTTTCAGATGGGGTAGGCAGCACACCTGGGGCTCACCAGACTTACAGTAGAAGAGAATGGAAGTCACTGCAGATCCCATTCACCGGTGGAAATGGGCTGCCCTATACACCAGTTGGAATAGGCTGAAGAACTGAGCAGGACTGAACCTGCAGGTAGATGGGCTTTCTACCCACAACTGGGCCAGGCTGGGATGGACACAACCATGGTGAAAAAGATACCCAGAGGCAAGATGGGCAGCAGCCCAGGTCCATTTCACATCAGTGAGGAAGCACTGCAGCCCTTGTGCCTAGAAACAGCACTTTTATTACAGGTGCTGCTGATGGGCTGAGTCAAGTGTTAAACGATGCGTTTGCTGTTGAATAGAAATCACTTCTGAAGCCTGTACTCTGTTCGGTTCCCAAGCATTTACTGAGCATGAGCAAGGTGTTGGCATCTGAAGATGAGCAAGTGGTAAATGTGAACACATCAATCCTCGCCACGTGTTAAGCGACCACAGAACGTTTCAGACCCCACTCGTAAACCACTGCTTTTTTTTTTTTTTTTTTTTTTTGAGACGGAGTATTGCTCGGTCACCCAGGCTGGAGTGCCGTGGCGCAATCCTGGCTCACTGCCACCTCTGCCTCCTGGGTTCAAGTGATTCTCCTGTCTCAGTCTCCTGAGTAGCTGGGATTACAGGCCTGTGCCACCAAACCCGACTAATTTTTATATTCTTAGTAGAGACAGCGTTTTGCCATGTTGGCCAGGCTGGTCTCAAACTCCTGACCTCAGGTGATCCGCCCACCTCGGCCTCCTAAGGTGCTGGGATTACAGGCATGAGCCACTACACCCAGTGCTGCTTCTTTACTTTGTATTCAACAAGGGAATCCTTGCTTAGGAGTCAAGTTTTACATTGACAACAGCCTTTCTGAGTTTTGTTATTTGTTTGTTTGCTTGCTTTTTTTTTTTTAAACGAAGTTTTAGCTCCACGGCTTTTTAAAAAATATGAAATTCACTTTACATGTTTTTTCTAAGTGGATTTTATAATGTATGTAATATGGATAGTGTTAAGACTGTGTAGCAGGTTTCAGGATCTAATGACTGTTTTTAACTTAGAACTTCGGAAGCTATAGAATTAATAAGAACTTTTTGTTTTTTACTTAACACTTGGTGCCATTTTCACATCACCAATATATGATACACAAATGCAGCTGAGGAAGACACTTCATACTTTCTCATTGTTTCTGTGAATAGCATGAGGCAGTCATCCATTAAGTGGAGTAATACATGGACCCTTTTTATAAGAAACCAATTTCACACACTTACCTCTCCTCATCTTTAGACCCTACCTGCTCAGTAAGTTTGAGGGTGGAGTAGAGGATGTGCCTGTGGTGGTTCATTTCCTATGTCAGCCTGACCGGCCATGGGGGTGCTCCAATTAAGCATTATTTTGGGGTGTGTCTGAGAGGGTGTTTCAGACGAGAGCAGCATTTGAATTGGTGGATTCATAAAGTAAATGGCTCTCCCCATTGTGGGTGGGCACCATCTCATCTGTTGAGAGCCTGCACAGAACAAAAGGCAGGGGAAGGAGGAATTGATCCTTTTTGCTTCCTGCCCACCCACCTGAGCTGCTACAGCTCATCTGATCTCCTGCCCTTAGACTGGGAGCTACAACACCAGCTTCCGTGGTTCTCGGGGCTTCGAACTTCTCCTAAATTACACCACTGCCTTTCCTGGGTCTCCAGCTTGCAGAAGGCACAGCATGGACTTCTCCTCTTCTGTAATGGAGTGAGCCAATTCCTGACAATAGGTCTGTGTGTGTGTGTGTGTGTGTGTGTGTGTACACATGTATATGTAAAGGGTTTGTTTTATTGGTTCTGTTTCTCTGGAGAACCCTAATAGGGTGCTCCTGGAGTAATTTCTATTCAATACCAAATGTATCAGATCATCAGCACGGGCAACTTGTTTTAAATTATAATATTTCTTAAACACAAATGATCAAAAACTAGAAATAAACTCCTTCTGATTAGAGCACTGCTGCAACTATAAAATTAAAATAATATTTAAAATAAACACAATCAAAACAGTAAAAAGCCACACAATTTCAAGTTGATATATCTATGTTAACATGCAGGTAGTGATGTGACTATACCTGTGACTGCCGAGGCATCTGTGGTCTGAGTCTGGCCTGTGGCATGACCATGAGTGCCATGAGCTATGTGTTTCCCCAACACTTCTCTCCACTCACACCATGGCGAGTCTTTGCTTAGACAGCACTTAGGTGATAATCTAGATCCTTCACATGCAGTGAAATCTCACTGTTTATATCCTAGGTCTACCTTGATTCCTTTTTGCACTGGCATATGACAAAAACATGAGTCTCTGCTGCTTTGCTACACCAGGGTCTCTTCACCACAGCATGCCCACGGAGTGCTTATCACCATCTGCTTAATCAGTTTCACAATGGAGCATCTCCTCATTGTCTCTAACTTCAGCCCCTCTTCTTTTCAGAGGCAGGTGCTGAGATGCCTCCCAAAATCAGACTTGGAATGATAGTCCCAGATTGTGCCAGGTTCCAAGAATCCACGTAGAGTTTAGGTTCTAAAACAATCACCCAAGGCAAAAATTAAAGTCTAAATTATGCTTGAAATTTTCCTAAATTGCTAATCAAGTATAAGATACATAGCTTTATCTACACAGACCTCTATAGTAATTATTTTGCTCGCTTAAGTTTAAGAACCACTGAAACAGACTGCTACAGACTGAATGTTTGCGTCCCCTCAAAATGTATATGTTGACAGGCTGGGCACGGTGGCTCACACTTGTAATTCCAACACTTTGGAAGGTGAAGACTGAAGGATCACTTGAGGCCAGGAGTTCAGACCAGCCTGGCAAATATAGCAAGACCTCATCTCTACAAAAAATTTAAAAATTAGCCAGGTATGGTGGCACATGGCTCTAGTACCAGCTACTCAGGAGGCTGAGGCAGGATCATCTCTGGAGCCCAGGAGTTCGAGGCAGCAGTGAGCCATGATCATTCCCACTGCACTCCAGCCTGAGTGGTAGAATGAGACCCAGTCTCTTTATATATATAAAAATATGTGTGTGTAATATATATGCAGTTTATCACATAGATATTTTGCATATGCAACGCAGTTCTGTAAATTCAGTGTTGCATTGAGAATTTATTGTCCTTCCATATATATATGGAAATCCTAACCCTTAATGTGATGGTATTTGAAGGTGGGGGGCTTTGAAAGGTAATCAGGTCACCTCATGAATGGGATTAGTGCCCTTATAAAAGAGACCTCAGAGAGCTCCCTCACCACATCTACCATATGAGAACTCAGTGAAGACAGTATTCTATGAACCAGGAAGTGGGCCCTCACCAGACATCAAATCTGCCAGCACCTTGATTTTGGACTTCCCAGCCTCCAGAACCACGAGAAATAAATGTCTATTGTTTATAAAAGCCACCCAAGCTATGGTACTTTACCATAGCAGCTCAAACTGACTAAGCCACAGGCTTAAAAAACGAACAAAAGGGAATTTTCTCCATAGAAGTCTGGGTATCTAAACCATCCCACATGTTAGACAACTATAGTCCCTGGGTTGAATGGGACAGCAGTAGAGAATTCTAAAGTGCTCTTGCTTGCCAGAATTTACTCCCTTAGTTTCTAATATTGGGCATCTAAACTTAACCTGTGTTAGTAGATGCAGTCATGTTGTGAAATCTAAACAAGAAAACTGTGGAGTCTCATCCCAGGACAAGTATATGAAGTAAGCTGTTAAGTTAAAAGTGCATGCAATGCAATTCTGTAAATACAACGTTGCATTGAAAAAGTAATTGTCCTTCCTTGTTTAGTCCTATAATCAATTCATCAAACAATATTTCCCTAAAATCTTTTTGCAAATAAGGTTAATTTTGTTGAAATATCCAATTCTGCATGTATTTACTGAAGAAAAAAATGAATCTTATTAAAAATCAAGGATAGTATACTGTGCCCAAAATATCAGATTTTCACTGGGCTGAGAATCAGGAGAAATACATGTGGCACATAAAGGTGCCACCTGAGAAGAAGCAAAAGGAATGCTTGGTTATTAAGACAGAGAGGCTGAAATATGATGACAGATCTCATACCCTAAATCAAACCAAACCCACAATCAGAGTATCTGGGTCTGCATAATTTTCCCAAAAACATTTCAACTTGGTGCATTTGGGCCCTCTTAAAGCAATATAGTCTCTGTAAATATTCCATTAAAAGAATCGAAATGATTAAGATAATTTAAAAATTGTTTAAATGTAAAAATAACATTTAAAATTAAATAAATACATAAAAATAATCCACATGATTGATTGTGTTCAATTGTTCCCTGGTTGTCCCCACTCAACTCTGGCCTCCTATCATCAAGAGGAACTTTTTTTTTCTATATTAATTGCCTTTGTTCCTTCTACAGCCACTTGGCTCTGATCATATCACTCCCAATCCCTCTGGTTATCCCACTAAGAAACCTGGAAGTCATTCTTAATGCTTTCTTTCCCTCTCCCTTACCTCCATATTTAAGCAATAGCAAGCCCTGATAGTTACTCTGGGTAAACCCCAAACTATCCCCTCTTCACCTGTGCTGCCACATCCAGTCCAGACAATCAGCATCTCCCACCTGCTCTATTGAAGCATTCTCCTAATTTTGCATCCACTCTCTCTTCCTGCTGAGCTCTTCTCTGCTCAGCAGCCAGAATGACCTTCTGAAAAAGCAAATCTATCATGAACCTTGACTTGATCCTTTTACTTAATGCCCATTTCTCCTGGAATCATGGCTGAATCCCTCCCAACCTGCCAGGCATGTTCCCCATGACCTGGCCCCCGCCACCGTCTCCAGCCTCAGCAGGGGCTGCTCTCCCCCACTCACTCCATCAGGTCTCTGTGGCCTTGCAAGGGTTTCATGCATCCTCAGCCTGGGATGACCCTACTCCTCCCCATCCATCTGGCCAACTCCACCACCCTCAATGTCCTTTCATCCTAGGAAGCCTGAACCCCCCACCTCTCTAGACCACTCCCCTTGTTACACCTTCTCGGGACAAGGTAGGCGGAATGACCCCCAATGATGTCCACGCCCTGATCCTTAAAACCTATGGATATGTTACTTTACATGAGATAAAGGAGTGCAGATGTGATTCAGCTAAGAGTCTTGAGATGGGGAGCATACTCTGGGTTATCCAGGTGGGCCCAGTGTCATCAAAAGAGTCCTTAAAAGCAGAGTACCTTCCTCACCTGCAATCAGAAGGTGATGGGAGGACAGAAGACAGAGGACGGATCAGAGAAGTGACATTACTGGCTTTGCAGATGGAGGAAGGGGCCATGAGTCAAGGAATGTGGGTGGCTCCAGAAGGGGGGAATGTCAAGGACATGGATATCCCCCCAGAGCCTCTAGAAGGAACACAGTCATGGCAACAGCTTGGTGTTAGCCTGGTGAGATCTATGGCGGATCTGACTCACAGAAATGTAAGAAAAGAAATCGGTGTTGTTTTAAGCCACTAAGTTTGTGGTAATTTGTTATACAGCAATAGGAAACCAGCACATATGGTGTTTGTGGTATTTGTCATCACTGTAATATTGGTAATTACTGAAATCATGTGATGGTTAAAAAAACACAGACCCTGGAGCCAGACAGACTGGGTCAACCTCCCACCATCCCACTCACTAGCCAGGCTCCTTGGGACAAGTTAACCTAAGAGACTCACTAAGTTTCCATCCCCTCATCTGTAAGAAGGTGGTCATCGTGCTTACCCCCAGGGTTGTACTGAGAATAACATGAAATAATATGAGGAAAGTATTTAGCACAGGGGCTGGCACAGAGGGGGCCTTCAGTACAGGTGAGCCCCAATGAGTATTATCATTGTTATTTGTGGGATTATTTGTTTTCCCCTTGGGGTTATAAGCTCCGTGAAGACAGATACCATGACTTTATTGCTCATGGCTATATTTCCAGGAACAAGCACAGAGCTTATCAGAGCAGGTATTCAAGGAAGAAATGAATGAATGGGTCTATCTGTGAACTACTGACCCAGTGTGCCCCACGAAATATGCTGGGCAGCTGCTACCTATGCAGGCATTATGCCAAGTGCTGACCAATAGAAAAGGGGAGGGGAGCGTCTCTTATTTTCTAAAACCTTTCAGCAGCCCAGGGTTTCCAACACATATATACAGGGTGACAACACAAGACAGCATGGACCAAATGGTACAAGAATGTCAAAGCAGGGGGCACTCTAGAGGTAAGAAGATGAAATGGTGACATTATCTTGGATGGTCTAGGAAGCTTTCCTGGAGGTGTGAGATGTGAGTGGGTCTCTGACTCTACGTGAAGTTTCTATTGGATGGGAACAAAGAAGACAAAACATTCTGGGGGTCAGTAAGTGGCATTAGCAAAGGTACAGAGACAGGCAGGTTAAAGGTCCTCGAAAGTGTCATTTTGACTTAGATTAAGAATTAATGCCAAGGACTAGGAGACATGAGCCTGTAAGAGAAACGTTTGGGTTGGTTTTTAGGTGGTCCTGGATGCCAGCTAAGGATGATGGATTGCCCCCTAAACAGAAACGAGGGTCAGTGAAGATATCTGATCCAGGGCATAACAAACTGCAACAAGTCTACAGGGTAATGGCAGCACTGGGCCAAAGAGCTGTCTGTGATGGTGAATACTGAGCGTCAACTTAATTGGATTGAAGGATGCAAAGTATTGTTCTGGGTGTGCCTGTGAGGGTGTTGCCAAAGCAGATTAACATTTGAGTCACTGGACTGGGAAAGTCAGACCCACCCCCAATCTGGGTAGGCACCATCTAATCAGCTGCCAGCACGGCCAGAATAAAAGGCAGAAGAACATGGAAAGACTAGACTGGTTTAGTCTTCTGGCCTCCGTCTTTCTCCCATGCTGGATGCTTCCTGCCCTCAAACACTGGACTCCAAGTTCTTAAGCTTTAAGACTTGGACTGGCTTCCTTTCTCCTCAGCTTGCAGATGGCCTATTGTGGGACCTCACCCTTGTGACTGTGTGAGTCAACACACCTTAATAAACTCTCCTCTCTATATACATCTATCCTATTAGTTCTGTCCCTCTAGAGAACCCTGACTAATATGCTGTCCTAACACATCATGTGCTGATTATTCCTCGTTTTAAAAAATTGGAGAACAAAATGATCAGATGCTGATCTTCATTTTGAAAACCTCTTTTGAATGTGCTGCCTCCCTGGTATGATCTGGATGCTTGCCAGGGTGGTCTGGAGACCTCAGTCTGTTTGCTCTCCCGGGAAAAATCATGGTCACCCACTGACTTCCTCTTTTCTCACAAATAGAGGACAAGGTAGTTCTTCTGTTGTAGGTTTCATCGGGAATTTATTAATCCCCCTCCCGGAGGTGTTAGCATTTCAGTCTTGTGCCCAGCCATCTTGCAGTATTGAGAGTGGAATACAGGGTAAGTCATATCCTCAACAGTCCTTGCCAAGAACACCAAAATCTTAGCCTGTGGGTAATAATCTAAGTCTTCTTAATCTAAGTCAAAATTACCCTTTCCATCTAAACATAATACCAGCCTCTCTAAAAAAGGGCAAGCTGACCCGGTGTGGTGGCTCACGCCTGTAATCCCAGCACTTCGGAAGGCCGAGGTGGGCAGATCACCTGAGGCCAGGAGTTCAAGACCAGCCTGGCCAATATGGTGAAACCCTGTCTCTACTGAAAATACAAAAAATTAGACAGGCATGGTGGCAGGCGCCTGTAATCCCAGCTACTCAGGAGGCTGAGGCAAGAGAATTGCTTGAACCTGGAGGTGGAGGTTGCAGTAAGCCAAGATCATGCCACTGCACTCCAGCCTGGGAACAGGAGCGAAACTCCGTCTCATAGAAGAAAAAAAAAGCAAGTTTTGTCCCATCAGGGGCTGACGCAGACACAGGGACCAAAGCCCAGCCACCTCCTGGGACTCTCTGCTGTCAAACAGGAAGGTACAGATCTTTCTCCACCCATGCTCTGTGATGCCAAACTCTATTATAAAACATTTACTGGAGAAGGGTATCAAACGGGAATTTATTTCTATCACAAACAGCACTCAAATATTTCCCAGATAGTTTCTGCAATCAGTCATGTGCACCTTTTCAAAGTTTTAAATGTTTCCAAACTTTTTGGAAATGTATAGTGATTGATACAGGCCTTTAAGTTTAGTATTACTGCTCATGCCACATTTTCACCTGATTTCCAGTCTTTTGTGGTATTCTTGATTGGTAAGTCATTTGATTTTATCTTTTATTAAGGGCCTTTGAATTTAGCACAATGCTGAAATGATTCATCAATCATAATAAAAGACTTCAAAGGGATCCAAGCTAAACTTCAGGATTCTGAGGAGCATACTGGACAGTGAACTTATTGTATTTCAACTTCAGGACAATAAGCCTGGTGGAGGATTTTGCTCTAAAGACATAATGAGTATGTTAGTCACATCTAAAAATCATCTGCTGTCCGCATGTTCAGATTCATATATATGTGTATATATATAAATATAATATACACACATATGTGTGTGTGCATTTCATCTGACATTCATTTATTCTGTAGCAAGATATGTTTTAGGCTATTCTTTTCTACTGATCCATTCCCTGAGCATCAGAGGTCACTGTAAATGAAAAACAAGGTGAACTCCCTTGGGTGGGAGCCATGCTTGGCCAAATCCAGAGAAACTGTGTGGTGCTTAATTCCAGCTTAGTCTACATAGGCCCTAGTTTGAAACATAAAGTTGAAATCCATCAAGCAATTGTTTTCAAATCAACATTTCGGAAACATTTTTCAGTCATACTTACATGAATTCAAAATGTTTTCAAAGTATTGAGTGTTTTGCTGTATTACATTTGTAAAAAGGCAAAAGATAATCAGTGTGTGTTGATAATGTTAATAGAGATTTTAGAAATGATGATAGTGAAGTTTAAAAAAGGAACACCAACCAAACATAAAGAACTCTCTTTTCAAAATATCAATTTAAAATACAGGATCTCCCATGGCTTACAATGGACTCAGTAGTGAGGCACACAAACAGCAGTAAAACACATCTCTAAGGCATCCAGAAGAAAATAGATAACTAAATATCCATAATGCTGGCCAGACTGTGATACATAGCAAAATAGAAGTATTTATTCTGTAGCAAGAGATGGAGGCTGCAAAGGAAAATGCACTCTGTTCTCACTAGGGGAATCTGGAGGCTCTATACATGGTAGTTTTAATTTTTTTTTTTTTTAAACACCAGGCTGGAGTGCAGCGGTGCTATCATGGCTCACTGCAGCCTCGACCTCCAGGGCTCAAACGATTCTGTCATCTCAGCCTCCCAAGTAGCTGAGATTACAGGCGCCCACCACCACACCTGGTTAGTTTTTGTATTTTAGCAGAGTTGGGGTTTTGCCATGCTGCCCAGGCTGGTCTCCAACTCCTGGGCTCAGGTGACCCATCCATATTTGATTGTATCTTTTATTGAGGGCCTTTGAATTCAGCACAATGCTGAAATGACTCATCAATCATAAAAAAAGACTTTAAAGGGAACCAAGGTAAACTTCAGGATTCTGAAGAGCATATGGGACAGTTTCTTGTATTAGACTCCATCTCCAGCCTCCCGAAGTGTTGGGATTACAGGCATGAGCCACCATGCCTGGCCGGTAGTTCCATTTAAATTAGCTCATAAAAGGTAGGTAAGATTTCAACAACCAGGGAAGAAGACCTCAGTCAAGAACAATATGGCCATAGACTAAAGGCGTGAGACTGGATGGCACAGCTCTGAGGCAGGGTGTCTGGGGACTGAGAGCACCTGTTGCTAAGGTGATAAATTAAGATCAGATTGTAAATAGCTCCAAATGCCATGCTAAAGTGAACATTTCTCTGCAGGACACGGGTCCGGAGAAGGTTTTGAACAAAGCACTTTAGACAGATGAATCTGAGGGTAACCCTAAAGACAACATGGAAGCTGGAGAAAGAGGAGGAAAGATTCTCTAAGAGATAAATGCACTGGCTTACACAAAAAGCAGGTGGGCTTACACCTGGAAGGTAATGATGGAAACAAAAAAGAATAACCAAAATTCAGTAGTATGTCAATATCTGGTAACTGACACCATCTGGAATGAGGGGAAATGATTCAAGACTTTCCAACTGGGACAGGTGGAGAGAGAGGGGTGTAATCTAGGAAGATGGAAAATGCAAGAGCAAATCAGATTCTGAAAACAATTAAGTAATTCCTGATTCCTTTCAAATAAAAGGTGAGGCCTGATGTGAGTCTTAAAGTCTTAAAGTTCACTGGTTAAAGGGAAAACAGTGGGGGAGGGAAGCACAGTCCAGCAGGATGCAAACAGGTGAGCAAAGCCACAGGTTAGAACATGGAAGCTGTCGAGGAAGGCAAGAAAAGGGGAAGGAGGCATAAAGCTGGGCCACGTGCCAGGACCAGTGAGAGGGTGACCATGAAAAATCAGTAACAAGATCGGTGACCACTTAGACGTAGAGGATAGAGGTGTGGGGGCAGGGTGGACTGAGAAAGTCTCTCAGGTTTCAAGCTTAAGTGACTCCAGGGCTTTTGTGCCCACATTTAAAACGGAGAATAGATGTGAACAATCAAGGAAAAATGACTGATGCTGAGTTTAAGGCACCTGGGAGACGGGGGATAATTGCTTCCCAGAGACAGAGGTGCAGCGCCAAACCTGGGGAAAGGAAGACCCAGTTTAAAGATAAAAGGGTTGTTACCCTTTAGACAGCAAATAAAAACACGTGTGTAGCTGGTATCACTTTGAAAAGGGAAGAAGGAAAGCCCACAGATCTCTCTACAGACAAGACAACCAACGACTAAAAACCATTTAGATTAAAAGAAAAGAAATAATCTTACAGTAATGTTGTAAAGAGGTATTAACATCAAAAGACTAACTAGAACTAACATCAACAGCAGAAAGGACAATTTATAGCCTTATTCATTAGCATGCTGCTTACTGTTCCACTGACAATTTTAACCACCGGGTTAAGCAAAATCTTTGCCTTCCTTTTTTTTGCTTTTTGAGACGGAGTCTCACTATGTCACCCAGGCTGGAGGGCAGTGGCACGATCTCGGCTCACAACCACCCGGGTTCGAGCAATTCTCCTGCCTCAGCCTCCCGAGTAGCTGGGATTACAGGTGTGCACCACCACACCCAGCTAATTTTTGTATTTTTAGTAGAGACGAGGTTTCACCATGTTGGCCAGGCTGATCTCGAACTCCTGACCTCAGGTGATCCACCTGCCTTGGCTTCGCAAAGTGCTGGGATTACAGGTGTGAGCCACCATGCCCACCCAATCTTTGCCTTTCATTAAAGTCATGAATTTCCTGCCATCAATGGAAATGTCTTTTGATGACCACATGGATATCAGGAGCGATGCATCCTGCTTTCTGTCCCCATGTTCCAGTGCAATCAATGTTTTACACATCAAACATTCCAGTGGAGAATGGAACTCGTAGAACAAATTAGAAAATATTCATCTAATGATCTATCCAAAGATAAGGAAGGTCTTGATACTACAATTCTGTTAAATTCTGTTAAATAAAGTTTAAGAGTGTAGGTGTCCTTTATTAACAAAATCCTTACCTTTGGAAAATGGTCTCTTTTTTTTACAGAGCTGGTGAAACACACCAGGCTAACTTCTTGTCACCAGGATTCATCCATAAAACTTTTGTGGGTTCCCACTGAGCAGCCCTTGGAGCCCCCTCTTGAGACTCTCATAAATGTAGAAAGTGTTCTCATTGTTCAAATCCCACTTACAAGTGAGAACATGCAGTGTTTGGTTTTCTGTTCTTGTGTTAGTTTGCCAAGGATGACATATATACCATGGAATACTATGATAGTCCATAGTCCCTGCAAAGCACATGATCTCATTCCTTCTTATGGCTGCACAGTATTCCATGTGTATATGTACCACATTTTCTTTATCCAGTCTATCACTAATGGGCATTTGGGTTGGTTCCATGTCTTTGCTATTACGAATAGTGCTGCAATGAGAGCATCAGGACAAATAGCTAATGCATGTGGGGCTTATAACCTAGGTGACACGTTGATAGGCACAGCAAACCACGATGGCACACATATACCTATGTAACAAACCTGCACGTTCTGCACATGTACCCCAGAACTTAAAGTAAAATAAGAGAAGGAAAATGGTAAAAGGAAAAAAAAAAAAAAAAAGAGGCTGGGCGTAGTGGCTCATGCCTGTAATCCCAGCACTTTGGAAGGCCAAGGCAGGCAGATCATGAGGTGAGGAGTTCAAGACCAGCCTGGCCAATATGGTGAAAGCCCGTCTCTACTAAAAATACAAAAATTAGCCAGGCATGGTGGTGCATGCCTGTAATCCCAGCTGCTCGGGAGGCTGAGGCAGAAGAATCACTTGAACCCAAGAGGCAGAGGTTGCAGTGAGCCAAGACCGTGCCATTGCACTCCAGCCTGGGCAACAGAGCGAGACTCCACCTCTAAAAAGAAAAAAAGAAAAAAAAGAAAGTGAATGACACTAGCTTACATGGGTGCTCTCTGAGGAGCCAAAACCACATTTAGCAGAAGCCTGAGAAATGCAGCACCTCAGTCAACTCCAAGAAGCACCGCAGCCCAGCAAGATCTGCCAGGAGCTCTCCCTCCTGAAGCTCCACGCAACAATGCACAGCTAGAAACTTTTGGTCTTCAGTTATCAAATGGAGCAACCAGTGTAACCAAAGTCAAATAACTTCATGGGCATGCTAACCACCCTTCGTGAAAGACACGCCCAATGGTCCAGACCAGTCACACTGATGGGGCTCAAAGGCAGGCAAGAGTCCCAGCCTGGATGAACCCTTCACACTGAGCGAGAGCGGTACACTCACGGCTTCCCACCCCGAGTTTTCTACCTCCTCTCTCTCTCTCTCTCTGCCTGCTGCCCCCCAACTCCTCAACCCACCCGGGTCCCCGGGGAGGCTGTGTCCTTCTTTCATTTCTTGTGTCAGGTTTCGGGCTGACACGTGGTAATTGATTCCGTGGCTGGTTAGACGGGCGTTAAGTGGGAGGGATGAAGTTTCACTGAAAACAAATAGCACTTCATGGGTCTGACCTTTCCTCTTGGAAGCTTTTGTTGTGGTCGACTCTAGGCTGTGCAGTTCAAACCTGTGTGAGCAAGTTGTGTCTATGTCGGCAGTTCCCCAATTCACCTTCACCAGCTCCCAGTGTGCAGTGACAGCTAGATTGTCTCACTGTCACTTCTGGCATGATGACAGCCTAGCGTCAGGTGGAGGCAATGATTCACACCTGAGAATTAGTGTCCCAGGGACTGAGATGGCTGAGTATGGCCTGAGCCTTCAGAATAGCAGGACTTCATGGAAGAGACTTGCATTCAGAGAAAAACAAACAATCCCATCAAAAAGTGGGCTAGGGACGTGAATAGACAATTCTCAAAAGAAGATGTACAAATGGCCAACAAGCATATGAAAAAATGCTCAACATCACTAATGATCAGGGAAATGCAAATCAAAACCACAATGCAATACCACCTTATTCCTGCAAGAATGGCCATAATCAAAAAATCAAAAAATAATAGATGTTGGCGAGGATGCAGTGAAAAGGGAACACTTTTACACTGTTGGTGAGAATGTAAACTAGTACAACCACTATGGAAAACAGTGTAGAGATTCCTTAAAGAACTAAAAGTAGATCTACTGTTTGATCCAGCAATCCCACTACTAGGTATCTACCCAGAGGAAAATAAGTCATTATACGAAAAGGATACCTGCACATGCATGTTTATAGCAGCACAATTGCAATTGCAAAAATATGGAACCACCTAAATGCCCATCAGTCAATGAGTGGATAAAGAAAATGTAATGTGTATATACATATATATATATGTGTGTGTGTGTGTGTGTGTGTGTGTATATGTGGGTATACATATATATGTGTGTGTGTATACATATATATGAGATGGAATGCTACTCAGCCATAAAAAGGAAAAAAATAATGACATTTGCAGCAACCTGGATGGAACTGGAGACTATTATCCTAAGTGAAGTAACTCAGGAATGGAAAACCAAACATCATATGTCCTCACTGATGTGTGGGAGCTAAGCTATGGGGATGCAAAGGCATAAGAATGATACATTAAACTTTGTGAACTTGGGGGAAAGGATGAGGGGTGGCAAGAGATAAAACAGTACACATTGGGTACAGTGTACACTGCTCAGGTGATGGGTGCAGCAGAATCTCAGAAATCACTGCTAAAGAACTTATTCATGTAACCAAACACCACCTGTTCCCCAAAAACCTATTGAAATAAAACATAAAAAATATTTTTAAAAAAAGGACTTGCATTCAATAAATAGGATGGATAAATCTTGGATAATACACTTTGTCCAAGTGCAACTTCCAGTTTATGGCACAATTTCAGTTCCAGTCACCCAAAGGAGGCATCAGCACTAAGCTTTACCCACGTGAAGTTCAAGGTTCCCCCAATGAAACCTTTGGGTTACAGTCATGCGTGTTCTCTGCATTCCCCACATCCTCCTTCAGAACTAAAGGATGCCTTTCCCCAGGGCTTAGAGGGATGTCAGTGGCAGCTTTCAGCTATCCTCTGCAGATGCTGCCTTTGGCTGAAGGGAGCCACCTTACCCAGGATTACACCCTCTTCCTGTGACAGCCAGTGTCCAATGAGCAACAGACCAGGAGCACAATGGTCTGAGCCTCCAGCCCCAGCTCAGCGTGACTCTGAAGGCCACGCCAGCTTCCCATAGGATGACAGTGGCACTATCAAATTCTTATCTGTCACCTCCTGTTTCCTTTTCTCCTTGATCACAGGAGTGGCCCCAAACAAACTTCCAGCAGTCCAGTATCCCCCAGGGATCTGCCTCCTGGAAATCCAGGCTAGGATTTTGGAGCCATATCGCCCACTCCCTAGCCAGCAATGAGGACCCCATCACATAGCCCCTCACTCAAAGTAGCAGTGGACACTTTGGGAGGCCAAGGTGAGAGGATCACTAGAGGCCAGGAGTTCAAAACCAGCCTGAGCAACATAGTGACATGCCATCTCTAAAAAAAACTTTAAAATTAGCCACATGTGGTGGCACATGTCTGTAGTCCCAACTACTTGGGAGGCTGAGGCAGGGGGATCGCTTGAGCCCAGTAGTTCAAGGCTGTAGTAAACTGTGATTGTGCCACTGCACTCCAGACTGGGTGAGACTTTGTCTCTAAAATAAATAAAATTAAATAAAAAAGTAACAATGGAATTGTTAAGACTTTCACCAGAGTGAACTGGGGGAGGGTTACCAGGGACAGGAAATGCAGGAGCCTGTGCTGAGCTGAGCATCAGCTGTTTGAGAAATACACACAGGAAAGAGGAGTGATAAAGTCAATGAGATTGCCTGGCTGTTGCTGAGGACAAATGACGTTTGGGGGACTGACAAGAAAAGGCTGAGGACACTGACCATGAATTAAAGGCTATGAGTGAAAGCCAGGGGCCTCCTGGCCAGGATGTGAAGGGACTCTGTTACTCATACTCAAGAGGCAGAAAAAGCTAAGGATGGGGCTTAGAATTTAGTTACAAAAACAGCAGAGTGTCACAGAATTTTAACCCCCAACTAGACAAGTCTGCTATGGCCAAAATCAGAGCTCCCACTGGGAAGGAATGATATCTTGATATAGGGGACCTTGAATCCCTGGAACCCCTGAACTCTCTGAGGCTCCAGAACAGGCTCACCCAGGGGAGGGCTCGCACCTCCCTCTTGCTGGAAGACACTCTGCAGAGACCTCTGCCTATAAGATAGCACATACCCAGGATCTATCCCCTCTTCCTCTTCTACCTCTGCCCACAAGACATTATACACCCAAGATCAACCTCCTCTTCCTCTTCTGGCCCCCAGGCTAATGTCAAGAGGATAGACCCTGAAGGATCTGCAAGTCCCGCAAATGTGCTGGTGGGAGCCAGGAGAGGGTGGCGGGACTCGGTCCTCAGGGCTCTAGGTCAAGGGGGTAGAACACAAAGTCAGATAAGGAAGAGTTTATTAACACTGGAACATTCTCTCATGATATAGGATGTAATACCTGCATTCATCTGCTAGGGCTGCCGCAACAAAGTACCACAAACTATGGGCTTAAAACAACAGATATTTATTGTCTCATGGTCCTGGAAGCTAGATGTCTGAGATAAAGGTTATTAGTCAAGGTTCTCCAGAGAAATAAAACCAAGAGAGATAGACAGACAGATAGATAGATAATATATAGATAGTTGATAAATAATAGGTTAGATAGATAGATGATAGATAATAAACAGATGACAGTTAAGTAGAGAGATAATAGAGATAATAAATAGATGATAAATAGATAACAGATCATAGATAATAGAGATAGATTAGATAGATAATATAGACAGAATAGATAATAGGTAAGTAGATAAATAGAGATGATAGATGATAGATAAATAGATAACAGATGATAGATAATAGAGACATATTAGACAGATAGACAATAGAGAGAGAGAGAGAATAAATGAAGACATTTATTTGGGGGAAAGCTCACATGATTATGGAGGCTGAGAAGTCCCACAATCTGCTGTCTGCAAGCTGGAGACCAGGACAGTTGTTGGTGTAACTCAGTCCAAATCCAAAGGTCTGAGAATCAGGGTATGTGCTGGTGTAAGTCCCCAAGTTCAAAGGATTGAGATCCAGTAGGTTTGATGTCCAAGGTCAGGAGAAGATGGATGTCCCAGCTCAAGAAGAGGGAGAGAATTCTCCCTTCTTCTGGCCTTTTGTTCTACTCAGGCCCTCAGTGCCTTCCCAGTGGGATGCTGCCTGGTCACCACTGACGGCAGATCTTTCTTACTCAGTCTCCTGATTCAAATGCTGATCTCTTCCAGAAACACCCTCACAGGCACACCCAGAAATAACATTACCAGATATCTGGACATCCCTCAGCCCAGGTCAACTGGCACATACAACTAACCATCACAGAAGGCAGCAGGGTTGGTGTTTTCTTTTTTGTTTGTTTGTTTTTGAGAGGGAGTCTCACTCTATCGTCCAGGTGGAGTGCACTGGCGCAATTTCGGCTCACTGCAACCCCTCCTCTGAGGTTCAAGTGATTCTGCCTCAGCCTCCCAAGTAGCTGGGATTACAGTCATGTACCACCACGCCCAGCTAATTTTTGTATTTTTAGTAGAGATGGGGTTTCAGCCTGTTGGCCAGGCTGGTCTCTGATCTCGAACTCCTGACCTCAGATGATCCGCCCACCTCAGCCTCCCAAAGTGCTGGGATTACAGGCGTGAGCCACCGCACCCGGACAGGGTTGGTGTTTTCTGAGGCCTCTCTCTCTGGCTTAGAGGTGGCCATCTTCTCCCTGTGTCCTCACATGGTCATCCCCCATTCCCCGGTAACTGTGTCCAAATTTTTTCTTCTTATAAGGACACCAGTCATTGGATTGCGACCCTCTTATATGACTTCATTTAACCTTAAGTACCTCTTTAAAGACCTATCTCCAAATATAGTGACACTCTGAGCTACTGAAGGTTAGGACTTCAACATATAAATGGAGGCTAGGGGTGTAGAGAGGATACAATATCTCAACAAAAATTATGAGATGGTATCAGCATGATGCTGGGATAGTTCTTGGAAGCCAGGAGCAAGCAATAGCCATATTAAGTGAAGCAGGAATGCCAGAATTATCATGGCAGATGCGGGGGAAAAGTCAAAACACCCAGAGTGGACAGCTATAGTGGGTACACCTCTTAAGGCCAGAAAATGTACCAGAGGCTGTTCTGTGGGAGGGTCCAGCGGGTATGTCACTTACCAAAGTACAAAGAAGTGTGCCAATAAGAGGTGCCAGCATTACTGAAAACCTCAGTGGTTGCCATTCTCTGTGGGCCAGGAATGATGGTAGGAGACATCTAACAATGGGGATGACAGGATCTCCAAATATCAGAAACCAGGCAACTATGCACAGCTATCAGAAGCCAGACAGACAATAATCCCGAGGGTCAAGGTCAGAGTGCTACCCTCTGCAAGTCATCTGGCATAGTTAAGAAAAGATTGTTAGAGAATAGCATCCCTTAGAGGCCAGGCAGAGCTGCAACCCAAGTATCACTCAATCTACAGCATCAGAAGAATTCACGTTTGGTGGTCAGGAAGCTGAAGACAACTGGCCCAATAATAAACCAGGGCTCTCAGCCTAGTTTCCAGATCTGAAGGAATTTCAGACCCAGAATGGTTGACACTGATACACAGAGACTTGAAGCACCCTCATGGCCTCCCTATTATATGCCTTTGCCTCCCAGGTAGTAAGTAACAACCAGAACCAGTTCTGGTTCATAGTAGGGCACTGGGGCACTGCCTAGTGGAGCTGTGAGAAGAGGGTCACCATCCTCCAGACCCCAGAATGGTAGATCCACCAACAGCTTGCACCATGCGCCTGGAAAAGCAGCGGACACTCAACACCAGCCCATGAAAGTAGCCGGAAGGGAGGCTGTACCCTGCAAAGCCACAGGGGCAGAGCTGCCCAAGACCACAGGAACCCACCTCTTGCATCAGTGTGACCTGGTTGTGAGACATGGAGTCAAAGGAAATCATTTTGGAGCTTTAAGATTTGACTGTCCTGCTGGATTTCAGACTTGCATGGGGCCCAGAGCCCCTTGGTTTTGGCTAATTTCTCCCATTTGGAATGGCTGTATTTCCCCAATGCCTGTACCCCCATTGTATCTAGGGAGTAACTAACTTACTTTTGATTTTACAGGCTCATAGGCAGAAGGGACTTGCCTTATCTCAGAAGAGACTTTGGACTTGGACTTTTGGGTTAATGCAGGAATGAGTTAAGACTTTGGGGGACTGTTGGGAAGGCATGATTGGTTTTAAAATGTGAGGACATGAGATTTGGGAGGGGCCGGGGCAGAATGACATGGTTTGGTTCTGTGTCCCCACCCAAATCTCACCTTGAATTGCAATAATCCCCATGTATCAAGGGCAAGACCAGGTGGAGATAATTGAATCATGGAGGTGGTTACCCCTATACTGTTCTCATGATAGTGAGTGAGTTCTCACGAGATCTGATGGTTTTACAAGCGTCTGGCATTTCCCCTGCTGGCACTTCTTCTCTTGCTTGCCACCACATAAGACGTGCCTTTCACCTTCCACCATGATTGTGAGGCCTCCCCAGCCACGTGGAACTGTGAGTACATTAAACTTCTTTTTCTTTATAAATTACCCAGACTCAGGTATGTCTTTATCAGTAGCATGAAAACAGACTAATAGAGGGTGTTTGCAATTCTCCACCTCCACAGATTTCTTGGTGTGTGAGATAAGAGCTATCAGTGAGAAAGGACAAGGGAGAGTTTCTAAAACTGTCCACCCCAGCCAAAACAGTAAATCAAAAATAACAGCACATTCTGGGGTAGGGGTTAGGGGAGGTTTGGATCTTAAAGCTTAGAACTATCCTTAAAGACCTTAAGGGTGCAGGGGTATGTCCCCTCTCATATCACCATTTAATTAATTTGGTCCCTGCAGAAACCAGACAGGTCCTGGAGGATGACAGACTCCTGTAAACTCAAACAAGTAGCAGCCCACAGCTGGCTCTGAAGCTTCCTTGCCATATGTTGTATCTTCACTAAAGCACAGGCCCCAGGTACATGCTGTGCAGCCTTTGATCTGGGGACTGTGTTCTTTTCATCTCTATCAGAAAGGAGGATCAGAAACAGTTCACAGTCACTCAGAACACACAACAGTATTCACTTAGAGCACTGACCCAGGGCTATATTAACTCTCCCTACCATGTCATCATATTGTCTGAGGACACCTGGGCCACTTGGACCTCTGCAGAACATCATCGTGGTGATGACACTTGTAAACCAGACCCAATGAACAAGAAGTGGCAAGTGTGCTGGGACCTTTGTAAGTCAGACTCATAAAATAAATAAAGAGGCAGGAAAAGTTCTATGAAGCTTCAGGGGCCTGCCACATTAGTACACTTTTAAAAGTCCAGGATCTGCAGCATGCCAGGATAACTTGGCCAAAGTAAAGAATAAATTCTACATTTTACTCCCCTAAAACAAAGAATGTAACACAACACTCTTTGGATTCTGGAAATATTAATTCCACAATTGGGAATATTGATCACACCCACATGGCAAGGGACCCAAAAGGCTGCCAGTTTTGAATAGGAACCAAAACAGCAAAAGGTCCAGGCTGCAAGGCGACTGGCCCCACAGCTTGGCCAAAGGACCCAGCAGTTGCTAAGGCATTAGAGGTAGTGGTGACGGAAAAAGATACCCTGTCGTGTCTGGCAATCCACATTGGCAAATCACAACTCAGACACTTAAGAGTTCTAGAGCAACACTGTGCCAACTATAGCAAGAACGATATAACTTTGGAAAGAACAGCTCCTAGCATGCTGTTGGGCCCTGGAAGACATGGCATATCTGACCACGGGACACCAAGTATCAGCCATTCATGATGAGCCAGGTCCTGTCACACCCACAAAGCCACACAGCTGGGCAAGTGCAGCAGTAATTGATGGAAAGATGGAAACGGTATATCCTCATCAAGGGCATAGCAAGCTATGCAAGCAGGTAGCTCAGACCCCATATTATTCATCATTATTGCATCAGTGCCTCTCTTGAGCTCACACCTATGGCCACATGGGAGGTCCCTTATGACCAGCCCATGGAGGAGGAAAATACCCAAGATTAAATCAGTAAGTCAGAGTATCATTGACCCATAAGTCAGCTGAGTTTGAGGATACAAGCCAAAAATAGCCAGTGACCGCAGTACTGCCTCATTCAGGAGCTGGCCTTGAATGACAGTGGAGAGAAGAAATCCAGGGGACAGAGCTTTGGACTATGCACACTACATACTGAAGGGGAATTGGAAATTGCTAGTATGTAAATATTATTAGCTTCACACACTTTGATTGAACTTGGGTAGACAACAATATCCCCAAATCTAGCTGAGCCTTAGAATCAACTGAGAAGCTGTTGAAGAATGTGCATACCTAAGCCCTACCCCAAAGTGACTCAAATAGATGCTCCAGGTATAGAGCTCAGAAACTGACATCTTAAATAAGATCCTTAAGTGATTCTGATTTTGCTGGTCCTTGGACTGGTACTAGGAAACATTTGTCTAAGCGATTAGCAATGCCATAACAAAAACAAAAACATTAATAATAAACGCAAACACATATAACATTATGTGCTTAATATATACTTACCTTTAAATTCTCACAACCACTCCAGGAGGTATGTATTATTATTAATCCCATTGCAGATGAGAAAATTGAAGTTAAGTGACTTACCCAAGGTTACAGAGTAAGTGAATGACAGAGCCAGTGTTTTAAATTAGTCTTACTCTAGAGTCTTTCTGCTTAACCATAATGCCATAGTGGAAAAGGCAGTCAATAAAGGAGAAGGGAGCTGAAAAATCTGTAATCCAAAAAGCACATACAGTATATAGGGCCAATTTCTGCATTTACCTAAAATGAAGACAAAGTGTTTTTCCAAATAATTTAACTTCAACAGCTGAATCTGTTTACAATAGCATGTGAGCACCACCTAGTGGCTCTGTAGGGCTGCTTGAATAGTAAGTGCTCTCTAAGTACAATCAGCTCAACAGAAAAGTTATTAAAATTTAGTAGATGCAAGTTTCCAATTCCAGAAAGACAAATTCTATGACTTCAAAAATGTTTAAAAACATAGTGAGACTATACAAATTAGGGAAAAGATCAAAACAGGTGAAGTCAAAAATAGCAATAGAACTGATTACATATTAAGGTTTGTTTTTTTTAGTGAAAATACAATAAAACATGAAAGACAAAAAGCCATATGCAAATCATTTTTAAGTTTAAATTCTGATAATGAATTTACTTCAGGTATACACTAAAAACTTTTTTTTTTTTTTTTAGATAGGGTCTCGCTCTGTTGCCCAGGCTGGAGTCTAGTGGCGCAATCTTGATTCACTGCAACCTCTAAAGTGATTCTTGTGCCTCAGCCTCCCGAGTAGCTGGGACTGCAGATGTGCACCACCATGCCCAGCTAATTTTTTTTTTTTTTTTTTTGTAGAGATGGGGTTTCACCAAGTTGCCCAGGCTGGTCTCAAACTCCCGGGCTAAAGTAATCCACCTGCCCCAGCCTCCCAAGGTGCTGGTAAAAACCTTTTGACTCATCACCTTTTCTAGGAGTGATCCTAATTCAGCATCTTCTTCCTGCCCAGGCATTAAGACACCATCTGCTCCTGCCTCTCTCCCAGGAGACCTCAAAGCAACCTAACGAGATAAAAAGGGCTGGAGATTTACAGGTCCACTTCCTGTCTTCTCTTCTTCTCTGATGTCTGTGAGGTTCATTTTCTCTCAAGATCTATTGAATCCAAATATACAGAGCCAAGGCAGGGCAACCTCAGTGACAGGCAGCATCAGTTCTGAGTACACACCATGGGGGCCAATCTGGGAGGTGAGAAGCAAAGGCTGGAAAGAAAGTAGCAAGGTCCAGGAGCAAGAGACGATGTTGAGGTCCCAAGAATCTAATTCAGAGCCAACGCCAGGACACAGCAGAGTGAGAAGACAGAGTGTGGTTCCATGAACAGAGCCTGGCCTCCATAGCCTCTGGTGAGGTGATCTTTCCAGGGCCTAGAAAGCATCAGCATTTCCTGGGTTTTTTTTGTTTTTTTTTTTTTTGAGACAGGGTCTCACTCTGTCTCCCAGGCTGGAGTACAGTGGCGCAGTCTCAGCTCACTACAGCCTCTCCCTCCTGAGTTCAAGCCATTCTACTGCCTCAGCCTCTCAAGTGGCTGGGACCACAGAGACACCCCACCATGTCTGGCTAATTTTTGTATTTTTAGTAGAGACAGGGTTTTGCCATGTTGGCCAGGCTGGTCTTGAACTCCTGATCTCAGGTGATCCATCTGCTTCTGCCTCCCAAAGTGCTGGGATTACAGGCGTGAGCCACTGCACCCGGCCATCAGCGTTTCTTAAAACGCCTACTCAAACTGATATGGTTTGGCTGTGTCCCCACCCAAATCTCATCTTGAATTGTAGCTCCCATAATACCCACGTGTGGAGGGAGGGACTTGGTAGGAAGAAATTGAATCATGGGGGCAGGATTTTCCTGCTCTGTTCTTGCAGTAGTGAAAAAGTCTCACGAGATTTGACAGTTTTATAAAGGGCAGTTCTTATGAGATCTGATGGTTTTATAAAGGGCAGTTCCCCTGCACACGCTCTCTTGCCTGCCACCATGTAAGAAGTCCCTTTGCCCTTCCTTCGTCTTCCACCATGCTTGTGAGGCCTCCCCAGCCCTGTGAAACTGAGTCTATTAAACCTCTTTCTCTTTATAAATTACCCAGTCTCGGGTATTTCTTCATAGCAGTATGAAGATGGGCTAATATATCAGCATTAAGCAGAAGAAAAGCTCTTCCGCAGGATTTACATGTGGATGAACCTCGAAAACACGACGCTAAGTGAAAGAAGTTGGATACAAAAAGCTACACGTTGTATGGTTCCATTTGTATGAGCTATTCATAAATCCACAAAGACAGAAAACAGACTGGTGCCTGTAGAAGCTGAGGGGGAGGAGGGAATGGGGAGAAATTGCTTGATGGGTCTGGGGCTTTACTTTGGAGTGATGGAAATGTTTCAAACTAGACAGAAGTGTTGGCCATACAACATTGTGAATGCAACCAATGCCACTAGTTTGTTCATTTTAAGATGGTTAATTGTATGTTATTTGAATTTCACCTTAATAAATATGTGTGTGTGTGTGTGTGTGTGTGTGTGTGTGTGTGTGTGTGTGTGTGTGTGTGTACACTTCCTTCTGTGGCCAATGTCAGAAATATCACAAATACAAAATTCCATCTTTTGTCTTAGGATTTTAGACCAGGATATTTTGAAGTTTGAATACTGTGATGGTTGACTTTGAGTGTCAACCCCTCTTCTGCTGAAAAGGAAACCCACGTGGTTTGGCATTTGACTAGAATAACTGGGCTGCCCCAGCTGTGTCTGTAAGGTGTTTCCAGAGGAGACTGGCATTTGAGTCCACGGACTGAGAGGGAAGACCCCCTTGGTGTGGTGGGCACCATCTGATCAGCTGGGGACTCTGACAGAACGGGAGGCAGAGGAAGGGCAAATTTGAGCTTTCTTCCAAAGCCAGGACATCCTTCTTCTCCCACCCATGGACATCACAACTGCAGGTTCCCCAGCCTTAGGACTCTAGGACTCGCACCAGTGTCCCCCAGTCTCTTAGGCCTTCATCCTGGAATTGAGAGTTACAACATTGGCTTCCTTGCTTCTGAGACCAAGGAACTTGAACTGAGCCATGTCACTGGCTTGCCTGGTTCCCCAGCTTGCAGATGGCCTATCATGGGACTCTGTAACCTCCATGATCAAGTGAGCCAATTCCCCTAATAAATCCCCTCTTATATCTCTCTATGGACAGATAGGTAGATAGATAATTGATATATATTAGATAGATAGATAATGATAGGATAAATAAGATAGGCAGATAGGCAGACAGATAGAATAGATAGATAAATTGATAGATGGATGGATATGTAGACGGATGGATGGATGGATGGCTGGATAGATGCACCACAGCCAGCTGTGGGCTGCTACTTGTTTGAGTTGGCAGGAGTCTATCATCCTCCAGGATCTGTCTGGTTTCTCCCGGGACCAAATTAATTAAATGGTGATATGAGAGGGGCCATATTCCTGTATCCTATAGGTCTTTAAGGATCGTTCTAAGCTTCAAGATCCAAAAGATAGATTGATGGAGAGAGAGAGAGAGAGAGAGATGAATGGATGGATAAAGACAGATCAGATAGATAGATAGATAGATAGATAGATAGATAGATAGATCCATCCATCTTCTAGAGAACTCTGACTAAAACCAATACTTGTGAGAATCCTGTATAAAATGTAGCTAGTGATCTTGGACAACCCTCTAAAGTAAGAAGGTCATGAGCCTTCTCTGCAAACAGGTTTTGACAGTGAGAAGGGAAAGAAAATAGTGACACCTGGACTCCTGGGAAGGAAAAGAAAATTCGTTTTTAGCAATGAGGTTGCTAAAAGAAGCAACTAGAAAACAAGCTACTCCAACTTCAGATCTTTGCTTGGTAAAGCCTCTACTTTCAGGTGAGTGGGGTGAGTTTTCTGATGAGAATCAAGAAGGCCGGCCTCTCTCTCTGGGAAGCTCCCAGCTTCATGGTCCTGTGGCAGAAGAAACCCAAGTCTGGAAGAATCCAGGGCCTCATCTGAGCCTTTCTCTCCAGCATTAGAAGGAAATCCACAATTGGCTGACAAGCCCGCATTCCAAACACACACCCAGTTAATGAAAACCACACACACACAAACGAGAGATAGGTTCTACCTGCCTGTGACAATCTGGAGTAGGAAAAGCACATGAAAAATAGCCTTGGGACTTTATTCTGAATACTCTGCACCTAAGGAGGAATTGAGTTTCTCAAAAATAAAGGCTTTCTGTTTACAAACATGCTGTTTTTGCCAAAGAGAATTCTTTATTTTAGGTGCTTTGGGAAAACTGCAGAGTCCTCGGGTTTGTGGCCAAAGACGCCCAAATGTTGCAATCCTAAACCTTTGGCAGCGACAAAAACATGTTGGCAAGTGGAAAGTTTTCAGCATGGGGCTTTTCATGTTGTTTTGTTTGGGTGTGTGTTTGTTTATTTGCTTGGTGCCAAAGGGTTTCCTCCACATCTTCCCAGAACCAGAGAGCATGTTGGCGCTCCACTTGGGATGTTGGCCCCAAACCACCTGCACTCCTATTGTACATCCTGTATGGTTTCAGGCCCCCAAAAACAGCCTTTGAGCTCAGGGAGACACCTCTTTCCCACCTCCAAACCCTAAGTGAAGCCTCGGACAATGAGAGGGGATGACATGAAGCATTTGGCCTCCATGGCTGTGGACTTCATGAGGGCTGAGGGCATTTCTGAATTTCAGTCTCTGATCAACCCACAGTTCTGTTGTTCCCTCTGTCTCGCCCTAGCAGGCCTCATTTCTATCTCTTTCCATCTCCCCGGCTGCTACCTGTGCTGCGGTAGCCACTTGATACATGAACTATGGCTTCCCGCCCGTTAAAACTAGACATTCAAAGACCAGCCCAGCAGAATGTGGGCACAAAGAGCATGGAATTCCCAGATAGATCTTTACATTGTAACAGAGCAGGGATGATCATCTTGAAAATCAAGGCTTTTGATTAACAAGACTTGGGTATTTTGTAACTCAGGAGGCTAAGCCTTGCCCTGGGATCTAAAGTTCTAGCCCTGAGAGAATAGAGGAGGGTCCAAGTGCCCCGCCCAGACCCTGAACAGGCCAAAAAGGGAGGAAATGCTGGGGAGAGGACCTAAGCTGGATGCAGGACCAAGAGGGTCAGCATGGAGAGAGCCAGTCAGCGCTCAACCCTGTCTGTCACCACCTGCAGATGGGGAGCTGAGAGGGAACAGAACTTGCACCCCCATTCAGTCCTGTGGATGGTCCAGGTAGCCAAGATGGCCCCTTGAGCTCAGAGCTGTTGGAGTCTCGCCTGCTAACAGTGCTGCATGAGGCCCATCCACCACTATGTGTGTGTGTCCCATCAGCACCTCACACTCAGGAAACCCACAACTGAGGGCCACTGCCTCTCTCCCCTTCTCCCCCACCTCCCCCTACTCCAACCCAGGCCCCCTTCCTAACTGGCTTTTCATGAGAGCTGCACCTTTTGAGTCATCGAAGATTCTTTGCATCGGCTTTGCAGTCTCTGTCCCCTCTGAGGCTCACTGATGGTCAGATGCTGAGCCTGGCACCTTTTCCATCCACCAATGGTGCCACTGCCTGGCTCAAGTATCTAATTTTATGTCTGTAAATGAAAACAATTTAACATTCCCCTAATTGATACCTCACCCTCAGTCTCCCCACACGAAACCTCATAACCTCCTCTCCTTGTTTCTACTCTGGCTCCTGTTTCTGTCTGCTCGCCTTTTCCCTCTCTAGTTTTCCTCCTTCTTTCCCATTTTCATATGTGTCGCCAGCCCCATGTAGTGCCAGACAGGCTACATTTTTTCAGTGTCTCAAATGCAAGGGTGATAGTCTCACTCCTTCAAGCCTTCACAGATGTTGTTCTCTCTGCCTAGAACACGTTAACCCCTTTCTCCCTTTTCTCCTTCTCATCTTTCAGATGTCCTGGGTGCCACTCCCTCCAGGAAGGCCATCATGCTTTCACCAATGGGTAGCAGAAGCACTGATTCCCATGGGCTGAAACTATAAGGAAACATATTCATGTCATTTAACAGGAGCCCAGAGGCAGTGTGGGCATCAGTGGTGCTGCACCATCGTCAAGGACCCTGTCTCTTTCCCTCGTTTGTCATCCCCAGTGCTGGCTTCATCTTCAAGCTGTAGTAAGATGTCTGCCCCAGTTCTAGACACCACATTCAGACACTATGCTATCTGGAGGGTGAAGGGAGTTTCTCTTTCTGTACCTGCCGTCAGGCATGAGAAGACATTTCCAAGTCAACGCCTCTTTCCTCCCCCTAACCAGAACTACCTTTACATTTCATTGGCCAAAATTTAGTTCACATGTGTGTCACTCCGCCAACCACTGGTGAGGGGAGTGGCAATAATCTTTTGAATAATTCGCTGTTGGGCCACCTCTCAGGCTAAGTGAGCTCAGCTTTCCCCAAGGCGCTGGCTGTGCTGAAAGCGTGGGGACTTGATCAAAACCCAGATTCTGGCTCACACCTGGAATCCCAGTGCTTTGGGAGGGTGAGGTGAGAGGATCGCTTGAGGCCAGGAGTTTGAGAGCAGCCTGGGCAACATAGCAAGACTCTACCTCTACAAAAAAAAAATGCTTTTTAAATAACGCAGATTATATTTGGAAAGAAGTGGAAGGCAACAGGCCATCCCGCAGCATTTGCTCTCCTTTGCATTTGGCTCTAAGTTCCTTTCGGAGTCTCCTCTTCCTCCTGCATACTCTAACCTGAAGGTGAGAGTGCACCGCCCCCACCCCTGCCCCCTGCCTGGCCCCTTCTCCCCATCACCTCTTCACACTGAAACTCCATCTCTTAAAGCCCAACCTTGAAGGCCAATTCCAAAATGAGCCTTTTCTGATCCTTCCACCCACACATACTCATCCTGAGTATGTAGAATGATGCTCTCCAATGAAACCACCAAGCACCCTTTCCCACTGTTTTCTGAATATCGGGCTCCTTTGGAAGTTCCTTAACAGCCAAGCTGATGTGACTGACAGCTGCACTTCCATTTGCACATGGCCCCCAATTCGCACATGTTGGGCGTTGTGATGGCTAATATTGAGTGTCAACTTAATGGGATTGAAACATGCAAAGTATTGTTCCTGGGGGTGTCTGTGAAGGTGTTTGCCAAAGGAGATTAACATTTGAATCAGTGGACTGGGAAAGACAGACCCACCCTCAATGTGAGTGGGTGTGATCTAATCAGCTGCCAGCGCGGCCAGAATAAAAGCAGGCAGAAGAACATGGAAAGACTAGACTGGCTAAGTCTTCTGGCCTCTATCTTTCTCCTGTGCTGGATGCTTCCTGCCATCAAACATCAGACTCCAAGTTCTTCAGCTCTGGGAACTGGACTGGCTTCCTTTCTCCTTGGCTTGCTGATGGCCTATTGTGGGACCTCACCTGGTGATCATGAGAGTCAATACTCTTTAATAAACTCCCCTTTATATCTATCCTATTAATTCTGTCCCTCCCTCCAAAGAACCCTGACTACTACAGGTGTGCTATAAATGGTTGTGAGTGGGTGGGCAGAGCACTGAGCTCAGAGTCCACAGCCAAGCATTTAGCCTGCGCTCAGCTGTGCACCTACTGTGTGTATGTGGGCAAGTCACCAGGCTTCTCAAACATAAAATAAGGCTCTTAGATCGGATTTCTCTGAGACCCTTGACAATTCCGTGTTTGTTACTTAGGGCTGCTGCTGCAACAAATTACCACAAACTGGGCAACTTAAAACACCAGAAATCTATCCTCTCCCCCATTCCAAAGGCCAGAAGTCAGGTGTCAGCAGATGTGGTACCTCCTGGAGGCTCTGAGTGAGAATGTGCTCCATGCTCTCTCCTGGCTTCTGGGGGCAGCTGGCAGCCCTTGGCATTCAGGGCTTGGAGATGCATCACTCTATGCCCTGCCTCCATTTTTTACATTGCCTACTCTGCTGTGTGTCTCTGGGTCTCAAATCTCCTTCTCATTTCTCTTATAGGGACACCAGTCGTTGGATTTAGGGCTCACCCTAAATCCAGGATGATTTCATCCTGTGATCTTTAATTTGCTGTTATCTGCAAAGACACTATTTCCAAATAAAGGCACATTCACAGGTACCAGGTCTTAGGCCTTCAACGTATCTTTTGGGGAAACATAATTCTACCCAATATAAGCTGTAGACGTCTATCAGTTACTCAAGCCTGGCTAGATATCATACAGAAGACACAACTAAGGACTACTCAAGGCTGAAATGTTTCCTTTTTTTTTTTTTTTTGAGACAGAGTCTTGCTCGGTCACCCAGGCTGGAGTACAGTGGCATGATCACTGCAACCTCCGCCTCCCAGGTTCAAGCAATTCTCCTGCCTCCGCCTCCCAAATAGCTGGAACTACAGGCATGCACCATCACACCTGGCCAATTTTTTTTTTTTTTTTTTTTTTTTTTTTTTTGTATTTTTAGTAGAGACAGGTTTCACCAAGTTGGCCAGACTGGTCTTGAACTCCTGACCTCAGGTGATCCGCCCGCTTTGGTCTCCTAAAGTGCTGGGATTACGGGCATGAGCCACCGTGCCCGTTTCTTTTTCTTTTCTTTTTTTTTTTTTTAATTACCTGTAGATCCATTTGTGGATTATTCAACTACCCTTAACTTGAAAGTTGAGTGATCTTTTTAACGTTTTTCTCTTTTCATTTCTTAAAATACTGGCAGTGAGTCAGTCTCCAAATTTCAGATACTGATATTGAACACTACCCTCCATGCTACCAGATCATTTATTTTGGTTTCTGTTACTGATTCCCGGCCTCCAAGTCCCCAGAAGCACAGCCACAGCGGCCGTGTATGGGTCCCAGCTGCCTTTTCACTCCTCGATGCCTTAAGTCCTGACGATGAAGGCAAGGACCCTTAGAAGAATCACACGGAGGCCTCCATGTTTCCTGAGCTCTGTTTAGAAAGAATCAAATCAGTCTCATATAGGCCACAAGGAGACCAGCAGTACCATGTAACCTCAGACATGACACAAAGTGTCCCCAGCACATCCCACGCAAGCATTATTTTTTAAATGCATTTGCAGTAGGGAAAAGTATTTCTGATACTTCTATACCTAGTTGTACCAAATAATGCATTTGTGCAGTTGATGGATGAGGTGAACAAAAGCAATCCTTTTGCTTCCTTGACGAATGTAGTTCTGCAGGCTTCATGGCTGGCAAAACCAATCCTATAGAACCCAATGCTTGGAGACAGAGCTCCACCAGGAAACAAGGCCAAGCTGTGTGCTGCTCTTACGTTATGTCTATTTTAGAAGTTGACTTTGGCAGAGGTGTTGACCACTGACACAATCTATCTACTTCCAGAAAAGATAAGCGGGGAGGGAATCAAACAAGGAATTGTCTTTAAATTCTCACTTGGAAACAGACGCCTTGGCTTGAAAAGGGGAGTAGAATACTAGCTTCAATGATGATGAACAAGTTGGAACAAATTATAAAGAAAATATTGAAGCTATAAATAATTTATTTTTAAAGAACCTGTGTGCTAAAATATCTCCTGACTAGGAAATTCTAAAGAATGTAAATCTCCAGATTATAGTCTATCTGAGGCAATGTTTTTCCAGAACTATTGGAATGTGTCTACATAACAAACTCAATAATCTTTTGAAGAGTTCACTGTTAAGAGGACTCCTAGGACACGAGGAGCAACGGGATGATCACACACTCATGGTTGTACCTTCAAGTAAAGAAAAATGAGAACTTTAAATCACCCAAGATGAGGAAGCTCTGTAGCCAGACTGCTCTCATTCAAATCACCAGGAATGTTTCAATCTGATGCCAGCTTTCTCCCTTACAACAGTGAATGGATAAAAAGGGGAAAACTCAAAAGGGATATTCACAGCGCCTTCTAGTTCCCACCTCAGTCCTATCTCAAAATACCTGAAAATTCTGCCACAGCCCTTTTTCCTTTACTCTAGAACGAAATGACAAAATTAAACTTTATAAAAGTTTATGAAACGAAACCTCACAAAACCTGTTACTGAGGTTCAACGATATATTTTTAAACTAATAATGTGAATTTTTCCATGCTGAAGAGTCATGTAATTGGGTCACCAAATAAAAAAAGACACAGCTGTAATAGAAACCATTTTAGGGGGGAAGAAAGTCCTGACTAATCACGAAGTGATGCAAATGCAAAAGGAAATACTTAGACTGTATTTTTACCCAGCTGAGTAGTCAGATGTTTGGAAATGCCCTGGATTTTTCGAAATATTTCCAGCTGTTAATAGCAAAACGGCTCAGATGCTTCAGAAAGAAAGAACACACACTGAAACCTTTTTTTTTTTTCCTGTGTACTTTTCTTAATTACAGCTGCTCCCTTCCAACTGCAAGAGGGGATCTAAGTGTAAAGATGTTAAAGCTTAGATGTTCACCCTGAGCTCCACACGGATTTATTTTTATGAAAATGACTGAGAAGTGCAAGCCTGGGAATACGCAGAGAACTTCAAAAAAGAGCCTGGAAAAAGTAGGAGGTGATAAAGGAGTTAGCACATTTTCAGTTTGTTTCTCTTACAACCTGTGAGAGAACCCAGACAGCTGATGGGCTCCCGGAGAAAACTCAGGTAGCTGCACTCCAGAGAGTTTGGTGAGGCCCCAGCCAGCACCAGAGACCTGTGGTGAGCTGGCCTCCAGGAGAAGGTGGTGACAGCGGCAGCCGAGTTACATGGCGCCAGATCCCAGAGGACGAGCTCTGGCAACCGCCTGTGCACTCCCCTGCAGCCTTTTCTTCAGAAGTGAAGATGGGGGAGTCTGGTCAACCACAGGTGAGGTGGCAACTCAGAGGGAAGCCTGCACACTGTCAGCTCAGCCAACCCTAATGAGGACCAGACACCCAGAAATATTTGCAGACTCAGCAGGGGCGGGAGTGAGAAGTGGAGTTGGCTGGCCTCAAACCACCACCAGCTGAGCAGGGCTCCTCAGCCAGGGTGTGTCTTCTGGGACTCCCGGGGCAAAAGGTGGCATTAGAGATGGAAATTCAAAACAGGCTGGGGGCTCTGGGGCCAGGTTTTGTCCTGGGCGACTGCTTGGCACTTTCCCCAAAACAGCACACGGAACCTGTGAAAAATGTGCTCTGGCCCCCTTCAACCTTGACCCTGAGGATTGAGGGTGGGAACTGCGGTGGGTTTGCTCAAAGTCCTTATCACCACTCACTGGCATGTGTTCCCTGGCTCAGAGCCTGTCCCTAAGAAATGGGAAGAAAATACACAGCTCCCAAGGAGCTGCCAGCAGTTCCACACCAGGACCCTCTGAGGCCAGCCTCTCTGGGGACGGTGCATGCTGAGGAGTCCATGAGAAGGCTTAACTTTCTGAAGATGTCACACTCAGCTCTTCTTAGGTAAAGATTTTTTTTTTTTTTTTTTTGAGATAGAGTCTCACTCTGTCGCCAGGCTGGAGTGCAGTGGCACAATCTCTGCCCACTGCAACCTCCGCCTCCCAGGTTCAAGCAATTCTCCCACCTCAGCCTCCCAAGTAGCTGGGATTACAGGCATGCACCACCACGCCCAGCTAATTTTTGTATTTTTAGGAGAGACGGGGTTTCACCATGTTGGCCAGGCTGATCTCAAACTCCTGGCCTCAAGTGATCCACGCGCCTTGGCCTTCCAAAGTGCTGGGATTACAGGTGTGAGCCACCACGCCTGGCCAAGATTACCTTTTTAGATTGCTAATCTGGCCATCTTTGATTAGAAGTGAGGTCAATACATAAAATGTTCCAATCAAATTCTGCAACATAATTTTTCAGTGTTCTTAAGGAAACCCTACCCATGAGCAAAATGGCATTAAGGACAATTGGTCATTCTTTTTTATTTATTTTGGGAGGAGGGGGAGAAATGAGGGGCCTTCATTGTTCCCACTTCAAGACCAGCCCACTGGTTACAAAGCAGGAGAAAGGCAGGGGCGCTCCCAGGAACCCAGGGCCATTGTTATGGGCTGAATTGCTCCCTACCGCCACCAAATCCACTGCTGAAATCCTAACCCCCAGGACCTCAGAATGTGAGCTTATTTGGAAACAGGGTTGTTGCCGATGTAATAAGTTAAGAGGAGGTCATACCGACACAGGTGAGCCCCTAACCCAACATGACTGGACTTCTTGTATAAAAGAATGCTATGTGAAAAGACAAACGCATAGACAGAGAGAAGGTGATGTAAAGACACAGGGAAGAGGTGGCCATCTGCAAACCAGGGGGTGCCTTCTTGAGACCACCAGCTTCTAGGAGAGAGGCCTGGAACAGACTCCCCCTCATGACCCATAGAAGGAACCCACCCTACTGGCACCTTGATCTTGGACTTCCAGCCCCAGAACCATGAGACAATAAATGCCTGTTGTTTAAGCCACTCAGTCTTTGGAACGTTGTCCCAGCATCCCCAGGAAACTAAGGTAGCCACATATGACTTTCATGGGCCCCTGGCACTTTTGTCTTTGTGGGCCCCATTCTCCGTAAAAAATATCCAGAATGGCTCCACAACTGTGTTGGTATAGAGGCAAATAAAATCTGGGCTGGAGCATGTTCATTTTTTCTTCTGATTTTAGAAGAAATGAAAACATTTTCATGGGTCTCTAAAAGTCCCACAGGACCTTGGCTCTGTGCCTTTCACACCTCATGGAGAAGTCCACCCTGTAGAAAGAATCACTGAGGTCCCCAGATTGGGTCGGGCACCTCCCCGGCCTTTCTCTATTTTGGCACCACACGCAAATTACCTGTTATTGTGTCTAACAGCTCCCTCTCCCCACCTCTGGCTCACACTCCAGCAAAAAGACATGTCTCATTTATCTTTGCAGCCCTGGCACACCTTAAATGCTCAATAAATAGCTGCTGCACCAACTTGAACTGAACAGATAGAGACCTAAGTTACTCAAGGTCATTAGTGAAACATGAAGCAAGAAAAGAGCAAAAGAAGGAGGTTTTGGCAAGAATGGAGCTTTAATAGCTGGAGCCTCAGCTCCTGGTAGCAGAGTGAGGATCTGGGAGCTCGGCCCAGGAAAGTTTCTGAAACTGCAGTAAAACGAGTGTTTTATAACCACCTATTCTGTTCCATTTTTTTTCTCTCTCTGTCTTCATCTTTAAATTTTGTTTTTCACAGTCCAGAGCTTTGTGGGGTTTATTAATACTTACATCAGTTATACTTTGCCTTTCTTCAAATCAGAGTTTCTCAAATTCTGACTTTTCCACTGAGATTTTCTGACAGTAGATTTGGCCTTTCTAGACCCAACCTCACTTACGGTTCATGACAAGTTTATAACTCGTTCTCATCTTGGGACAATTTCTACTTTTCCTGCTGACCATGCTTCATCTTTGCCATATCTCAGCATGAAAAAAGTTATTTTCTCCACCAGAAACTCACATGAGTGAACAGGAAACCCTTGGTTAGCCCTTCTGCCACCACACAAAATTTTTAAAAAGAAATAAACAGTCATTCTTCTGGACACTGGGGAGAGATAAACACAAAAACATACAGTATGATTGGGAAGATAAGACGTCTACGTTTCTAATCATGTGTCATAATCATGTGTCATAAACTTTCAGAAGAACGTTCCACAAAAAGCACTCAATGGGAGACTAATAGTGTCACACAAGTGGAAGATTCTAAGGACATAAATTTGGGAGGTGCAGGATTAAAAAGGCAAAGACAGTTTCTATAATGCAGAACTTCTCAGATCCTTGAAAGTGCTAACATGCTAGATGAATCTCCATGAGGCAGATCAAATAGCGGGCACTTCCTAGATTGACTTGACCACGGAATCCTCCTACGGGGGAGTGGGGTACGGAGAGAGGTGTGTGGGGAGAGGAATACATGTTCCAAAAATAATCTGGAAAACACTAGACTAGCAATAGATCTGTCAAGTTTCAAAGATGAACACCCTATTTTCACAAGAACTTTCTGGCATAAGGACCATTCACTGTGACTATTCGCATGAGGAATATTCACTGTGGGCTGAAGCCCTTGGAGAGGGTGTCTTAATAGTAGTGTGATTCGTATTCAGGCTCAAAACACAGCCAGATGGGCCTTCCTTAGTGAGAGAGGAGTGTGAGGAGGATGTATTGGCTGGGAAAATCACTTCAGCAAGGGAAAAAATTTACAAGCTGTGTTTGAAGAGCACCAGAAGACTGGTGTGGAAGGGTTACCATTGATGAAACCAGAAAGAGGAGGAGACATGGGTGGGAAGGAGTGTTCGAACCTGACCATGAGTGAGAGTCTCACCCTGTGGGATGCATGGGAAACAAGGACTCAACCTCAAGGGAAAGCACACCCCATGGGTGCTGGAAAAGCATCACCAAATTAGGCTCCAAAGGATAAAAATGCTGCTTCCTGTCTGCTTGGCGGGAGGGAAGGCGGTGCCCAGTGAGCAGGGGTGTGGACCTGGCATCTGGTAGAGCACCACAGCATAGGGGCAAGAGCCCCAGGCGCATCAGGAAAGTCACGTTCCACACCCAGTGCTCCCGTGACTTCCAATAAGCAATTTAACCTCCCAGGGACTCAATGCCCTCACCTGTAAAATAAAAGGAAATGACACCCTAAGGTTTTCCCACTCTAACACCCTGTCGGTCCATGATGATGAGAACTTCCCATCTATCCAGCGCCAGGCAGAGGTACAGGTAATGGGCATTTTGAGGCCAGACACCACATTCCATTCTCTCACTGTCAGCTTCACACAGACGGTGCCGGGCCCACAAACCATCTCTCACACAGATGGGGAAGGCAGCCGTCCCCATCTGGGCAGCTGTGCAGCCAAATACAGCTGCCTGTACAAGGGTGGGGGTCTCCTTGGCACCCAAGAGGCACAAATTCTGAAAAAACTAAGGGACAGTATACTGGGGAGCCAGAGGAATTTCATGGGGTGTCCTCTCCGCTTTTGAAATCAGGCAAGATCATGGCCATGCTGTCTTGAATCTTAAACAACAGAATCAATCAGGTTTATGTTTCCTTAGCTACTTCCCGAACTACAGAGAATCAATTAACAGTTCCTGAATCTGTAAAATTAAGAAATTAGTGATAGCTTCATAGAGTTTCAGAGTGAATTGAACGGCATAGGTGATACAAAACACGAAACTCCATGCCCAGCCCAGAGTGACAAGTCAATCAACATTCTGGGCTTTGAGGTCTATACCTGTTGTGCTCAAACCTAATCATTTCCCAGGGTGCATCGCTGATATGCTGTGCCCTCTGTCTCCCACCACCTGCCTTGCATCTAATGCTGCTCCCTGCGTCTCAGTGGGACTTGGCTGCAGCCACTCAGGGTTCCTTTATTCCAGTGCCAAAATGGACATCAAGAGGACTAAGAAAATGTAGTCCCATTTGGGCATCTTAAACTCTTAAACTTACAGCTGACACTATAATTTTAGCTGAAATATTGGAAAATTTTTGTTTCCCATTATCAGCATGATTCTTACTTACTAAGATGAAATATGGTTTCCTTTGGTTAAAAAAAAATACCCAATATGTTTTAAAAGATGAAGTAATGCTTAGTAACTTTGGTTGTTTTTTAAAACCCCTTCCTATTAACTGCTCAAGGGACAGGTTGTAATGTTGATCCACGCCACAGTGTATTTGCTTCACTTCCTGCTTCTGGCTGACCCTTTAACAGGAAAATTAATAGGGAACATGAGTCAATTAATCAGAATGCATAGTTATTTTTATGAACTCTACTGCCAGTGCATTAATTCATGACATGTGTTTCAAAAATTGGAAGAATGGCAAAAATATAGGTATAGATTGCTTATGATATATGATTCCAAAAGTCAGAAACCGTGAGTCATTCATCCATTCATTCATTCATTCATTCAGGAAGTGTTCATTAAGTACCTACTAAGAGCCAGTCACCATTCCAAGCATTGGAGGTAATCGATGAATCAAGTCAAAGAGGCACAACAGGCATGAAACAAACCCTTACACATTGATTTATGATGGAGATGTGGAAAGGGTGGGATGGCACACAAACTAGGGGCCACACCAGAGGTCTGGCCAAGGTTTAAGAGGCACCGAGTTGCAGCCAGAAGGCTGATTAGGGACTCCCTTGATGGACAGATGGGGAGAGAGGACATAGTGACAGAAAGGCACTCAAGGTAGTAGAAATTTCCTATGAAAATGCTCTATGGCTCCAGGGAGCAGCGCGACTGAAAATAGTCAGAATATAAGGTCCACAGGCAGGGGGAAAATGAGCAGGAGTTAGATGGAGGAACAGCCAGAACTCAGAAGACTTGAGTGCCACACAAAGGAGGTGGGCTTCATCCTCAGGCAGTGCAGAATTTCTGAAGGGGCACTGTGGTCACACGTCTAAAATGTCACCCTGGAGACAGTGAGGTTGATGGGAAGGGCAAGCCTGGTGGGAAGGAGACTCACTTGGAAGCTGCTATCAAGGTTCAAGAGAGGAACAATGAGGGTCTGGGGTGAGACAGTGGCACCAGAGAGAAAAAGCAGAGTGCATTTCAGGGGTATTTGGTAGCACGCCTCAGCAGGGTTTGTTCATGGATAGAGGTGGGGTGAGAAGAAAGGCCTGGGGTGGTCACTGGAGGAAAGGCAGCTCCATCACAGGACATTATGTTAAGTGAAATAAGCCAGACACAGAAAGACAAACATCACATGTTCTCACTTATTTGCGGGAGCTAAAAAGTAAAACACCTGAACTCATGGAGATGGGGAGTAGAAGGAAGGCTAGGAAGGGTAGTGGGGAGGTCGAGGGGAAGTGGGGATAGTTAATGGGTACAAAAAATAATGAGAACAAATGAGTAACACCTAGTATTTGCAAGCCACAATGGGGTAAATACAGTAAAAAAAAAAAATTGTACATTTTAAAATAACTAAAAGAGTATAATTGGATGATTTGTACCCTGATGTGATTATTACACATTGCATGCCTGTATCAAAATATCTCATGTAGTCCATAAATATAGGCCACAAAAATAAAAAAATTAATTTTTAAAAAATAAATAAGAAAAAAGAGGCAAATCCACCAACTCAAGTATAGGAGGGAGGACGAGAACCAGTGCTGGGGAAAGATCATGTGCTCCATTCAGCCATGTGGATTTGAGGGGTCCGTGTGCCACTCAAAAGGCAGGTGCTTGACAAGCTGCTGTGTATGTGGGTCTGAAGCTCAAGAAGTAAGTCTGGGCTGGTGAAAGACATTTGGAAATCATCACTGCTATCACCATGGAAAACAAGAGAGGTCATGCAACTGATTACCCAGGAGGGGCCAGTGGAAAAAGAGGAGTCCAGGAAAGAGATAAGGAGCAGCCCAAGAATGATGCAGGGAGACAGATGATGATAAAGAGAAAGAGCTTTGCACATGGAAAGCACCAGAGTACAGCATTTACAGAATGTGAAGCTTACATTGCTAAATGAAGCAAGAAGAGAGGCAGGATGATCCCTGAAGCGTCAGTGCTTGCAAATTTCAACTCTGATGAGCTCAACATATGGCACTGAGCATCCACCATGAACGAGGAGATGCCAGCTCATCTAAGGCACCAGGCACAGTGGCTCATGCCCATAATCCCAGCACTTTGGGAGGCTGAGGTGGGAAGATCGCTTGAGGCCAGGAGTTTGAGACCAGGCTGGGTAACATGGCAAGACCCTGTGTCTGCAAAAAATTTAAAAATTATCCAGGTGTGATGGCATGCACCTGTAAGTGCTACTCAGAAGTCTAAAGTGGGAGGGTCCTTTGAGCCCAGGAGTTCGAGGCTACAGTGACCTCTGTTGATGCCACTGCACTCAGCCTAGGCAACAGAGTGAGACCCATCTCAAAAGAAAAAAAGAGACAGAAGAAACCCAACGGCTCTCACACTTGAATATGTGTCAGAAATACCTGAGGGGTTTATTTAAGTACAGATTCGTGGGCCCACCTCAGAGATTTCAATACAATGGGAGACCCCAGGCACCTGCACACTTCACAAGCACCCAAGGGGTTCTCTGAGGACAGTTAGGAAATCCACTCTTAGAAATACTGTGAAAGTGCTGCCCTTATGTCAAAACTAGGGACTTTTCTTAAAAGTATTTCTCAGAAGTCCCTAGTATCAGCTTCTCTTCCACTCAGAAAAATCCAGGAGACTTCAGGATTGATTTCATCTTCCAAGTGACTTCAACCTTGTAGCCTTCAGTGTCCTCAAAATGGAATCAGCAGTTCTCATTGTTAGAAGAACAACCTGGGTGTTTAAGAAAACATATCTGCAATTTTCTGCTTCCACCCTGCCTCCTGAATCAGGCTCCCAGAGACGAAGCCCAGCAATCCAGAAATTTCTGAGGTCTTCCCAGTAGATTCTATGTTTCAGCCAGGTTTGGAAACAACTGAACAGATCATCTCTAATCCAATGTCAACCCCTAAGAGTCCCTGTATTCAATAAGCACCTGCAAGAGGAATTGTGTTTGGACTGCCAAAATAAGGCCCTAATAAACCTCCCTGTCAAAAAGGAAGTTTAAGATTCCTTGATGTCAGCAGAGCCTGCAAGAGAAACTTTAGTCCAACTGTGAGTTTTCAGAGTAAATATTATTACAATGATGTAGAATTTTAGCTGGCCTGATTAATTATGCAGTGGCAGCACTTCAATGGGTTGTGGGCCTAATATAAGCACTCCATTCTGTCATTGTTACTATCAAGTTCAACAGCCTCCTCAAATCAGTCAGTGAGGATTTAGCATTGTTGTTACAACAACAAGAGGAACCCAGGGAAGAATGAGTGCTTTCGTCAGCTCTAAAATAGCAAACTTCAGTAAGCATATGTTTAAGTCAGTGCCAAACAACAGATTATCTGGCTAATAAGGATTATTAAGGGAAGTGAGATGCCTAATACGGAGCATAAATGGGACTATCGTTTTAAAAGTCCCATTTCATCAGAGGTAAAGGTGACAGATGGTTGCAGATGTGCAGGCTGCGTCCCCTGCCCTTTTCTTCTCTCCTGCTGTGCTGATCTCTACCCAGTGCTAGTAATGGCCTGTGTCCTCAGATCAGGCCTTGCTGAAAAAGAAGGGGAATGCAGAGGCAGGGGACACATGGCAGATGTTACTTCCTCTTATGATAATCCCAGGGAGGCTACATGGTAGCACGCATCAGCAGGGTTTGCTCACGGATACAGGTGGAGTGAGAAGAAAGGCCTGGGGTGGTCACTGGAGGAAAGGCAGCTCCTTCGGAGGACATCATGTTAAGTGAAATAAGCCAGGCACAGAAAGATAAATATCCCATGTTCTCACTCATTTGTGGGAACTAAACATTGATTGAATTCATGAAGATGGAGAGTAGAAGGATGGTTACCAGAGGCTGGGAAGGGCAATATGGAGGTCGGGGGGAAGTGGGGATGGTTAATGGATACAAAAAGGAGTTAGAACAAATGAGTAAGACCTAGTATTTGCAAGCACAATAGGGTGAATAGTCACAAATAACTTAATTGTACATTTTTAAATAGCTAAAAGTATAATTGGATTATTTGTAACACAAAGATAAATCCTTGAGGGAGTGGATATCCCATTTACCCTGATGTGATTATTACACATTGCATGCCTGTATCAGAACAGCTCATGTAACCCATAAATACAGGCACCTACAGCTTCCTACAAAACAGGGGAGAATTCCTCTGTTTAAAAACCTCAGTAGGATTCCCAGTGCCTACATAATAAAACCCAAATTGTTTAGAAAGGTGAGCAAGAGCATTTTCCATCCAGCCTTTGCTCCTACCCACCCTTTCCTTCCCTCACTCCCCCACAGCCCTACATACCCACCATTCCAAGAACAGTCAACTTCCACTTTTCACAACTCAGGGCCTTTCTCTGCATGTTCTGCTGTCTCCAGAGCAGCATGCTTCCTGCTCCCTTTCCTCACCTGGCAAACCTCTCGGGTCGGGAGGCCGTCCTGGATGACTCTAAACAGTTGATCCACCCTTGGTGCTCTGGAGCTTTTTAAAAACTCCTTTAACATTAAATACTGTGCTAAATGATTATTTATCTAACTACCCATCCAACTCTTCCACTGGGGCATGAGTTGCTCAAGGCCAAGCCTATGGTAGATTCTCAAAAACATCTGTTGGATGGATAGGAAGAAGGAAGGAAGAGAGGGAGGAAAGAAGGAAGGAAGAGAGGGAGGAAAGAAGGAGGGAGGGAAAGAGGGAGGGAGGGAGGGAAAAGAGAGGGAGGGAGGAAGGATAGAAAAGGCAGAAAAGGGAAAGGAAAGGAAGGAGGAGAAAGGAGACCCGGACTGGTGTCAGGAGACTGATATTTCTCCATCTATTCATACAACAAGCGTTCATTGGAAGTAACTATTAGTTCAAGGCAATGTTCTAGTATACTGAGATAAATAAGACACACCTTTGACCCCCACTTAAGAGCTCATAAACCAGCAAGGAACAAGTTAGATAAGCAAGCAGATAATTACATTAAACATTATAAAGTCCAATAGCGGTACCTGCAAGGTGCTATGATATCAAAAAGAATAATCAGCCACACAGCCCAGGGGAATTGAATTGAAAGCTGAATCCTAAAGCACAAGTGGAATTGAAAGCAATTTACATTTTCAGTAGAGGGTCAGGGTGTGCAAAGGCATGAAAATAAAGGAAACCCTGGACAAATTTTTAAAAAAGAATGCTGAAGGTATGTTAGCTAGCAGGTAGGAGAGGCGAGGCTGGGGCGAGAAGCAGGGTGTGGCCATGAAGGTGTTTAGAGGAAGTGTGGACCTGAATGTAGCCAGAGAGGACGCTCTGGCTGAAACCCAGGCCTTTGCATGCACCATCCCCTCTTGGAGCATTCTCAGGCTCCCCACCAGCCTGATCCTGACATCCTTCAGTTAGAGGTTCCAGGCACCCTACCCTTTCCCATCATGACACTCATCAAAATTCATTAAACAATTCTTATATCTGGCTGTTCCAGCAAACTGGAAGATTCACCAGGGCAGGCATTGTATCTGTCTTGTTTATCACTGTATCCTATACACCTAGAAAGTACCTGCCCTAGAGTGAGCCTTCCACAGATATTGGTTAAATGAATGCAATAAATGCATGCTCTTCTTGGCCAAACCTTTTCATCATGGAATCTGTGAAATAATAGAGTCCCACCTGAGGTGGAAACAATCCTGGAAGAGAGCTGATTCTCAGTCAGCCTCTGACACCCAGACACGATGTGCTTCCAGCAAGACATGTCAGCTCACCAAGCCTTGGTTTCTTATCTATCAAATGGAGCTATTGGCCTGAACGAACTCTAAGGATGCCTCTAACTCCTAAAGTTGATGATTTGTACCTGATAGTCGCTCCAGATCCATAGTGTTCTATGGAGAGCAGTTCTTTGGTGATACGAAGATGAAGGAAAGAACTCAGTGCCACTCACTTCCAGGACTGTGTCCTCATTGAATTTGTCCTGAGGAAAACAGGTGCCAAGTTCCATCTTGACTTTATTAGATGTGAAAACATAGTCAGAGATGAAAGGAAAGGTCACCTCTCCTGGGCAAATAAACTTTCTTTCAGTAAGTCCCCAGGAGATGGATGTGGAGAGCCCAGGGTTTTCCACTTTGAAGTTTAAAATTCCCAGAAAGAGACACTATCCCTAAAGCCAAACCCAGGAGACGGGCTCGAGGTGCCTCCGAAGGCAAAAGCCAGTGGTCTGCTCCATGCCCATGAGATTCAGGGGCTAGAAACAAATGAAAGCCATGATTAAAGTAATTTCATCTATGTGTTTCCAGAGACTAATTATATTTATTGCATCTGACACCAGTCAGGGACAGCAAACATCTTTTGTGAGCCTTACAACAAAAGTTGAAAAGCATTACTCATAATGGCTGATTTTGTTTTATTACATCTGACTCAAAGCCAAAGGTAGACAGCACTTAGAGCTCTCTGTGGACATTAATGTTTGAATGCAATACAGATAGCTTCCCTCTCTGGCTTCCCACCAGCACCCACACATGCTGCCCTCCTGCTCTCAGTATGTATGCAAGTGGTTGTGGAATAGAGAGGCAGTGAAATAGCTCCAGAATTTGTCATGCAGCCACCATATCCCAAGCACATTGCTAGGCACTGATCCTCATAGGTCGATAAAACAAGAGACCCTGCCCTCTAGGGATGCACTGGGCTGGACAACAGCCCACCAACATTACCCTGTAAGGGCAGTATTATGTGCCATAACACAGATAACGTAAGAGTGGGATGCGAAAATATCAAGAAGGAAAGAGTGAGCTCTAGTTGGGAAAAATCAGAAAAGGGGGTGGCATATGAAATAAGCCAGCAAAGAAGAGGTTATGTATTAGGCAGCCACAAATGGGAACTAAATTCTTGGTGCCAAGGACAGCAAGCAAGGTGAGAAACCGAGGAGGGTAGGGCATGTTCAACTAAAGCTTAACATGGCATGTGTTCATATGGGGAAATAGCACATGGTGGCACAGGAACGACGAAGCATGTGGCTGATGGCCTTGAACACTACCTGAAGAGTGGGCCTCTGTTTGAGAGTAAGGAGCATTCATGACCTTGAGCACAGGAGTAAGCTGCAAAGAGCCACACTCTAAGTAGGTTAGTGCAGGAGTGGTGTGAGGTACCCAGGCCGGCAGGGCTTTTAAGAAATTGCCTTCAATGGCCTGGTTGAGAACCACTGCTCCAGAACACAGTCACGCCTGGTGCTAGGGTCTATAGTATTGCTTCAGTGCTACCAAAATGAATATGGTGGGCTTGGTAAGTGTTAATCTGCTGCCTTAAGAACCTATCATAGGTCCATAGATAAATGCAGTTTCAAGCCAGTGCCTTATAAACAACCTTTGAAGACAACCCATTTGTGAGTTATATACTGCCTTCCAAATGATGAAGATTTGCTTCATATCTTTAAGGGGTGTTTCCACTTTTAAAGAGAACTTGCAATCTATTAGAAAAGATGGCAGAATTTTAGACAAAGGATCCAGAAGCTCCATGCATGAAAGTATTTATGTCTACCTGCTCCCATGACATAAGGACAAGAACATAACTCACCATGGAGGTCCCCACTGCTACACAGCAGCCTGTCTATAAGAGCCTTGCACACACACACACAAAGTGGTATGTCTTTAAAATCCATAAAATCTTCACAGAGTTAATTTTACTGGAAAATTGTTCTCTCTTTTTAGAACATTAGTCCCTAAGGACAGACTACAGGGAGAAAACACTGTTTTTATAAGCTTGCCTAAGAAAATTATTACACCCCAAAGTCCATCATGGTTATGAAATTCCATTGCATCCGTCTCTTGTTTATTTACTTTGAAACCAACATTCTAAATCTACTTGGGATACTCAATGCAAAATAATACTAGTTCTGTTTATTTTTATTTGGCTTTAAAGGAAAAAAGTAGGGGAAGAAGAGGGATGAGGTCTCAGTTAATGATCAAGAAAATATGGCAGAAGTTGACATCTACCTGAGATAAATCAAGATCAAATCTTTGTATCTCTTCTTTGTCAATGGATCCTTTCTTCTTTCCAAGCAATACATTTATGTCTTTCTAGATTGATAATTAATATCCCATATTAATTAGGCTCATGCCTATAATCCCAGCATTTTGGGAGGCTGAGGCAGGAAGATCACTTGAGCCCAGAAGTTGGGGATGAGCCTAAGCAACAAGGGAAAACCCTGGATCTACAAAAAATAAAAAATTAACCAGGCATGGTGGCGCACAACTGTAGTCCCACCTACTCAGGAGGCTGAGGCAGGAGGATTGCTTGAGCCCAGGAGGTCAAGGCTACAGTGAGCCAAAATCACGTCACTGCACTCCAGCCAGGGTGAGAGAACAAGACCCCCTGTCTCAAACAAACAAAAAAAAAAAAAAAAAAAAAAAAGACTCAACAGCCACTGGTCAAAGTAGCTCAACCTGAAGATCTCCCTCTGGTCAAGGATGGGGCAATTTGAACTCTCATAAAGATGAGAATTGCAATGGATTAAAACTGATCAAATAAGTTTAAACCCATGAGTTCATAAAGGTATTTTTTCAAACCTACTTGATAAACTTTTGAAAGTCAACAGCATTATCTTGAAAACTTAGTAAATACAAGGAAAACGTAAAACATTTATTTTAGATTCCTTATGAACTAAGCCAGTAAATAACCAACTAGTAGATGAAAGAAAGAATTTTCTAATAAAATCATTACAGCTAATAAATCAAAGCAGAGTGACAGAATCAGAAATCAACAGTCTGCACCCTGCAGTGAAAGAATGGATCTAGGCAATGTGCATCACATCTGCCAACATCAAAAACAAGGAGCCAACAGGCATGTGAAAGAACACAGACTCACCTACAATCCGCCAGCCCAGGAGGCTGAACCTGAGGCTGTTGAAGCTTCTGGATCCAGCTGCCAACTTCTAGGAGGTCAGAAAACCGAGGAGCATGTTAACCTGCAACATGAGTGCCCAATCAGCCAAATCCAGATTGAGAACCACTCCGTGGGTCAAACGGCCCAGGTTCTTCAATACATAAACTGTAAGAAAAATAGATGGAGGAAAACCTGTAAGCTAAGAGACAGCAGACAGACAGAAAGACATATATAAAATTATGTATTAAAATTTTACACACACACATATAGGCTTTTTTAATGGGAAAAACTACAGCATTTAGAGCTACGTGTTTTTAATTAATACAAAAAGATGCAAAGGATTTATCAATATAATAGCCAGGATAGTGATTACTTTGGGCAAAAGCAAGGAAATTTCTAGAGTAACTGACAAAATTCTAGTAAAATAAAATGGTCTAAAAATGAATTTAAAAGTAAAACAATTGTTATTTTATTATCATTATACTTTAAGTTCTAGGGTACATGTGCAGAACGTGCAGGTTTGTTACGTAGGTATACATGTGCCATGGTGGTTTGCTGCACCCATCAACCTGTCATTTACATTAGGTATTTCTCCTAATGCTATCCCTCCCCCAGCCCCCTACCCCCCGACAGGCCCTGGTGTGTGATGTTCCCTACCCTGTGTCCATGTGTTCTCGTTGTTCAACTCCCACCTATGATGAGAACATGTGGTGTTTGGTTTTCTGTACTTGTGATAGTTGGCTTAGAATTATGGTTTCCAGCTTCATTCACATCCCTGCAAAGGACATGAACTTATCCTTTTTTATGGTTGCATGGTATTCCATGGTGTATATGTGCCACATTTTCTTAATCCAGTCTATCATAGATGGACATTTAGGTTGGTTCCAAGTCTTTGTTATTGTGAATAGTGCCGCAATAAACATACGTGTGCATGTGTCTTTATAGTAGCATGATTTATAATCCTTTGGGTATATACCCACTAATGGGATCGCTGGGTCATGTAGTATTTCTAGTTCTAGATCCCTGAGGAATCACTGCACTGTCTTCCACAATGGTTGAACTAATTTACACTCCCACCAACAGTGTAAAAGCATTCCTATTTTTCCACATCCTCTCCAGCATGTTGTTTCCTGACTTTTAATGATTGCCATTCTAACTGGCGTGAGATGGTATCTCATTGTGGTTTTGATTTGCATTTCTCTGATGGCCAGTGATGATGAACATTTTTTCATGTCTGTTGGCTGCATAAATGTCTTCTTTTGAGAAGTGTCTGTTCATATCCTTTGCCCACTTTTTGATGGGGTTTTTTTCAAAAATGATAAAAATGAAAAAAATGTTATTTTTAAAAGATTTTCAAAAAAAGTGAATCCATTACGATTAGGGATACCACATGGTGAAACCCTTATGATAGACATCTACAAAAAGAAATGTCTAGAAGTCTTGAAACTTTCATACCAAACCACCAACTCTGAATGGTGGGTGGCACTGAGGGGCCAGGAGTAAGAGGGGGAGGGAACCAGGAGACTCAGTACAGGAGCAGGTTTATGTTTTGCTCAATATATTTTTGTTCTGTTTGCATTTATACTAGCAACTTTTCATGTATTATTCATATAGATTAAATGACTCAATCAATCTAGGAGTGAGTGAGCTATCAATTGCCCAAGCAAGTGAGTGAGTGGGCAAATGAATGGAGAAAGAAAAAAGTATCCCAGTATCATAGGCAGGTCCTAATAGTAAAGTCTTCATAAAATCATGTACAGTAAACTACAAAGCAAAAAAACAGATCATGCAAAATCTGATCAACCCAGACATTTTAGAGCCTGTGTATGTGAAGACACTTAAGTCCCTAGTCACAGATACAATGAGCTTATATGCTAAAATTTTATAAATGAAAATTTTACAAGGTAACTTGTTGATCGACCAGTCAAATATGAGTTCAGAACCAGATACCATCTTAAATGATCCCTGTGCCCACCCTAATACCATCCTGCCTGCCCTCCAGGGACCCTCCAATCATGAGACCCTAACTAAGAAGTCTTGCTGCCCAAGCTGGGCACGGGGACTCCCGCCTGTAATCTCAGTACTTTGGGAGGCCTTCAAGGGAGGATTCCTTGAAGCCAAAAGTTAACACCAGCCCTGGCAACACTGGGAGACCCTGTTTCTGTAAAAAAATTTAAAAATTAGCCAGGTGTGGTGGTACACACCTGTGGTGCCAGCTACTCAGGAGGCTGAGGTGGGAGGATCGACTGAGCCCAGGAGATTGAACCTGCAGTAAGCCATGATCACACCACTGCACTCTAGCCTGAGTGACAGAGCAAGACCCTGTCTAAAAAAAGAAAAAAGAAAAAAAGAAAAAAGAAGTCTTACTGCCCCTTTAAATTTCATGACCCCCAGAGTATTTGAAAGCACATTTCTGAATCCACCCAGAATTACTTCTTTACAAACATTCCAAAAAAAAAAAGGCGGGTCGTGGTAGCTCATGCCTATAATACCAGCACTTTGGGAGGCCGAGGCGGGCAGATCACCTGAGGTCAGGGTCAGGAGTTCGAGACTAGCCTGGCCAACATGATGAAACCCTGTCTATACTAAAAATACAAAAATTAGCTGGGCATGGTGGCAGTCGCCTGTAATCCCAGCTACTCGGGAGGCTGAGGCAGGAGAATCGCTTGAACCCGGGAGGCGGAGGTTGCAGTGAGCCAAGATCGTGCCATTGCACTCCAGCCTGGGTGACAAGAGCAAAACTCCATCTCAAAAAATAAAAACCAGAACCAAAGCCTCTGACTCACTTATCAACCAGTGTCCAAATTCAGAGTAGAGCAGCATTCTTTCAAAATTGAAGCAATTGAAAACAAAACAAAAACAACTCTACCTCCAACCAAAAATCATATGTAACTCTGAGAATCCAAGTTTTCAGATGCTTGTTGGAGAGAGAATGTGTTGCTTAACTTATCTCAGCCTCAGTCAGGGTCCTCATCTATAAAATGGGAGGATAAGCATCCCCTGCCTCACTAAGGAGTTATAAGGATTTCACAAAATCCTGGGAAACTCTTAGCACATTGCTAGGCACACAGCAAATGCTCAGGAGATGTTTGTTGTGGTCTTAATTTTTTTTATTAAGGCATGTTTTAACTGTATTACCTTGGGTAAAGTCTGGTAAGGCCAGATGCAAAACAGGAGAGATAAACTAGAAAGAGTTTTACAGATTTGCTACTCACAGCCCTGTGGGGAGAATGCAGCGGGTCACACTGGGCCACTCTGGGAAGTGTTGGCTACCAGGGTCGACAGAAGGAGAGAGTAGGAACAAGGAAAGCGTCTTCATTGAGAAGAAGCAGGGAGGTGGGGGGGAGTCTGGGTAAGCAGGCTTAGCATTGGCTAGTCTGAATCATTTCAGTGGACTCCCAGCCATAGGGGCTGTCCTGAGTTACCTGGTATCTGCCCCTGGGATAATTATGGCAGGTGGATAGTGGCTCCAAGTTTGAGAGGTTAATTGTATTAGTCCCTTCTCACCCTGCTGATAAAGACATACCTGAGACTGGGTAATTTATAAAGAAAAACAGGTTTAATGGACTCACAGTTCCACGTGACCGGGGAGGCCTCCTGATCATGGCAGAAGGTGAAAGGCACGTCTTACATGGCTGCGGCAAGAGAGAATGAGAACCAAGCAAAAGGAGTTTCCCCTCATAAAACCATCAGATCTAATGAGACTGATTCACTACCACAAGAACACTATGAGAACAGTATGAGGAAAACCGCCCCCATGATTCAATTACCTCCCACCACGTACCTCCCACAACACGTGGGAATTATGGGAGCTACAATTCAAGATGAGATTTGGGTGGGGACACAGAGCCAAACCGTATCACTAATACAAGAGGTAGCTGGGAATACTGACGTCATCAGCTGCTCAAAAAGGGGAACTGACAGCTTCTAGCCAAGTCCTCAAAACTGGGCCAAAGCAGCATTATAAAAACTATATTACAAGGTAAAAGTCACACTACATAAAATCAGCCATTTTAAAATAAAACATTCAATGGCATTTAGTATACTCACAATGTTGTGCAACCAGCCACCACCTCTGTCTAGTTCCAAAACACTGTCATCATCCCAAAAGAAACTCTGGACTCATAAAGCAGTTACTCTCCATTCTCCCACTGCTACCACCTCGTTTCCAGTCCTGCCAGATCCTGGCAATGACCAATCTGCCTTCTGTCTCTATGGGCTTACCTATTCCAGATATATGATATAAATTTAATCATACAAAGTGTGACTATCATGGGCTGAATTACGCCTCCCTAAAATTCACATGTTGAAGCTCTCAATTCCCAATGAGACCATATTTGGAGATGGGGCTTTTTAAGAGGTAATTAAGGTTACATGAGATCATAAGGGTGGGGCCCTAATCCCATAGGAGTGGTGTCCTTATCAGAAGAGGAACACACGCCAGGGATGTGAGTGCACAGAGGAAAGGCCGTGTGAGGACACAACAAGAAGGCAGCCATCTGCACGCCAAGGAGAAAAGCCTTGGGAGAAAACTAACCTGCCAACACCTTGATCTTAAACTTCTAGCTTCTAGAACTGGGAGAAATCAATTTCTGTTCTTCAAGCTGCCCAGTCTGTGATATTTCACAATGGCAGCCTGAGCAGATTAACACAGTGGCTTTTTGTGTCACATAGCATAAAGTTTTCAATGCATTGTAGGAGGTGTCAGTACTTCATTCCTTTTTAATGGCTGAATAATATTCCATTATATGTATATACCACAATTTTTTTACCCATTCATCCATTAATGGATATTTGGGTTATTTCTGCCTTTTGGGTATTGTGAATAATGCTGCCATAAACATTCATGTCCATCCATTTGTTTGAGTAACTGTTTTCAATTCTTTTAAATACATAGGAATGAAATTGCTGGGCCTTATGGTAATTCTATATTTAACTTTTCAGGAACCAGCAAACTCGTTATTTTTAAAGTATTCACTTCAGTGCCTATCACGTACAGGCCCTGTTTCACAGAGTGGGTGGAAATATCTATGAGCCATCATCCCTGCCCTACTGCCTCTGCAGGTTCTGTCTGTGAGAACCATTCCTCCAAAAGAAAAGCAGTAGCTATAATTTTCCATGGGATCTTAGTTTTATTCAAAATGAGTACCTGGGCAAACTCATGACAATTGAACCTCAAATGTCAAAGTAGCCTTTGTTTTCCAAATATTTATATTTCAAATGTTTATGGGCAAATAGACCTATTCTCTTAATTAATGCTGATATCCTCTAAGTAGGCCAAACTTGACCTTCTACAGCATCAAATAAAATATATTTCTAGGCCTCCGATCATACACATCCATGCATGAATGGATACAAAATGGCAGAAAGGTCAGAGAGACAAAGACTGCCAAACTGGAGAGGGATCGATTAACAGAGTTCGCAGAAACACGGACAGGAAGAAAACATAGCAGACCTCAGAGAACCTAAGCCAGGGCAGAGATTCAAAGAGGAGAACAACACAAGAATGCCAGGATGCAGAGAGGATCTACCAGTTTTGGAAGGAGGCAGGGTTAAGAGATGAGAGAGGAATGTTAGTTTCATGCCCTTGCCAATATCTTTCATAGCTAATTACACCCTGACAACCTATAAATTCCTCTAATAGTTTTCACTGGAGAAACTATTCTTCTACCCACTCCTACAAATATGAAGCAGGGTCGCTGGTCCAGACTAGCTTCCAGAATCACCCAAGTGGTGCTGATTATCAGTGGTGGGTGTGGACAACGGAGAAAACAAGAAGGCATTTTTCTGAGAGCCCTTGTGGCAAAAATCACCTTGTATGGTAAATACCAGATTCCACACATCAAGTGTCCTTATTTCCTAACTGAAAGAAATAACTAAGGAGTTTCTCTCTTTCTTGCTCTCTTCTCTTCTCTCTCTCTCTCTCTCTCCTCTTCTTACTCTCCCCACTCTCCCCAACCCCTGACCTGAAGATCCACACAATAGCTAACCTCTCTAACCAATCAACTCTCAAAGTCTATTTTTCAGAGACATGGGATTTCTCTTTCTCACCATGGAAGGGTTCGGATTCCACATATGTCACCTAGGAGACAAAAATTGAGTGTTTCAGAGAAAACAAGCTCACTCGTCTCCAACCAGCACTTTCTCTCATGGTTCCAGATGAAGACCATAATATTAAGCATTTCTACGGTACCTTTCGTCTTCCAGTACTTTTCACACACAGTTCAGGAAAGGAGGGAGCAGTGGTAGGCTGACACATCACCTCCAAAACCCTAGACCACTGTTTTTCAGGTGGCTAGTCTATATCGCGACTGTTTAAATAAAGCAGAAACCAGATAAAAGCTCATTCAAAGGGACCAGTTATAGAAAGAGAGTGAACTATCTAGGGGCAAAAGAAAGTAATAAAATGTTCAAGTCCCCAAACATAAGGTTCATCTCTGCTAAGGGTGACTGACTGTGGAGTCAGGCACGCCTGTTTCAAATTCTTATCCTGCCACTTACTACCTCCATATCCTCTGAAAGCATTAATATTCTCATTGGGGAAAAAAATGGGAGAAATTACCTACAAAATAGGTTTAAGTGAATTAACGTCTAGCCTAATGATCAGTAATGGTGGTGGTAGTAATAATAATATGCCACACATCAATGACCCAAGTTTTAGAGTATAATTTATTATGTTATAGAGCTAAATTTTTCTAAAATATTAAATAGTTTGAAGACCCTTGAAAGTGTTGAAAAAGTAATGTGTTTTCACTTTTGAGAAATTTGCAGGTTGGTTTTTTAATGGTTTTAAAGCCTCTGCAGCTGACAGCAGGGCATTATTCATGCAGCACCAGTGGGTAAACCTAGGCCCTTCCATGCTTGTGTAAGGATATCTGGGTGTGAGAGATGTACCATGTTATAACCATACAGGCTTCTTCTCCAATCCATCACCATGTTCACCGCCACTATTTCCTTTCTGGGCAAAGACTTGGAGGTGGCATCATTTGTAGAAGGAATTTCTCCAGGGCACAGAAAGACTTCCCAAGAAGTACTGATTTAAGGCTGAAAGTTGTTAGTAACTTCTATGAGTGAAGACAGGAGTGAAGAATGTGGAGGCTTACAATTGCTTTCTCATCAACAGATAACTTAGACATGTGAAATAATTTTTTTACCTTGTAGATTTGGGACAACATCTTCCCTTGAATACAACTAATCAAACTGGGCTTGCTAGGAGAATTTTGAACGTCCAACTGCATGTTCACTGATGGCTTTAAAATCCATATCTCCAGCACAGATCTTGCCTATGAACTCCCAAACCATCAATTCCACCTGGACATCTCAAATTCCACATGTCCAAGTCTGACCTTATCATCTCCTTCTCAAATCTCAGCCCTTCTTCCCCACCTCCTTTGAATCTCTCTCAGTGCATCTTCCTGGATCTGGTCTCACTGGGTAGAAACTGAGGGGTCATTCTTGGCACCATTTTCTCCATCTCTGCAACACACATGAAAGGCAACCCATCACCGACTCTTGTCCATCTGCACTGCAAATAACCATCAGGTCTCACTGCTTTTCTCCAATTCCATGGCCACCAACCTACAGACCCAGGAGACCAATATTTATTGCATGAACTAGCCCTCCAGCATCTGCCTTGGCCCTGTCCTATTCTCTTCCTCACAGTGACCAGAATAATCTTCTCAAAGTTCTACCTTAAAACCCATCTGGACTTCCCACTGTCCATGAGTAAAGGAGAAAATCCTGAGCATGGCCTTCTCCTTTACCATGCTCATCATGCTCTGACCTCACAGACTTCCCCACCCTGAGCTCCAGCCAGAGAACTTCAGTTATACACCCGCTCATGCCAAAGGGTATTTACTCATCCATGTTCTTCCCCTCTCAGAGGCTCTCTTTCTCCTAACTCCCTCTTCCATCTGAACAATTCCTACTTTCCCTTCAAATCTTCATGTAAAAATCACTTCCCAAAAAAACTCTCTTGGTCAGGTTCGTTGGTTCCATATGGTCCCATGTGCTCATGGAACTGTATCTCTTTCTTTCATTGCTCTCCTTTCAGTCCACTTTGATTCCCTCACCGTTGTGCCCATGTGTCACTGTGTGTCCCCTGCTAGACTGTAAGGTCAGTAAGAGCAGGGACTATGTCTGGTTTGCCCACCATTATAACCTCACTGCCAAGCCCAGTGCCTGGTAAAAAGAAGGCACTTGGTGAAAATAGATGTTGAATGAATGAATGAGTGAACGAATGTAAAGAGGTATATGACACATCTAATAGGAGGATGGGGGAATTTGAGTGTAACCTTAAAAAGAGTTCTTCTATAAGGCCGGGTACAGTGACATGCACCTGTAGTCACTGCTCAAGAAACTGAGGCAGGAGGATGGCTAGAGCCCAGGAGACGCAGGCTGTGGTGTGCTATGATCATGCCCACGGACAGGACTATACTCCAACCTGGGCAACATAGCCAGACCCCATCTATTTTTTAAAAAAGGTTCTGTAGGACAAAATCTCAGAGCATGGCAAAGGAAGGGCAGAAGGGATATTGTTTCCCAGGAAAATACTACAGCAAATTTGTAGGAAGAAAGGGTGCAAACACTTGGGTATCCTCCCCTCATGTCACCCCTTGGAATCTCAGCTTTCCGACGGAGCAAGTAGGGGTGGAAGTGCTTGGAAGAAAAGAGGAAAATGTTGCAAAACATTCTAAAGCTATCAGGACAAAATGTATACGTGCCAGAGAACATGAGGTAGAAATTGTACTTATCTATAGTTTTAGAAAATGAGCAAGGAGGCTGGGCACATTGGCTCACATCTGTAATCCCAGCACTTTGCCAGGCCGAGGCGGGTGGATTGCTTGAGGTCAGGAGTTCAAGACCAGCCTGGCCAACATGGTGAAACCCTGTCTCTATTAAAAAATACAAAAATTAGCAGGGCATGGTGGCACAAGCTTGTAGTCCCAGCTACTGAGGAGGCTGAGGCAGGAGAATCCCTTGTACCCGGGAGGTGGAGGTTGCAGTGAGCCGAGATCACACCACTGCACTCCTGCTTGGGCGACAGAGTGAGACTCCATCTCAAAAAAAAGAAAAGAAAAGAAAATGAGCAAGGAGATTTCAAAAAAATATCCATGTATTTTATATCCCTTACAAATCACATAGCTCCATCCCCATCTTAAAACCCATTTGAAAATTTCTAATGAATGAGGAGAAATAGTCCTCAGCCCTCCTCCAAGGTATCCAAGGGAGTGAGACCAGGCAAAGGTTTTGTATGTCACAAAAGCCACATCGTGTTCCAAAAGGAAGATGAGTAGAGATCTGTCCCACCCAGCAACAAAGAATTCCTCAGCAGAGAGCAGAAACTGATCTGCTTCCAAGCTGAGACTGCAGGAGGATGTTTGCCCAAATGCTGCAATGACTTCCAGTCATGCCTTTGTTTGGTTTCGGTAATTACTTGTTCATTTAAAAAGAAAAAGAAATATATGAAAATGAACATTTCTCTCACATGTCTGCCTACATTTCAAATAAAGGTTTCATGTGGCATCTTGAAGGAACTGAAACCCTAGTAACGCAAGGAGAAAACCATCCTGCAGAAAAACTGGCACCCCCCCCAAAACAGCTATCATTCTGTTCTTTCCAGCACGAAAAGGGAAAGTGTATTTCTCTGTTTACCTTTACATTTTCAACTTTAAAGCAATGTCAACAATAACCTGACATTGCATTTCAAGCAGAACAACAGCATTCTAAACTCCGGCATTATAGAAAAGTAAAAAATGGATATGCAGCTGGTTTCTCTTGCCCCGGCTCGTAAGATGGAGAAAATGTTTGAAAAGTAAATCCCATGAATTACAGGTGATGTTGTCGCACATTCAGCCTTCTCTTATCCCACCTGTCTTACTCCAGCGTCTCTACCTGAGCTACCTCCAAGCCAACATAGAGCCCTTTTCTTCTAAGTTTGCTAAACTTTCATCTTTACCTCTCTGACATTTTCTTGCCTTGCCAAAATTCCTAAAGCTTTCAGGGTGGTTAACAAACAGTAGGTGTCAGCCTAAGGGTTAAGAATTCATGCTCCCAGATGATAATCATCAGTAGATTGTTCTGGAAAATTAAATACACCTGAGCCAAGTTTCTTAAGGCTGTACTCTGGAGATGTTTCAATTTATTTTTTAAAAAAAGAAGAAACAGTTCAAGAATGTGAACTTTGTTTCTCACATATATTTTCCTAGGCTTCTTTTCTTTCCTTTTGTTTTTTTTTTTTTTTTTTGGTATTTCACTATGTGCTTTGGCTTTTCCCCAGATTTTTACCTACCCTTGTCCTCTCTGACATATGAAAAATGTTCTTGCATTCTGCCACCTTAGCAAGGGCATCGAATGACAAAAGAAACTGTTCATTCCAGAAGTCCTGATGGCACTATCGTTAGATTTAGACTCACCTATCTGCACAGACTTCCAGAGGCAAGGACAGACAGCACGTGGCTCACTCGATAGGTGGGGCATTCATTCAGAGATGCTCACTTAGTGCCTACTATGCACCAAGCATTGTGCTTGCAGTGAGGCTCCAAGAAACTAATAGGGATATTCTAGTTCTCCAGGAATTCCCCTCTGTTGTGAGTGATGGACTAGAATAGAAGTAGGCACAGGCTGTACCAGAAGAGCAGACACTTGCTATAGAAGGAAGGCCAGGAACACTGCTTGTGATGTGGCTACTGCTTCACTGGACGGTGAAGGTGCCTAACAGCCATTCCAGAGAGAAAGGCCAGCAGAGACAAAGGCACAGAAACATGAAAGGGCAGAGGGTGATGGAGACACAGGTGTTTCCAGGTGGCCAGACCAGATCACAGCAAGAGTGGCAAAAATGAAGCCTATAAATATCTGTTGAAAATAGATTATAATGGGAGAAAAATTTTGCAATCTATCCATCTGACAAAGGGCTAATATCCAGAATCTACAAGGAACTTAAACAAGTTTACAGGAAAAAAAAAACCCATCAAAAAGTGGGCAAAAGATACGAACAGACACTTCTCAAAAGAACACATTTATGCAGACAAAAAACATGAAAAAAAGCTCATCACCACTGGTCATTACAGAAATGCAAATCAAAACCACAATGAGATGCCATCTCACACCAGTTAGAATGGTGATCATTAAAAAGTCTGGAAACAACAGATGTTGGAGAGGATGTGGAGAAATAGGAATGCTTTTACACTGTTGGTGGGAGTGTAAATTAGTTCAACCACTGTGGAAGACAGTGTGGTGATTCCTCAAGGATCTAGAACCAGAAATACTATTACTGGGTATATACCTAAAGGATTATAAATCATTCTACTATAAAGACACAGGCACACATGTTTATTGCAGCACTATTTACAATAGCAAAGACTTGGAACCAACCCAAATGCCCATCAATGATAGACTGGATAAAGAAAATGTGGCACATAAACATGATGGAATATTATGCAGTCATAAAAAAAGAATGAGTTCATGTCCTTTGCAGGGACATGGATGAAGCTGGAAACCATCAACCTCAGCAAACTAACACCAGAATAGAAAACCAAACAACGCATGTTCTCACTCATAAGTGGGAGTTGAACAATGAGAACATACGGACAAAGGGAGGGGAACATCTCACACCCGGCCTGTTAGTGGGTAGGAGGAAAGGGGAGGGAGAGCATTAGGACAAATACCTAATGCATGCAAGACTTAAAACCTAGATGACAGGTTGATAGGTGCAGCAAACCACCGTGGCACATGTATACCTATGTAGCAAACATGCACATTCAGCACATGTATCCCAGAACTTAAAGTAAAATAAAAAAAGAAAATATATTTTGAGAGTTTTGGAGTGTCATGCTAAGAAGGTTGGATTTATCCTGCATTAAGAGGGGAAAATACAAGGTGAGCTTTCCATCTAGCAAGAGGTTCAACCAGGAGCTCTACTAGAAAACATAATGCACTGTGTTTCCCCTGTGGCTGGAGAAGTGTGCATTGGGAGAGTAGAAAGGAGGGCGAAATACCTTCCAACTGATGGCAATTTGGGGAGGACTTCACAAAGAAGGTGGCCTCTGAGCAACACCTTGAAGGATGAGCAGAACTGAGCCCATGAGAGATGGTGGTGAGGAAGGGTGCCCAGCTGAGAGCAGAGGCACAGGTTGGTGAGTGGGCATGTCTTACTCAGGAAGGAGCCTGGGGTCTTCTAGGGTTGGCCTATGGCTGTTGGAGGTTTGGAGCAGGAGAAAAGCTGGAAAGTTACTCTGAGATCCCATTGCGGAGGCCTTTGAATGCCTTGTTAAGGATGTTGTCCTGAAGGCAACAGGAGATCTACAGGATTAGGATTTAGAAGTTAACTCTGGCAACATGGATTGGATAAGGAGTGAGACCAGGCAAGGACACTAGTCCAGAGGCCACTGCAAAAAAATAGGCAAGAGATGAGAAGAGCCTTGTGGCTGAGTCTGGGTGTGCTGGTGGCTCATGCTGCCCAGCCTCCCTTGAAGCTGGGTGTGGCCCTGTGGAAGATGAGCAGGAGGGGCATGCCCGACTACCAGACCTACCCATCAATGCTCCCAGAGGGCCTCTTCATTACCTTTTTCCTTCCAGCTGGCAGGCATAAAGCTGACCTCAGGGTGGCCCTGGAAGCCCAATAAACACGGCTGAGCCTTCAGCAGCCTGAATCCCTGAATGACTGCATGGACAGGGCCACACTGGTGACCAGCTGACTCACCCAGTACTGTTACGTGACCAAAAACTAACCTTCTATTGGTTCTGTGACATTTTTTACTTTGAGATCTATTTATTGTACCAGCAATGCATACCCTACCTAACACTGATGGTTAGATGGTACAGTGGAGATGGAAAGAGACCGTCAAAAGACATTGTACAGGTTAGTCCTCAAGACTTGGCTACCCATTTCAAGTGGAAGGTAAGAGTGAAGAGTGAAAGATGGCGCCAACATTTGCAGCCTGGATGAAGGGGCAGGTGGTGAGGCCATTAATCTGAAAGAGTGACCATGGGAGGAGAAGGCTTAGAGGAAGGCAATGAGATTCACCGGGGACCTGCAGAAGTTGGGGTATCTGTGGGGAGACCGGGGTGGGACTGTGCAGTGGGCAGTTAGGACTACAGGCATGGAGCCTAATCATAGAGGCCAGTAAAGCTGCCCAATCGCCTCCAGAACAGCCCAGGCTGCCCAGGAGGCCTCCCTTTGTACTTTCCTCACACTACAAAAAAAAAATGTAGCAAATGTCAAAGACACACAGATTGTATTAATTAATTATTTAAAATATCATTGACAACAATAGGTGAACTCTGAATGGGTTACAGGTGATAAATTATTCTGGGTTTTAAAAATCCCCACTCTGTGCCTCACTAGCATAGCAGGAAACTTAGTCTCTCAGGGCTTCTGTTTTCCTCCTGTGTAAAATGGATGCCTCTGTCCTTGCTGTGTGGCTGGGAGGAATAAATGGGGTGATGTAGTCACCAGCCCATTACACAGGGCTCAGATAATCACCAGTATGTGTGATTACCATAAGCCATTCTTCTAATATTGGTAACAACAGCTGACACTGATTGAATTATTCTTAGTGTTCTACCTGATCTACCCATTTAATCTTGATAACTCCTCGAGGTAAGTACCTCCATTTTCCCCACTCTATAGATGAGGAAATAGACCAGAGAGGTTAGGTAGCTTGCTCCAGGTGATACAGCTAACAGTAAAGCTGGGCTATGGCCCCATCAGGTAGAGTCTGGCTCACGGACTCTTTCCTGCCACATGACATATCCATGGCAGGAGACACAGTCCTCTCGGGAGCACGGATGCATCTCCAATGACTGAAAGCACTTGCTCATCATTTTTGTGGAGCATTCAGCAGCAGAGCTGGCAGTTCTCAGGAGGTTCTAAGTGGTTATGAGAACCTCGACTCATTCTTGAAGAGCAGTTTTATAATAACAGGAAAAAGTCAATAATTCCAGATAAATAAATGCCGGTTGGGCAAAATAACCCTGAGGCTTATACAATGCTCTTAATTTTTCAAAGCATGTCCACAGGCTGCATCCCATTTCCAAAGGGCATTGGATACAAGCCCTTCAAAGGTCCAGGGAGGGAACTACGGTACCCTGGCAGAGAATATGGAAGCTGTCATGCTGCGAAGACAGCTTCACTGCACCTGGCCCTCCTCTTTCTCATGCTGAACCTTCATGAACCAGGAAGACGAGTACGATGGGAGAGAGGACAGAGATGGGTCATTGCAGCTGCTCTGGCCCTCACATCAATTGCAGGACCCATCCCATTTGGAAATAGCACTGCTGGGAAGAACCCTCTCGAGAGGCTGCTGCCACTGTCATTGCCACTGGTCTCTCTCTTTTAGGCGGTCCTATTACTTGTTTCAGTCTGGGGACAAAGGCAGACTGGGGTGCAGGCTCTGCTACAATGTACTGAATGTTAAAGTACCAAAAGGCTAAAACCAGAGCACCAGGATGATGCTTGGGAATACTCCAGGGCTTGGGATGGCTCAGCCCCCAGTGCTCTGACTGATGGAGTATAAATTCCCAAACAGGAGACACTGGATGCTGTGCTGCCTCCATGTTACCAATAGGATGCCCAGGCAGTTTCAAAACTGAAGAGTGTGGAGCCCTTCTGTAGGGTAGGGGGTCTCTGACCCTGTCTGCGGGGCCCTCTCCAGGACTCAAGCTGCCATGGCCATCGTGGCCAGTCCTCAGCCACCTCCCCAGCTCTCACCACTGGCATGCAAGGGGAGCTGTGAGTGCTGAGGCCTTTTCTCCATGCACAGATGGCCTCAGGCCCCTCTCAGGATTCTGCAGAGCTGGTAGACGTCCCTCTCCCAGCCAGGATCCTGATTGCCAGGCTTCAGCACCCATGAAACCCCACATCTTCTTCACACAGACTGAGAATTGCATTCACAGTGGGTTTACCCGTTCACAGGTCTAACAGAGCACTTCCACCACAGGCATTTTTAATGAGCTGTGAGTGCTGAGGCCTTTTCTCCATGCACAGATGGCCTCAGACCCTTCTCAGGATTCTGCAGAGCTGGCAGACGTCCCTCTCCCAGCCAGGATCCTGATTGCCAGGCTTCAGCACCCATGAAACCCTATCATCTTCTTCACACAGACTGAGAATTCCATTCACAGTGGGTTTACCCATTCACAGGTCTAACAGAGCACTTCCACCACAGGCATTTTTAAAAGCTGCCCAGGGCGTCTAAGAGGCAACATCTTAACCGATAAGACCCACCGATTCAAGCTCTTCCATTTGCTGATGAGGAAGCCAGGCCCAGGATGTGAAGAGATTTCCCTAAAGTCACATAGCTATGAAGGAAACCTGGTCACCCTCCAGCATGACACAGATGCTGAAACAACTTTAATATTTTCTCTAGGTCTAGAGAAGGGACATCACCTCTTTCAGGGGAAGGGGTAAATTGTCTTTATTTACTTACACATAATAATTCAACATTTTAATGCTGAACATTCTACGGGCTCTATAAGCTACTAGAATAAATGAGTTACCAAGATTACAGGATAAAAAAGTAATATATAAAAAAGTACTGTATTTCTAAATACTAGCAACAAACATCAAAAATAGACATTTAAAAAACAAAACCACTTACAACAGCATTAAATTTTTTGATACTTAGGGATAAATCTGACAAAAAGAACATTCATCTATACACTAAAAACTATAAAACATTGCTGACAGAAATTTAAAAATCTTTTAAAAATGGGGAGAAACACCATGTCTATGAGTTGAAAGACTCAGGATTGTTAAAATGTCAAATTAATCTATAGATTCAATGCAATCTCAAACAAAATGCCAGCAATATATTTGTAGATATTTACAAGCTAATTCTAAAATCAGTATGGAAAGCAAAGGGCCTATTATAGCCAGAACAATTTTGAAAAAGAAATAAGCTGAAGAATTACACCTGATTTAATTGTGTTTGGGGCTTATGGCTTTTTAAATTTTTTAATTAACAGATAATCAATGTATATATTCATGAAGTACAATGTGATGTTTAATATATGTATACATTGTGGAATGATTAAATCAACCTAATTAATATATCCATCACTTCACCTATTTATCATTTCTTGTGATGACAACTTTTAAAATGTACTCTTTGCAATTTTGAAATGTGCCCTACATTATTACTAGCTATAGTCACAATGCTGTGCAATGCATCACTAAAACTTACTTCTCCTTTTTTTTTTTTTTTTTTTGAGACAGAGTTTCACTCTGTTGCCCAGGCAGGAGTGCAGTGGCACAATCTCAGCTCACTGCAACCTCCACCTCCCAGGTTCAAGCGATTCTTGTGCCTCAGCCTCCCAAGTAGCTGGGACTACAGGTGCACGCCACCACACCCAGCTAATTTTTGTATTTTTAGTAGAGATGGGGTTTCACCATGTTGGCCAGACTGGTCTCAAACTCCTGATCTCAAATGATCCACCTGCCTTGGCCTCTTCTCCTATCTATTAATAATGGAAATTGTACATCCTTTGACCAACATCTTTCCTTCCCCCCTCTTCTCCACCAGACTCTGTCTCTGCTTTTTCTACCTGCTTCAATGTGAATATCTTTCTCAGTTGTTCAGTATGCAGGAGTCTTTCACCTAGTTTCTGCTTTCTCTCAGGGAGTATTGATCCATATGTAGGTGTTCATTAGGTGCATCTGTCAGAAAAGGGATAGTCAGGACCCTCCTATTCCACCATGTTGCTGATGTAACATCACCTCTTGATTTGAATCCTCCCTAGTGAACAATCACCTAGCTCTCATTGGTAACAGCAACTTCTCCCCTTAGCAAAGCAGACTTCATAGCAGGGAGCACTGAGGCTCAAAGAAGCAGCAGCATTTGCTGATAAACAGGTGCTGGAGAATATTCAGAGCAGCAAGAGCAGAGGTGTGGATGTGGGACCTCCTGAGACCCATAACATGGACCCAGAGTAAATCGTTCAATGGGATGGAGCATAAGGTGGTGAAACAGAAAGGTGAGAGGCAGATTTAAATGATGTATATCCTTGTCACTGTTCTTCAAAACTAACTTCCAATTAATATGCTGTATGGTAAACATATCTGAGAGCAATAACGTAGACTCCCTGAGACTGACCCTGTATGGCAGACACATCTAAATGTGTGCTCTGAGCTAGGAAATCTGACAGCGCCAAACACATAGATTTGTTCCTTTTCTATGAGGAACATCTGAGCTCCGAGCCTGGCCCATGGAACACAGGCCATACTGGGAATCAAGGCCCTTTGTTTTGGGGTAAGTGAAAGTTGCCAGTTGAAGACTGTCGGAGGGTGCTAAAAGAAAATGTGATGTAAGCTGCATGCCTTTTGCAAGCAGTTGCAGTTATAATGCTCAGCCTGCCCCCACTAGGCCATGCAGTTCTCCTGTCTAGCCTGCTACCACTGGACTCTCTCCCCTGCACGTAAGTCCCCAGTAAAACCCATGTCTCATTTGCTGGCTCTGGGTCTCTTCTTCAGCCTCTTGCATCTAGTACCACACCCACTGGAGTCGATACGGATTCGACACAACACATGCATACAGAGATTTAAGTCCCACCATGTATAATTCTATCTTATAGCAGTTTCAAGAAGTCTGTACCCCAGGAGCATTGAAGGGGGATCAAATCTTACTAATCGTAGGAAATAGCTTCATCTAAAGAAGAATTTCCCAATTGTTGGAGCTTTTCTTAAAAGGCATGGGCTGCTGACAAAGTAATGTGCTCCCTGTTGCTCAATGCATTCAAGCAACTGGATGCATTCAAGATGGGCTGGATGACCATCTGCCTGGAAGGTCAAAGAGATTTTTACCTTAGTAGGAAGTTGGTGGGAGGACTTTTAAGGAGGCTTCCAATCATGACAGATTGTGATCTTTTGGGTAAAGAACTAAGACTTCACCTGGGTTTGAACCCCATCTCTGCCCCTTACCAGCTGGGTGACCTGGGCAAAGCATTTAACCTCGCTGTCCCAGCTTCTTCCATAGTGAAATGGGGACATGTATCAGTGTCTACCTCATAGGGTGATTGTGAGGATGAAACGAGTTGTTCCATATCAAGGGTCATGGACATTATCAATGTTGAATAAATGTTGGTCACTGTTCTTATGATGGCGTTGTTATTATGGATTGTGACTCCCCATCTTTCATTTAAGGAGATGCCACTTAAATGGGCTCCACAACACAACATTCCTGCAAGCACAGACCAGGCACAAGATACCTGGTATCCTTCTGACAGCTCTTTTTTTTCCTGTATCAAAATGAAGCATAAGATGAATGGGAAAAAGATGAGACACAGACTTTAAAAATCAATATCCTTATAACTATTCTTCAAATATAATCACCAATTATATTAATTATATTAATACTTATACAGAAGTGTAAGTCTCATCTATCTTATTAGATAGAATTCCAATGTGAATCCACCTTCAACCCTTTGAACAGCACTTCTGGTGAGGGAGGGTGGAAATTCACACAGGGGACCCTTCCTGCGTTTCCACCCTGGCTCCCAGATGCCGCATTTTTCAGAGAAGTTTGCCTTGAACTTCCATGCACCTCCTCCTACCCCCTGCAAATTTACACACAGAGCACCTTTGTGAGCCGAAGACTGGGCACGGACAGAGCACAGAGAGGGCTTGTCAAAGTAAACGAGTTGATTCATGTGTAAAAATCCCCCGACTGCGTTTACAGATTAAATTGGAAAAACTTTCAGCTGCTTTTGGTTGAAAATTCCACTCAAATATTTCATTGGATGCCTGTGCCTTCGGCACATGGAGTTCCAGTGCTTGCACAATAGTCTGCACGTGCAAACACAAAGCTCGGTGGTCTGTGAGTGGCATGTGGCTTCAAAAGGTCTGTGTCATCTGATGGCCAATGGTTTCCTGCATATTTGCTGTATAAGCACATCCCTGTCCACGGATGTGCTGAATTAATGATAAGCCCACAAAGTTTAACAAGGTTCAGGTGGAGGGCTCTCGAATTTTTGAACTTCACAGCACTAGATGCTTGAATGAATCTAGCAACAGTAAATTCATTACTTTGTTGGCAGCTTGTGCCTCTTAATAAAGAGCTCCACTGATTAGGAAGAGACAGCTGTAGATCTGCATTGTTCCATGTAACAGCCACCAACCACTGTGGCCTTTGAACATTTAAAATGTGGCTAATCCAAACCAAGATGTGCTGTACAGGACCTGAACTCAGCTCTGGGTCAAGCAGACCCGACAGGTATGTACAGAACTCTCCACCCAAAACAACAGAATATACATTCTTCTCATTGCCACATGGCACTTACTCTAAAATTGATCACATAATCAGAAGTAAAACACTCCTCAGCAAATGCAAACAGAACTAAAATCATAATAGTCTCTCAGATCACAGTGCAATCAAATTAGAACTCAAGATGAAGAAATTCACTCAAAACCACATAACTACATGGAAACTGAACAACCTGCTCCTGAATGACTCCTGGGTAAATAATCAAAGTAAGGCAGAAATCAAGAAGTTCTTGAAAACCAGCACAAGACAAGTTCTGGCCAGGGCAATCAGGCAAAAGAAAGAAATAAGAAGTATTAAAATAGAAAAAGAAGAAGTCAAATTATCTTTGTTTGCAGATGACATGATCTTATATCTAGAAAACCCCATTACCTCAGCCCAAAAGCTTCTTAAGCTGATAAGCAACCTCAGCAAAGTTTCAGGATACAAAATCAATATGCAAAAATCACTAGCATTCTTATACATCAACAACAGGCAAACAGAGAGCCAAATCAGGAATGAACTCCTATTCACAATTGCTACGAATAGAATAAAATACCTAAGAATACAGCTAACAAGGGAAGTGAACCACCTCTTCAAAGACAACTACAAACCACTGCTCAAGGAAATCAGAGAGGACACAAACAAATGGAAAAACATTCCATGCTCATGGATAGGAAGAATCAAGATTGTGAAAATGGCCATACTGCCCAAAGTAATTCAATGCTAGTCCCATTAAACTACCACTGACATTCTCTGCAGAATTAGAAGAAACTATTTTAAAATTCAGATGAAACCAAAAAAGAGCCTGAATAGCCAAGACAATTCTAAGCAAAAACAACAAAGCTGAAGGCATCATGCTACCCAACTTCAAATTATACTACAGTAACCAAAACAGTATAGTACTGGTAGAAACACAGACACATAGACCAATGGAACAGAACTGAGAACTCAGAAATAAGATTGCACACCTACAACCATCTGCCCTTCAACAAACCTGACAGAAACAAGCAATGGGGAAAGGATTCCGTTTAATAAACGGTGCTGGGAGAACTGGCTAGCCATCTGCAGAAAGTTGAAACTGGACTCCTTCTTTACACCACATACAAAAATTAACTCAAGATAGATTAAAGACTTCAATGTAAAACGCCAAACTATGGAAAAACCCTAGAAGAAAATCTAGTCAATACCATTCAGGACATAGGCATGGGCAAAAATTTCATGATGAAAATGCCAAAAACAATTGCACCAAAGCAAAAATTGTCAAATGGGATCTAATTAAACTAAAGAGCTTCTGCACAGCAAAACAAACTATCATCAGTGTAAACAGAAAACCTACAGAATGGGAGAACCATTTTGCAATCCATCCCTCTGACAAAAGTCTAATATCCATGGTCTACAAGGAACTTAAACAAATTTACAAGAAAAAAATACTAAAAAGTGGGCAAAGGACATGAACAGACACTTCTCCGGAGAAGACATACATGTGGCCAAAAAGTGTATGAAAAAAGGCTCAACATCACTGATCAACAGAGAAATGCAAATCAAAACCACAATGAGATACCATCTCATACCAGTCAGAATGGTGATTATTAAAAAGTCTAAAAACAACAGATGCTGGTGAGGTTGTGGAGAAATAGGAATGCTTTCACACTATTGGTGCGAATGCAAATTAGTTCAACCATTGTGGAAGACAGTGTGGCGATTCCTCAAAGATCTGGAGGCAGAAATACCATTGGACCCAGCAGTCTCATTACTGAGTATATACCCAAAGGAATAGAAATCATTCTATTTTAAAAATACACACAAATATATGTTCACTGTGGCACTATTCACAATAGCAAGACATGGAACCAACCCAAATGCCCATCAATGATAAACTGGATATAGAAAATGTGGTACATATACACCATGTATATAATAATGATAAACTGGATAAAGTAATGATAAACTGGATAAAGTAATGATAAACTGGATAAAGAAAATGTGGTACATATACACCATGGAATATACTATGCAGTATATATATACTATGCGGTATATATATATATCATAAAAAGGATCATGCCCTTTGAAGGGACATGGATGGAGCTGGAAGCCATAATTCTAAGTGAAGTAATGCAGGAACAGAAAACAAAACACTGTAAGTTCCCACTTATTATTGTGAGCTGAATGATGAGAACCCATAAACACATGGTGGGGAACAACACACACTGGAGCCTGTTGGGGGTAGGGGGAGGGAGAACATCAGGAAGAATGGCTCAGAATAAACAAATAAATAAATTAGATGTGTTGTAAAATACACACCAAATTTCAAAGACTTAGTACCCCAAAAAAGTCAACTAACTCATTAATAACTTTTTATAGTGATTATATGTTAAAATTTGGCTACAACGGATTAAAACATATTACTAAACTTTTTTTTTACCTTTATCATAGGGCTACTAGAAAAATTTAAATTACCCATATAGCTCACATTATATTTTAATTATATAATCTTAACCCAGAGTATTCATGAAAACGAGAATCTCATAGAGGTAGCACAGGAATCTGCATGGTTAACAAGCATCCAAGTGATTAAGGTCACTGCTATTTGAAAACCCCTGACTCAGCAGTGACCTGAAGCACGAGTCAGGACACTTGGATTCTAAACATCATTCAGTTCTTTTTCTTACCTGGGACTCCATCTCCTCATCAATAGCATGAAGGGCTTGGATTAGACCTGGAAAGTTGTCTGATTTAAGGCTTCCGATTCCATTATCCACTGATTGTCCATCAACCCATAAACCTAGGCCAGCAGATGTCCCCAGAGACTGAATGTACCCAGATGGATACCAGATTCAGGCAGGTGTGACCTTAGGGAGGCTTTCCTGGTTTTTCACATCCTCCGGAGGACTCTGAAAGAATGGTCACCTGGGGGCTTCCCAGAGGAGTACAGCTAACTCCAGGGGAACCACATGGAACGTTGTCTGCATCAACATCCTTATCGCGACCAACTGCCCAAGGACTGCCATGTACAGCACAGCCTCTCGATATGTCCCAGAGCAGACTCACACTCTTAGGCTGCCCTAAAAATGGCCAAGATTCCATGGATCAAACAGCAGAAGAATGCAGCCCGTCCCAAGGAAGGTTACTCGACTCAAGCTACCAACCTATTCAGCCAGAAGAATTCCTTTTCAGAAGCAGATTGGGAAACCAATTTTTTTTCCCCTATGGAACCATCAATTTCACCTTTCCAAGATGACTCTGACGAAAGTTGCTAACCCACTCTTCAGAACCTTTGAAATTCATCTTTCTAATTGAAGGGAGGTTTTCCAGTGGGGAAAAAATGGCTCATTCGAAATAAGAATAAATGTGTTCGGCGTCGGCGTCGCTCCGCGCGGGGGCTCCAGGCCGAAGTCTCGCCGCGGGCTGCGAGTCAAATGCCGGTGGTTAAGGGCGCTCGAGAGGCCTCTACCCGTTTGGCGTTGGCTCTGGCGTCTGGGTCGTTGTGTCCTGACAACCGCTCAGGTAACCGTTTCCTAGACAGCGGGTGCGGCTACTTTAGCCCTGAGCGTGCTCTGCGGCTGCCTGCGGGTCTCAGCTAGTGTCCGACCCCTCTCTTCGCGGACTCCACGCCGAGCAGCCACCCTGAGCCAAGAGCCGGAAGTCCCGGCATTGGCGGCCTGGACAGCCTCGCACCGGCCAATCAAGGAGAACCTCAAGAACAACTTCCTCTATGACTTCCTCTACGGCGGTGTCGGCCTAACAGCTCCACGGGAGTGTGGACGAGGAGCTGAGCAAAAAAATTCCAGAAGTGAGATGAAATGAACATCCTGGCGACATATCATCCAGCAGACAAAGACTATGGTTTATGAAAATAGATGAACCAAGCACTTCTTCCCATCGTATTATAGGTGATGATGAAGATGTATGTAGTGATACAGAGACCACTGAAACCATGGAACGAGATATCTTAGCTAAGAAATTCGCTGCTGCTTGAAGGCTCGGAGCCAAAGTATAGGGTTCAGGAATAAGATAGCAGCAGAGAGGAGGATAGTGACCTCTCACCTGAAGAACAAGAAAAAAAGCGACAATTTGAAATGAAAAGGAAGTTTCACTACAATGAAGGACTCAATATCATCAAACTAGCTAGACAATTTCAAAAGACCTAAATGATGACGAAGATGAAGAAATGTTAGAGACTGTAGATGGAGAAAGCATGAATACGGAAAAATCAAATCAAGGATCTACTGCAAGTGACCAACAGCAAAAGAAATCACGAAGTTCATAGAAGAGATTTGTTCAACGCTGCAATTGTTAGATATAAACCCTGTTACTATAATGCATTGCTTCTTGTTCTCCACAATTCATGACTGAAGTACCAAAATGCATACCAGTTATTATATATTGCCAAGAATTAAATGATAACCTTATAGAGACTGATAATGCCTAAAATATATTCTTGTGCATAGTACTTTACCACAAATACAGTGTAATATCATCAGTCCAAAACTGCATTACTTTTGTAAAAAACACTGGTTAATTTGTATAAGATATCATATAACTTTTTATGCTTTAGAGGTTAAACAATGTCTTTGGGGGGGAACATTTATTGTCATCACTCTAAATGTGGTGGTAGCTCTTATAAAGTTTGTTGTTGTTTTAATCAAAAGCCAACTGAACAGCATATAAAGACTGATAAATATTCAGGCTGAGTAGTATTTTAACGCTTGTCTTCAACTTGATTTGTCTGTTTAATTGAAAAGGGTTGTAAGAGTTACCGTTGCATTTTCTGGCCTACTACCTTTAAAATTCCTGTTGTGTTTCTTTGTATTTACAAGGAAAGGTCTGAACTTTTTCTTGTCAAAACTAGCTTTTTTCCGACAAATAAATTATCAGGTTAAACTTGCACTAATGTCTCCTCTGTTTTTTGTTTTGGTTTTTTCTATTTTATGTTTTTGGTACACTGGGCAGACTTCAGAGCAGCTTTTTTTCAATAAATATTCTAATGTAGCTATCTCAGCATTCCCTTTAAATACCTGTCTTAACCTCCTGCTTTTATTTCTTACCCCTTTCCTCACATAGGCACACAATCCTTTACCTTTTAAAGGATCATTAAGATTGTCACAACGTTAGGAACTCTTTCTCTCACTCTTCTGTCATTTGCTGCAATATTGAAATTCTTATTTTGACCATCAATGCCTATGAATTCTTCTAATACACGAAGCAAATAGATTAAGTAGCAGCAGTACTATAGGCAGGAAATACAGTTTAACTGCTGAATTTCTATACCTCTCTCATTTACAGCTTGCTAATTAAATTGTTATTATCAGTTTTTTTGGCTTAATTAGACTTAAGAAAACAATTAACTGAGGGTTTTTTTGTTTTTTGGGTTTTTTTTTTTTTTTGCATGAGGAGAGAATTGTGTGTAACCAGTGATATGATTATTACTGAAAGTACAGACAAAAGTAAGCCTGGACATTGTTTAATTTAAATACTTTAAATAGTCCCTGCTTTAAGGGAATACGATAATATATACTATGACAAATGTACTTTATTCTTCTAACACAGTAAGAATTACTTGGAATTTTTTCCTGAAATGAAGTGCAGGAAAGCCCTGTGCATCTTGGGTTAGTGATGGTTTCATTTCTAGCCAATTATTTGTATCTTAAGTTTTTGTTAGTACCAAAATAATCTGTTATATGAACAGACTTTTAAAATAATTTCTGTATATTATATATATAAGAAAGCTTTTATTGAACAGCTTATCTTCCACTTGCAAGTTTATGGAAATATCAGTATGTCAAAATAAATAAAAAGTGGGAGAATTATTTGGTATTAGAAGAATGTTTTAATTATTTTGATTTTTTTAATGGGATATAATCAAAGTACTGCTGAACTATAGGTGCAGTATTCTACTAAACATTTCAGCTAGTAATACCACTGATTTAGAAACAAAACTGCTTATCTCTGCCTTCTGAATTTAGAATGTTGAGATTACCTGTTTAAATCTGTTTTGGGGGATGTAGACATTAAGTCTGTACATACATGTGTACATATATTCATGCACCTTCTGATTTTGGTTTTCTTGTTTTTGAGTTCTTAGAAAGTATTCACATACTCTTTTTTTTGGTAGAAGTAGCTGTTGTACAATGAAGAAAAGGATAAGACTTTAAACAGTTGATTCTGTTTGTGTTTTCTCCAAATTATTTTTTGAAATTTACCTTACAAGCAAACTCATTTTCTGGTTTTCAGAAATAGATGATTATTTCAGAGCAGTAAGACATGACAAACAGCATGCCCAGGAGGATTTTAGGTAGTCAAATTCAGCTGAGAAAAAGGTGTTTTCAAGTCATAAGTTGCTCATTGATATGGTATGAACTAGTCAAAATATGAACCATTATAATTCAAGTTAGATTTTCTTCTGGAGAGACAGATTTGAATGTTCAGTTCTAGCCACAGTAGATTTTACTTTCAACTTTTTAATCAATATCACTTTCTGTGCTTAACTCCTTGGTGTTGCCTTGTCCGTTTTCATTAATCAAATTCTGCAGGGATGACTAAAATTTGACATAATGGTATAAATGGATTGTTAAGAATAACTTTAAGTTGAAGATTAAAGCAAGATGCCATTTTCCCCATGACTTCGATTTTGTTTACATTTTTTCCTTTAAGTTAGTATACACTACACATACATAAAATACAATAATATGACAACAAAAGGAATAAATGTTCTTATTTTATAGAATAATAAAATGTCTGATATTGGGATATGACTGGTGGTGTTATATTCATAATTGTTGTAATAAAATTAGTAACTCCTAAAATTAATGGAATACCTGCGAAGCGTAATGAGAAAATTGTAAGAGGCTCCTGCGTGTGCTAAATTTCCAACTAAAGCTGCTTATCCTGTCCCAGCTCCAGCTTCTACTAGTAAAGGGGCAAGCAGAAGTCAAAACGATGGTGAAAAAAGTCAGAAGCTTATATTGTTTATAAGAGAATGCTGTATCTCGGCTCAGTCATTTAGGGAGCTAATCAGTTACCAAGTCCTCTTATTTTAATTGGCATATCCATTAAAAGATTATTACAAATGCATGGGCAGTTATAATGACATAAATTTGATCATTGCCTAATAGGGCTCCTGGTTGACCCAGTTTGGCTCATATTAAGAGATTTATGTCAGTTCCTACTACTCTGGCTCAAGCACCGAATACTATAATGTGCCAATATCTTTGTGTTTGTTGAAAATAATCAATGATTAATCAATATAGGTAGAAGAGTGAAATGGCTGAGGAAGCCTTAATCCGTAATCTAAAGACAGAGGTTGAACCCTCTTTTTACTGTGCCTCAAGGTGAATAGTCACATCAAATTGCAAACTCAAAGATGCAGCTTCAATTCTGCCAGGGCTTCCCCTGCCCTTTTCTCTCAACAGCAGAAGTAGACTGAAGACAGGTGATTAGGGTATTTCACTGTTAATGAAATTTTCTTGAGGTTGGATACTACCAATCTAATGAGGATTTAGTTTAATTAAAATGTTTGATTTGCATTCAATTGATGTAAGATAGAGAGTGTTGCAGTCCTTAATTTTTCAGGAATAAAATATAAAATATTGCTTAGGGCTTTGAAGGCTTTTGGTCTGCCTAACCTAAATTCCTAATCCAATGTTGAGAATACTGGTTTAAGTGGGAAGAAAAAGGCTGATAACAAAATAAGCGAGGGAAGGAAGAATGTTTATTTTATATTTTCAAATTGTCATTTTGTTTTTATGTTATTGGTTTTGGGGAACGTCTTTAATGATGTAGAATAGATTAATCCCATACAAAAACATAAGTTGAGTAGGGCTTTGATGGTGATAAATGTTAGTATAATAACGCTGTTATTTTTTGTTAATTCTTGGCTAATAAGTCATTTGGTAAAAATCGTGTAAGAGGAGGTAGGTCTTTTGGAGATAATAGAAATATAAAGATATGGGAGTTATTAGTGATAACTTACCCCATGTATGTAATAATGATAATGTATGGGAGTTATATTTAAATTGAATAAATATGAATACAGTGATTATTAATATTTTGTAATTAGTAGATGTAACATTATTGTAGAAAGGTTGTAGGTTAGAGTGGACATTATTTAGTCTATATGTGCAATTAATAGGCCAGAATTTTGTATAGTTATGCCTGATTTAGTCTTCCTCATTCTCCTATCAGAATTGATAATATAGCAGTAATTAATATTACATTTGGGTTAATTGATGATACTTGGAATTGAGATTAGTGCCAGTTTTTGTCATATTAATAAGATTATGCCTGATGTTATTGGAATTCCTTGTCTTACTTCTGGGACTCAGAAATGGAATGGAGAAAGCCCACTTTTTATAATTACTGTTATAGTGATTATTACAGATGCTATTGGGTTGGGAATTTTTATGATTGTTCACTACCCAGAATATGATATATCAAGACACCTACTATTAGGACTGTAGATGCAGTTGTGTTAAGAAATATTTAGTAGCTGCTTCTTTGGATCATGAATTTAATTTTTTATTAAAATGAGAATAATGGCTAGTACATTTATTTCTAGTCCTATTCAGATTATTAATCAGTGCAAGCTAAATATTGTAAGTATAGTTCCTGTAAATTTCTGGCTCACGGTTCACATCACTCTCTGTTATATAGTATACAGAGACATACGTATTATATATATATGATATCTTTCTAAAAATAACCAATGAAATTGCTTTAGTAAGCATTGCCATGTCATTTTTGGAGGGAGAAAGATAGGGAGCAAAGAAGGAAATGGGTAAGATGGGCCCCAATCTAAACCTCAGGTGTGCTTCCCACAAAAGGTTCCAGAGAGTCTCTGGATTCCCCACAACCAGAGAGCAACAGCAGGTGGAGTTAGATTGGAGATGAAAGCATTTCAGATAAATGTTTGTTGACTCACATGTAAGGAGAAAATTTACCAGGCTGCCTAAGAGGAAAAGATCTTGGCCCAAACCTTTTCCTTAATCAATGGAAGAATCCCCATTTTCCCCCACTACAAAGAAAGGAGCAAAGAGCCAGCCACGAGGTGGTCAATCTGCACCAGCTCAGACATGAGTGCAAGGACATTCTATGGCCTGGAATCTTCAACGCACATGAAAAGGGCTTTTTCTATCCATAAATGGTAATGATCTACAACAATAGGGCTGTGACACTGGAAGATACCAATTCCTACATCTTGCTTTGCTGAGGACACTCACGGTTTTAGCCTCAGACCTTCCTAGATTACATTTTAGCTTTAGTTCATATTCTCATATTTGTCCTAAATGTCAGCCTCTGATCAAGCTCATTAAACAGAGGCTGGCCCTTCCCACAGGGGGCTTATTATCTCAGCCAGACAATTCTTGCCAGTAGGCAAGAGGAAGAAGACAAGCAAACTTATAAGAGTTGTAAAGAATGGAACTGGGACCCAAATTATGAGCTAAGGCCTTGAGTAAACATATACAGAGGTTCCAGGTAAATGGTGATTCTGTTTACAGTGGAACAGGGCCTTCTTATCCAGGATTTCTCCTCCTAGCTGATCTGATTAGCAGCTCCTTATTCATATCTCCTGCTCCAAAGTTTTCCATTGCCACATATACAGGTAATGGTATTTTGCACAAGAAGATAAGCATGATTCAATAGAGGTAGGAGGGTCTGGTAATCAGCTACAACATCAATTGCAATATATGATCACTAGTAACATTCCCAACAGGTGTGGCCCCACCTCTTCCTCTGCATGGAAAACAATTAATGGTATCTTTTTTGCTATCCTTGGATTGTGACTAAAGTATGAGGTGCTTTCATCATAATTAGAGGTGCTGTGTCACCAGGATCTATGTTAATGAGCAACCAGAACTTCCTGGAAGATAATAGCCCAAGAAGCAACCCACTGTCATCAGTGAAGAAGTGACTCTGGGAAGACGTTGGTGCTTGGTTGGTTTCCTGAGCCCGGCCCAGCCCAATCTGCAATATGTAGAGACCGCAACTGAAAAGGGAGGTTGTTTTCACTAACAATATCCAAGGCACTGAGGAAGGGGTGGCTCTGCTTCAGTGACCTTTCATGAAGTACACACCAGGTGAAAAGAGGAATTTGCTCCACAAAAAACTACACAGCTGTGGCTCCTAAGGGCTCCAAGTATCATCAGCACAAGCAGAGGAGATGGCGCCCAGGGCAGCAGCAGAGTGGCCTGGAGGGCAGGTGTCGCTCACCCCAGGGGTGGCAGATGGTCTCAGGTAGACCTGGATGACAACGGAGGAGTCTCTGCTGGCACCTTCCCAGGCATCAAGGAAATAAAATGGCAGCTGCCACACGGTAACTAAGCCCTGGAACCATTTAGGAGAAAGGTTTCTGAGGGCCAATGTCCCAAAGCAGCTAGAAAAATAAGGTCATCAATACTAGTGTGAACCTCTTTTAAGCCCCATGAGTTGTAAGATCTTAACCACAGTCTACAACTTCAAACTTTTTCTAGGATGTAAAAATTGTGGCCTGGTGGCACGGTGGCTCACGCCTGTCATCCCAACACTTTGGGAGGCTGATGTGGGTGGATCACAAGGTCAGGAAATCGAGACCATCCTGGCCAAAATGGGGAAACCTCGTCTCTACTAAAACACAAAAAATTAGTTGAGTGTGGTGGCACACGCCTGTAATCCCAGCTACTTGGAGGCTGAGGCAGGGGAATCACTTGAACCTGGGAGACAGAGATTGCAGTGAGCCAAGATCATGCCACTGTACTCCAGCCGGGCAACAGAGCAAGACTCCGTCTCAAAAAAAAAAAAAAAAATTGCAGACACACTGAAAGCTTGTGGGTTCCTCCAACGGGCAGCTCAGAGATTCCTTCTTCTCTGATCTCTCTTCAGAATCAGGTTTCACCAGCTTAACCTGAGACTTAAAGGTGCTGAAAAATGAAGGTTTCAGGTGAATAAATGGGACTGCAGAACAGAGATTGGCAGCTATCATTATAACCTAGTGCCAAAGGGGTTAGACCCATGGGTTCCACCTGTCTGGTGAATAATCACCTTCACTAAGAAGATGGTCATCTACCAGTTATGACCTGACATCCTACTCAATGCCTTCGAGTAGGAGAGTATAAAGAGTATAAAGAGGACTAGCTATCACTTCTCAGCTTTTGGCTAAGAACAAGTGAAGGGCACCGGCTTTGGAATTGTAAAGATATGAATTCAAATCCCAGTTCTTCTATTTGCTCATAGTATGAATTTTAACAAATTAGGTGACCTCTCTGCTTCTTGGATGCCTCAGCTATCACACAGAATATATCTAATGGGATATTTTGCAGGACTATTTTTCAGCGTTAAATTAAACATGTCAAGCTTCTAACAGAATGCCTGACATATAGTAGTTGCCTTAAAAAAAAAAAAAAAAAAGTAGCTACTGCTATTAACTAGCCAACTTTCAACAGCTCCCCTTATACATAAAGTGGGCATGAAAGCAAATTAGAGCTGGATCCTACTAATGGGGGGCCAGGAACAGTAAATGTGTTTGGAAAGCCATAGGATTTGAGAGAGAAAATCTCACAGATGGCATGATCCAATTCTATCATTTTTTAGTTATAGAACAGAAGCTAAGTGTCAAAATTAGGCCATGCGGTCAATGAGAGACAGAACAGAACACAAATCCATGCTTGGCTATGGTTATGGGTTGAATTGTATGTTCCAGAATAAGATATGTTGGAGTCCTACCCCCAGAAGCTCCAAATGGCCTTACTTAGTAGGATCTTTACAGAGGTCATCAAGTGAAAAGGAGGTCCTTCGTATCATTCTCATGCCTTTGCATTCTCATAGCTTAGTTCCCACTTATGAATGAGAACATGCGATGTTTGGTTTTCCATTCCCCTGGGGGAAAGGGTGGGAGGGGGTTGAGGGATAAAGGACTACAAATTTAGTTCAGTGTATACTGCTCAGGTGATGGGCTCACCAAAATCTCACAAGTCACCCCCAAAGAACTTACTCTTGAAACTACATACCACCATTTCCCCAAAAACCTATGGAAATAAAAAAATAACAAATAAATAAAAGGAGGTGCTCAGGAAGGGCTCTAATCCAATATGCCTGGTGTCTTTATCAAAAGGGGAAATTTGGACACAGAGACATGCACACAGGGAGGACACCCTGTGAAGACTGGAGTTACACTGCCACAGTCAAGGAATTCCAGCAGGTAGAAGAGAGGTCTGGAGTGGATCTTCCCCTGGCACCTTCACAGGGGACCTGGTCCTGCAGACACCTTGATCTCAGACTGCTGGCCTCCAGAAGTCTGAGCTAATACATTTCTGTGGTTTAGCCACTCTGGTTTTGGTATTTTGTTTAGGCAGCCTTAACAAACTAAAATAACTACTTCCCAGTCCACTAAGCCACCATACCAGTAGTTTTCCAATTCTGTTCCGTTGGCCCCTAGGGTCCCGGGTAGATGTTTAATAAGTGGCTCTCAGGAGAGGGTGTGGGAGACCTGATGTGCAGTTGCTGCCAATTTCCATGGTGTAAACACTCCCCCTATGGCCAATTTCAAGCTCCCAGTGTGTGGTCACTGAATGCAGAGCTGGGAATTGCTGCACACAGTCACTCTCATGACCAGGAGGAGACACCAGGAGGTACCTCAGGGATGGCATGGGGTAAGGGGAGGACCAAAGAAGCAGGACGCCAGCATTGCCACCAGCCCAAACTAAGCACTGTATGTATGAGAGCAACACAACTGAAACTGTAAGCTCCACTGCAGTAGCCCATGACCATCAAAGCAACAAACCCACTTCCTTTTCAACCTGAAGTTTTTTGTATCTGTTACATGCCTAGACCTCTGGAACCCCAGGCCACTGTCTGTAAAGATCCAGCAGTTTTAGAGGTCACTCAGGGGCGCTTAGTGGAGGTCACCCTTCTCATCCCTGGCCTCTGTTTCTTGCTCATTAAAGATCGTGCTGCTTTTCACTCACCTAGAGATGAATTTCAAAAAGAATGTCTTTCTTTCACATTCGGCAGGAGATCAAATTCCCCCTCCTCTCTCAAAAAACACTCTTTAGGAAAAGAATTCCAGAAGAATCTACCCACAGATTCTGAGTCCTTAATCTAGCTATCCAATGTGACACAGAACTCAGACACTGTGAGAAGGTTTTGCTTTTACTGGGCCTGTTCTCCAGGTCTGTGCTTTCTAATTATAAAGTTGATGTCTCAGTCCTTCTTTGATCAGTTCAACTAAGAGGACTTGGTGTTTATGGCAATTGAATTGCTTCTTTGTCACGATGTCAGATTCGTCCCACCGTTCAACTACCTCTAACACACGAATTGTATCAACTAAGCGCATCAAACAGTAATGGTGAAAGGGAGAGGGACTAGTGCAGTGGCTCTCAACTGGGGGCAGTTTTTCCCCCCAGGAGACGTTTGGTGGTGTTTGGACACATTTTTGATGGTCACAGCCAGAGAAAGGGATGCTACTGGCATCTGGTACGTAGAGGCCAGGGTTGCTGCTACCTATTGTACAAGGCATAGAGCAGCCCCACAAGATAAAGAATTATCTAGTCTAACTATCAATAGTGAGAGGTTGAAAAACCCTAAATTCATGAAATGGGGAGCCCAGAACACATTGACTGGGATAGATTTGGTCATTGTCCTATCACCGTACTAAGGTGCTGGCCAGTAAGACGGTCTAAAGATAGAGGCATATCTTATACATATGACACACGAAGAAGAACCTCTATACAACTAAATTATTTTCAATAATAATTATGTAATAATAAGCAACAACCATTATTTTCTTTAATTTTGCAGCAATTTAAAAAGTTAAAAATACATTTCTATTTTAAAAATTTTATTCAAATTCAAGAAAATACTTAATGTATGAACTAAACTTTGCACTTACCAAACAAAAACATTTTACCTTGCAGCTCTCATTGTTTTATTTTAAAATTCATGTTAATCAATGGGGAAAAGATTCCCTATTTAATAAATGGTGCTGGGAGAATTGGCTAGCCATATGCAGAAAATTGAAACTGGATCCCTTCCTTACACCTTATACACAAGTTAACTCAAGATGGATTAAAGACTTAAATGTAAAACCCAAAACTATAAAAACCCTAGAAGAAAATCTAGGCAATACCATTCAGGACATAGGCATGGGCAAAGATTTTTATAATGAAATTGCCAAAAGCAATTGCGACAAAAGCCAAAAGCCGCCCCGTCCGGGAGGGAGGTGGGGGGGTCAGCCCCCCGCCCGGCCAGCTGCCCCATCCGGGAGGTGAGGGGCGCCTCTGCCCGGCCGCCCCTACTGGGAAGTGAGGAGCCCCTCTGCCCGGCCAGCCGCCCCATCCGGGAGGGAGGTGGGGGGGTCAGCCCCCCACCCGGCCAGCCGCCCCGTCCGGGAGGTGAGGGGCGCCTCTGCCCGGCTGCCCCTACTGGGAAGTGAGGAGCCCCTCTGCCTGGCCAGCCGCCCAGTCCGGGAGGGAGGTGGGGGGGTCAGCCCCCCGCCCGGCCAGCCGCCCCGTCCGGGAGGTGAGGGGCGCCTCTGCCCGGCTGCCCCTACTGGGAAGTGAGGAGCCCCTCTGCCCGGCCACCACCCCGTCTGGGAGGTGTACCCAACAGCTCATTGAGAACGGGCCATGATGACAATGGCGGTTTTGTGGAATCGAAAGAGGGGAAAGGTGGGGAAAAGATTGAGAAATCGGATGGTTGCTGTGTCTGTGTAGAAAGAAGTAGACATGGGAGACTTTTTATTTTGTTCTGTACTAAGAAAAATTCTTCTGCCTTGGGATCCTGTTGATCTGTGACCTTACCCCCAACCCTGTGCTCTCTGAAACATGTGCTGTGTCCACTCAGGGTTAAATGGATTAAGGGCGGTGCAAGATGTGCTTTGTTAAACAGATGCTTGAAGGCAGCATGCTCGTTAAGAGTCATCACCACTCCCTAATCTTAAGTACCCAGGGACACAAACACTGCGGAAGGCCGCAGGGTCCTCTGCCTAGGAAAACCAGAGACCTTTGTTCACTTGTTTATCTGCTGACCTTCCCTTCACTATTGTCCTATGACCCTGCCAAATCCCCCTCTGCAAGAAACACCCAAAAATGATCAATAAAAAAATAAATAAAATAAAAAAAAAAATTGACAAATGTGGTCTAATTAAACTAAAAAGCTTCTGCACAGTAAATGAAACTATCATCAGAGTGAACAGAAAACCTACAGAACAGAAGAAAATTTTTGCAATCTATCCATCTGACAAAGGTCTAATATCCAGAATCTACAAGAAACTTAAGAAAATTAACAAGAAAAAAAACCATTAAAAAGTAGACAAATGATATGGACAGACACTTCTCAAAAAAAAAAAAAAAGACAGACATGAGGCCAACAAACATATGAAAAATAGCTCAACATCACTGATCATTAGAGAAATACAAATCAAAACCACAATGAGATGCCATCTCACACCAGTCAGAATGGCGATTATTAGAAAGTCAAGAAACAAAAGATGCTGGTGAGATTGTGGAGAAATAGGAATGCTTTTACACTGTTGGTGGGAATGTAAATTAGAATCAACTATTGTGGAAGACAGTGTGGTGATTCCTCAAAGATCTGGAGGCAGAAATACCACTGGACCCAGCAATCTCCTCACTGGGTATATACCCAAAGGAATGTAAATCATTCTATTATAAAGATACATGTACATGCCGGGTGCGGTTGCTCACGCCTGTAATCCCAGCACTTTGGGAGGCCGAGGCAGGCAGATCACGAGGTCAGGAGATCGAGACAATCCTGGCTAACACGGTGAAACCCCATCTCTACTGAAAATACAAAAAATTAGCCAGGCTTGGTGGCGGATGCCTGTAGTCCCAGCTACTTGGGAGGCTGAGGCAGGAGAATGGCGTGAACCCGGGAAGCGGAGCTTGCAGTGAGCCGAGATCGCACCACTGCTCTCCAGCCTGGGTGACAAAGTGAGACTCTGTCTTAAAAAATAAATAAATAAATAAAGATACATGCACATGTATGTTCATTGCAGCACTATTCACAAGAGCAAAGACATGGAATCAACCCAAATGCCCATCAATGATAGACTGGATAAAGAAAATGTGATACATATACACCACGGAATACTATGCAGACACAAAAAGGAATGAGATCATGTCCTTTGCAGGGATACAGTTAAAGCTGGAAGCCATTATCCTCAGCAAACTAATGCAGGAACAGAAAACCAAACACCACATGTTCTCACTTATAAGTGGGAGCTGAACAATATGGACACAGGAAGGGGAACAACACACATTAGGGCCTGTCAGGGGAGAGTTGGGAGGGGAGAGCATTAGGGAAAAGAGCTAATGCATGCTGAGCTTAATACCTAGGTGATAGGTTGATAGGTGCAGCACACCACCATGGCACATCTTTACCTATGTAACAAACCTGCACATCCTGCACATGTACCCTAGAACTTTAAAAATATATATTATTTAAAAATGAAATAAGATAAAATTCATGTTAAATTTTAAACACAAAAACTCCAAATGTTCACACAGAATAACAGAATTAGAGTAACTCGAGTCTTGTTTCTTCATCTTTACAATCACTGTGCTAATGTTGTTTGTTTGCAATCCACAGTTTAAAGGCAGGAATGTATACTACTATAGGTTTGGAGGCACAAACTAAACCCCAAGTGAGCTCAAATGGTTCTAAATATTTTTGAACTTCATTTCAAAAAGAACACTGAGTCCACAGATTGAGGGGCAGGGAGTGAACTCCCTGTATAACCAAATTGTAATTGTAACTTCCATGTGAAATAGAGCTTATCTATGAGCCTTGGAGTAAAATACCACCATGTTCTCTATGTTCTAGTGGTCACCCAGGCCAGCTGCTTCGACGTGGATAGGGGCTACACAGGACATGAATATCATGAGAAGGTGAGGATCACTGAGGACCATCTTGGAGGCTGGCTACCACATTTAAATTTCAAGATGGTCTTCAGTTTGGAATTCACTGTTGGTCATTAGTTTGCTTAGTGGAGACCTACTATGCGATACCAAGTGAAATCTTTGTTTCTCTGCTTTAATGGAGGGCATAGATAATGCACCAAGAGGACTTTCTTATTACAGCATTGGATATTTTCAATGCCTTGTTCATATTCCTGTTGCTTCACTCATGGCCAGCCCTGTTCTCACAAGAGGCAAGCTGAGCTGCCAAGCTAGCCAAGCACGGTTATTATGAACAATATATTACGACCATCTTGGACAGCTCCAATTAGCAAGAAATATGAGTAGTAACTGGTTCTGAATTGGAGCAAACACTTAGAGGGAAGCATTATTTTGATAAATGATCAAGATCTTTCAAACCTCAAATTCACTGCCTGAAATAACTCAGTACCACGTTATGCCACGTCTGTTCCAGTTCAGTCACTCATTCACTCATTTCACCTTTCTCCCTTTGCATGCAGCATTTAGAAGCTCACAAATACTCACTGAATAAACAATACTAACAACAAGTAAAGGCTTGTAATAATTTGACAGTTTCATTCTAAATTTAGCATAGAAAAAAACATTAAATACTAAAACATCCACTTAAAAATTATATAAGCTCAAAATTATATATCACTGTCATAAATGTTGATGAAGATTAAATAACATGAGGAAACAACTGTAACAAAGCAGAAAATAAAAATTGTTTTGACAGTATTTTTCAAACTGAAAAAAGCAGGGAGCCCTCTTAGCATAGCTGGCAGCATGTCAATCTCACAAACTGGAAAAAGCAGCTATTATAGAAAATATATTCTGGATAAATATATAATAAATTTACATATTAGTTGTGTTTTAATGTTAGAATGAAATTGATACATATTCCTTTTTCTACTTTTTTGAATTTCTATTTTCTCATAAAGTTTTCAGCAGTACAATTTTATGGGGCATGATCTTTAGTTAACAATGTACTATTATGTAATGCAAGAAGTAAAATAGCCTAGTAGAAAAGCATAGTAGAAAGAATGCTGGCCTAATGAGAAATCCTGGGAATAAGCACCTGCCATTGCTAATGAGCAGGATGACACCTCTTCACTTCTCAACCTCTTTATCTGTGAAAGATAAGAACAGGAAATACTACTCACTTTATGCCAGCGAAATACAAAAATTTATTAGGAGTAGATCTCATGTTTTCTTACTACAAAAACAAACAAACAAACAAAGAGACACCAGGAACCTTGGGAGGTGTGGGATATGTCTATTAATATGTCTATTACCTTAATTGTGGTGATGAAATCATGGTGTTTGCATATGTCCAAACTCATCAAATTGTTTATATTAAACGAGTATGGTTTTTGCATATCAATATACCTCAATAAAACTGTTTTTTAAAAGGTATGAGACAGATTTCAGTGTTTCAGAGTTGCTACCTTTGTAAAAAGCAAGCTAAGAAAAATATAATTCCAAACACATTGACTTCTTTTATTGTTTAGCTGAAGAGATTATAGCCTGATCACTTCTGTTTAAAGATAAATGTTTTAAGCTGATAAACAACATCAGCAAAGTCTCAGGTACAAAATCAATGTGCAAAAATCACAAATATTCCTATACACCAATAATAGACAAACAGAGAGCCAAATCATGAGTGAACTCCCATTCAAAATTGCTGCAAAGAGAATAAAATACTTAGGAATACAACTTACAAGGGATGTGAAGGACCTCTTCAAGGAGAACTACAAATCACTGCTCAAGGAAATAAGAGAGGACACAAACAAATGGAAAAACATTCCACGCTCATGGATAGAAAGAATCAATATCGTGAAAATGGCCATACCGCCCAAAGTAATTTATAGATTCAATGCTATCCCCATCAAGCTATCATTGACTTGCTTCACAGAATTGGAAAAAAACTGCTTTAAATTTCATATGGAACCAAAAAAGAGCCCATATAGCCAAGACAATCCTAAGCAAAAAGAACAAAGCTGGAGGCATCATGCTACCTGACGTCAAACTATACTACAAGGTTACAGCAACCAAAACAGCATGGTACTGGTACCAAAACAGATACCTAGACCAATGGAACAGAACAGAGACCACAGAAAAAATGCTACACATCTACAACCAACTGATCTTTGACAAACCTGACAAAAACAAGCAGTGGGGAAAGGATTCCCTGTTTAATAAATGGTGTTGGGAAAACTGGCTAGCCATATGCAGCAAACTGACACTGGACCCCTTCCTTACACCTCATACAAAAATTAACTCAAGATGGATTAAAGACTTAAATGTAAGACCTAAAACCATAAAAACCCTAGAAGAAAATCTAGGCAATACCATTCAGGACATAGGCATGGGCAAAGACTTCATGACTAAAACACCAAAAGCAATGGCAACAAAAGCCAAAATTGACAATGGGATCTAATTAAACTAAAGAGCTTCTGCACAGCAAAAGAAACTATTATCAGAGTGAACAGGCAACTTACAGAATGGGAGAAAATTTTTGCAATCTATCCATCTGACAAAGGGCTAATATCCAGAATCTACAAGGATATTTAAATAAGTTTACAAGAAAAAAACAAACCACCCCATCAAAAAATGGTGAAGGATATGAACAGACACTTCTCAAAGGAAGATATCTATGCGGCCAACAAACATAAGAAAAAAAGTTCATCATCACTTGTCATTAGAGAAATGCAAATCAAAACCACAATGAGATGCCATCTCACGCCAGTTAGACTGGTGATCATTAAAAAGTCAGGAAACAACAGATGCTGGAGAGCATGTGAAGAAACAGGAATGCTTTCACACTGCTGGTGGGAGTGTAAATTAGTTCAACCTTTGTGGAAGACAGTGTGGTGATTCCTCAAGGATCTAGAAGCAGAAATATCATTTGACCCAGCAATCCCATTACTGGGTATATACCCAAAGGATTATAAATCATTCTACTATAAAGACACATGCACACGTATGTTTACTGCAGCACTATTCACAATAGCAAAGACTTGGAACCAACCCAAATGGCCATCAATGATAGACTGGATAAAGAAAATGTGGCACATATACACCATAGAATACTATGCAGCCATAAAAAAAGAATGAGTTGATGTCCTTTGCAGGGACATGGATGAAGCTGGAAACCACCATTCTCAGCAAACTAACGCAGGAACAGAAAACCAAACACCACATGTTCTCACTCATAAGTGGGAGGTGAACAATGAGAACACATGGACACAGGGAGGGGAACATCACACACCAGGGCCTGTTGAGGGGTGGAGGAATAGGAGAGGGATAGCATTAGGAGAAATACCTAATGTAGATGACGGGTTGATGGGTGCAGCAAACCACCATGGCCCATGTATACCTATGTAACAAACCTGCAAGTTCTGCACATGTATCTCAGAACTTAAGGTATAATAAAAAATATATATATATATAAATGTTTTATTTAAGAGTATCATTCTGACCATCATGCCTCCCACCATGCCTACACTAGCTCTGTCATATCTTGGTTTGTTAATGCATCAGACACCTCAGGTGATAGCCCATCACAGTCACCTACAGCTCAGGACCCAGGGGTGAACACCAAAATGGGCACCAGAATGTGTAGAGAAAGCTCCAGAAGAAGCAGGAACCCATGTCTCTTCCCATTTGATCTATTCTTGTTGTGTGTGTGTGTGTTCATGTATGTGCAAGTGTCTATGTGTGTGTTTCTCCCAAGTTACCTCAAGAAAACTTGATCACCAACGACTCCAGCAGGCTGGACTTCTTGCTACAGAGAAACAACTCTGGTGAGTAGGTTTTCTTTGTTTTCCTACAAGGAAAGACTAACGATGGCAGGGTTCAGGAATGTATCAATATAGGATGTCGTTGTTTAAAAAAGGAAAAAGAGTCGAAGGTTCTCTGTTTCAGGGAATGGAGGAATAACAAGATGAAAGCAATAGGAAAAATGAACTGGCACGAAAGAGTTGGCTCCAGGAACTTCTCCTATGCCTCTTCAACTCTAAAATCAGAAAGGTAAAACTGGAGAGCCACTGGAGCATGGAGGGTAGGTTTCCGAGCTGCACACTTAGAGCTGCACATGAGTTCCCCAAAAGAGTAAAGGTGGAGGCCTTAGAAGACACGGTGAGGACTCCAGGAGGGGAAGAAGAGGACGAACACTCAGGAACAAAAGCAGCAAAGGCAGTCATAGTTACAGATGCCAAAGAGGAAAAAAGGAGAACAAATTCCCATCAAAGCAGGAGGGTGTTTTGAGAAAGAATGGGTGGTCAACTGCGCTAAATGTTGGAAAGAGATTATGAGGAAGGCAAGAGGACAGAGACACAAAGCTTTTTCAGTAAGGTAGCCACTGGTGTCTTTGGGTGGCATATTTGTAATAGAATGGTGGGGACAATCACCAATAATTACACCTCGCATTACCTCACCAGTAAGCAGAGGCCGCACATGAGGAGACAGACCAGCAAAACTAGGACAGAGAAAGCATATAGTAGGAAGATTGAACACAACCAAGTGTGAGATTTGGGCATAGGAAATGTATAGATAATGGCTGGGTAACGGCAATAGGATGGAAGAGATGCAAAAGGGCCCAACCTAGAACATGAAGGACCCACTGGGGTGGGGATAGGGTGGACCAGCCTTGAAATCATTTCAGCAAGCAGAGCCCAATGTGCAAAGGGGTGCAAAGCAGAGCCCGATGTTGCAACTAACCAGCAGTCACCCAGGCAGGCAGACAGCATGGGGCAGGGGAGAGAGGAGAACGCCTTTGCATCATGGTGAACCGTGATGTTTTTCAACAAGTAAACTGAATCAGGAACAGGAAGAAATCCGGAACAAGAAATATTCTAGGAAGTCAGCTGAAAGGCAGCCAAGCTGCATTAGAGAATCAGTGGCGATAACCGGGCTCCCATCAACAGACTGTGTGGTTCAGGGGCAAGACTCCAGCCCCCGGGGAGAGCTGGCAAGGGCAAGAAGAAAGGGCTGGATCCATGGAGGAGTGGAGGAGCAGGCTCCCAAAGACAGATCAGTGGCTTGAGACTTTGTGAGCCAGTGAGCAGACCTGGGTGCAAAGCAGGACTGAAAGGGCCAAAAGAGTGAGTCATTGCAGCCCAGAGCACTGGGCCAGAACTCCTCAGCCCCTTCCACGAGCAGGGCAGAGACGGCCTGGGCAGTAGCATGTTTGGCTCAAAGACTCCCAGCAGAAGAGGACGGCAAAGGCTGAGAATCAGGCAGGAGTCAAAGAAGGGGTGCTTTAAGGTAAGGGGAAGGCTTAAACAGAAAAAGCAGAAGGAAGGGTAAGAAAGAGTTCAGAGACAGGGTCATAAGCATTTTGTAAGGCTAAGGCCAAGGAAGAAGTGGGAAGGCATAAAATACCCAGCGAATACTTGGCCTTGCTCTCCTCAGATCTAACCAGTTGCAGACCTAGAGCTACTCTAGAATAATTGTTAATTGAATGTGATGCACCCTGAAAGGCACCCAATCAGAAGATTTGAGATTGATCTGCTGTGTGAGGGCCAAGGAAGAATTTCTCGATTGCGAGGACTGACAAACACCCACGCAAGTCCCTACAAGAGGTTATGAACATTTTCTTCTTTCGAAATTACTTTTTCGCCGTGCAGATTTTCATACTCTGAGATACTTGGTGAGTATGGTTCTAACCGAAGGCAAAGCAACAAGTTCAATAACCCCACAGGGAACTCAGCAGCCCCGCTCCTTGTCTTCCAAAGCTGTCCAGCTCCTCCTCCCAGTGGCTGGTTTTCAGTTTTGCAACTCTTGAAATTCAGATTGATAACTTGGGCACCCTTTTAGTGGAGATGGCTGAAAAAGTAGATTTCTTCTTAGCCAAACAAAGGCTTCAAAAGCATCTCTTACAATTTTAAGCTTTTCAAATGGCTTCAAAATTCACAAGTACCCATAACAACTTTTTAAAACTTTGTGACTTTAGATCGACACCCAGAAAATTGTACGCTGGGTTTTCCCTTAAGGAGAGAACATTTTGGATTTGCTTTTGTTAGTTTCAAATGAATGACCTCATCATTGGATTAATACCTAAACCAAAAGGATGAATGGCTTGTGCTACTTCAGCTGGGGAGTCCAGGAACCTGGAGGATGCTGCGGAGCCATTCAGAGGGATCTTGGCATGTAGCATGTTCTCAAAACTTTGAAGCAGCAATGACAATGAGAAGAAGGAGGAGGCAGAGGAAGCAGTAGAGGCTCTAATGAAATTCATTGCCTGAATATTAAAAGCATTCAATAATGGGCTCAAATCAATCCATTGATGGTGCATCCAAAAACAGCTATAAAGGAAAGCTAGGGATATTTGTGCTATGTCATCATATTTTGAAGGTTAACACTATGAATAACAGCCTACCCTTCTTTACTAAATATGTTGGTGCCACTTAGAATCCTGAGAATCTTAGGGGTATTTTTCAACTGAAATGGGTATTTTTAACTAGAAACTCAAGTGGTCTGTGGCCACAAATTGAGAAGACCTGGCCTAGTGAACCATGTTGGCAAACATTCTGCCTATGCCTATGAAATAATAGATGCTCAAGGCATCATTTCACATCATAATAGCAGAAATCTAGTTCTTCCAGGGCTAAAGCAGAAGGAGGTAAGGGTCTGATGCTCTGACTTGAGACACAGCCACAGAGAGAATGATTCACATGTGTGTATCTTAAATCAGTACTCACTGCCCCCATGCAACTCTTGACCTGTCTTCTGTCAAGGTTAAGAGCACTAATGAGGCCAGGCAGTGGCTCATGCCTATAATCCCAGCACTTTGGGAGACTAAGGCAGGCAGATTACCTGAAGCCAGGAGTTCAAGACCAGCCTGGCCAACATGGTGAAACCCCATCTCTACTAAAAATACAAAAATTAGCTGGGCATGGTGGTGGGCACCTGTAATCCCAGCTACTTGGGAGGCTGAGACATGAGAATTGCTTGAACCTGGGAGGCGGAGGTTGCAGTTAGCTGAGATCGCACCACTGCACTCCAGCCTGAGGACAGAGTGAGACTCCATCTCAAAAAAAAAAAAAAAAAAAAAAAAGCACTAACAAGTGACAGAAAGGCAGGCTGGCTGTCTCCTTTCCTAAATAAAAATAGATCCATGTGCTTTGGATTTCTCAAACACAGATGTATAGTTAGCTTTTAAATTTTTTAAATGTTCTGAATTTAAGAACCTGACTTTCTCTGTCTGTGGGAGTATCAACTGCAGATACAGAATGCACTCAGATCTCACTTTGGATTTACTCAGGTCCCAGTAATGAGCTCCTGTGCAATGCCCAGGGCTATGCTCTGAAGATGCAGGAAGGGAAGATCTTAAACTACATGATTTTGGAAGGCAAATGTAGATACCCACCAATCTCTACTACAATGCTGCTTTATGTGGTCCCCAAGAACCTCTGACTTGATGAGTACTGATGGGCCCCCAAAATAAACTCGGGGCTAATGTCGAGCAGGAAACAAAGTGCATTAACCTGTTGGGTAAAATTAATTAATAATTATCTCTCTCAACACGAAAGAAGCCCTGCTAGGAATTTTTATTTCACTAATTTTTTGGAGACAGAGGCTTACTCTGTCACCCAGGCTGGAGTGCAGTGGCATGATCTCAGCTCACTGCAGCTCCCAGGTTCAAGTGACTCTCGTGCCTTAGCCTCCGAAGTAGGTGGGATTACAGGCACCCACCACCACACTCAGTTAATTTTTGTATTTTTAGTGAAGATGGGTTTTCACCATGTTGGCCAGGCTGGTCTCGAACTCCTGACCACAAGTGATCTGCCTGCCTCGGCTTCCTAAAGTGTTAGGATTACAGGCATGAGCCACTGTGCCCAGTACTGCTAGGAATTATCTTGGCTGTCTTTCTGACATTCATTTGTTGTGAGACAGAGGCTCACTTGTCCAAACCCAAAGAATGGACTCAGAGACCTGGAAAACAGCAAAAGCGAGACTTTTAATGACAGTCTTGCAAGATCGAGTGTCTGATGGGAAGGCACACCCAGCACAGTTACAACAAGCAGTTTATCCCCTAGTGTGCAGGTCCCTCCCCCAGTTCCTCATAGGCTGAGAACTATGGGGTCACAATCTTCCCAGACGTCGCCTATTGGTTGTTGGGTTGGGGCTTTAGGTGGTTTCTTTAAGGTTGTCTTGCTGCATTTTGTTGCAGCCCACAATGCATTACAATCCTAGTCAGCTCAGGGGCTCTTTAAGTATCTGACTTATGTCCTAAGTAGCTGGGCAGCTCATAAGAACAGACAAAGCAAGCTATTTTGCAGGCTAGTAAACTTTCATCTTAGACTAAACTTTTTTGGATTAGGTGAAGGCAACTAAGGGACGGGGGTGGGGTGCCAACAAGCAGGCATCAGCTATCCAAGCAGGGGCCTAGTATATCCTGTTTTTTTCTGTAGTTTGCTGACCTAAGCCAATTTAAGTCACTTTGTCTTAGAAATGGACCACTATATACATTATTTCCTTCATTTGTGAGGAAAGATTATTATTACAAATAGAAATTGCTAATATTTATTGACCACTGACCTTCTGCACTGCACCAATCTTACATATATTAACTCACTTAAATTCTCAACAATCTAGTGAGGGTTTACTATTTTGCATCCTAGATAATTAAGGGACACAGAAGTTAAATTCCTTGCTCAAAATCTTATAGGTGACAGAACAAAGATTGAAACCCGAGCACTCTGGATCCTGGGCATAAACTCTTAACCACCCCTCTCATTTCCTCTGAAAAATTAACAGATTCACTCATAGTGGGCCTACTTCTATTTTTAAGTGTAAACATTTTTGTCCTCAGATATTTTGACCCTCATAAGTTAACCATGCTAGGATTTTCTTGTTTTGTCTTTCAGAGCAAGGACACAGGCTCATCCAATGTTTTAGTACACTGCTACCTAAAATCAAAGAAATAAGATCTTATTTGTTCTAACAAAAGACCTGCTTCACAATAGAAATAAAAATGGTCTCTTTGTTCATTTACTGAACAAACCCAAAAACATATGTTTTTGGGACAAACCCAAAAACATAGCTCAGTCTAGTAAACTTCTCCAAAATATGCATGTTATACATTTTTGAGATACCTCTTGTGTTATATATCTGGTGGGAAAAAAAAGGGAGCTTTGATCATAGCACATGCATCAACAAAAAATTTTCACTCTAAACCTCAGTTTGAATATGGTTTAAAAGAAAATTGTAAAGCGTTTCCTCTCCCAGTGTTAACCAAATAGAGGTTGTTGGAAAAACAATCCTGGGAACTGGGTGTGGGTCTGGGCCCTGAAACTAGATTGCACCAGCACCAATTTACATGAAGGATTACATAAAGTTTTGGACATGGTACTGAGCAATTTTGCCAGTTTCAACTGTCCAGCATCTTAACCTCATTTCCATATTTGGGGACTTCTGACACATACTACCCACCATGAAAGCCTATCACTACAGCAGCTGAAATGCCAGGGCCCTGGGTAGAAGGTTGGTCACATGACCTCTCATGGCCAATCAGGTTCCCTGGCTGGGACTTTGACTTTGGGCTGAGAGCCCCAGCTTTAATTTTCACTACATTTATCATTTCATCTATTGTGTTTCCTCCACAGACAAATGTAATGCTCCATGAAGGCAGTCAACTTTGTTCACTGCTGTATTCCTAGTGCCTAAAATAATGTCTGACTCATAACAAGAAAATATGTACAAATACATATTTCTTGAATGAATAAAATATGTCTTGTTATCTGAATCAATTCTTTTAATTTCTAAGATCTCAAATTCTCTTGTATAATAGCTGATTCCTAATTTATGGATATGGTAGCCACGCTTATTTCCAAAACATGATATTTACATTAATGATCTTCTATTAGCTCTATAAGCTCTGATGTGGTTTTGCTGTGTCGCCACCCAAATGTCATCTTGAATTGTAGCTTTCATAATCCCCATGTGTCTTGGGAGGGAGCCTGTGGGAGGTAATTGAATCATGGGGGGCAGTTTCCCCCATACTGTTCTCATGTTAATGAACAAGTCTCACAAAATCTGATAGTTTTTTAAAGGGGAGTTCATCTGCACATGCTCTCTTGCCTGCCACCATATAAGACGTGCCTCTGCTCCTCCTTCACCTTCCACCATGACTGTGAGGCCTCCCTAGCCATGTGGAACTGTGAGTCCATAAAACCTGTTTTTCTTTATAAATTACCCAGTTTGGGGTATGTCTTTATTAGCAGAGTGAGAACAGACTAATATAAGCTCTGTTTCCTTGGGTATTATTTCTTCTTCACTGTGACTTTGTGCCTCTGTTTCCTAAAATCTTTGCTTCTTTGTTGTCAGAGAGGGGATAGATGGATGCATGTGCAAAGCAAGGCTAACTGACTATAACCTTTCCCCCAGCATTATGCATAATAAAGATGTTCATTCATTCATTCTTTCATCCAACCATTGTTATTAAGAGAAAGACACAATGGGGCAAAACAAGAATATTTTATTGTTTTGTGGGAGAATGTGTTCACCCCTTCCATTTTGCAACTTGTTCTCCTGAGCAAAACTCTACATATTTTTTCCCATAGCATAACTTAAAAGGATATTTTTTTAGAGAGTAGATTATCACCATTTTGAAGATGGGAACTTCCAAACTCCAAAAAAAACAAAATAGTACAAAATTTTCCAGACATATGGGATTATCAACCACTGCCAATCACCTTACAGACCAAGAAGTGTTCAAGAACAGTGTTAGGCAAATATTGCCCCAATATTTAAAACGGGTGGGGAGACTCATACAATAGAACACAATGCTTAATATTAACCCCCTAAAATCTAGAGCAAATTAACAAAGAGCTATTATAAAGTCTGGATAATTTGACACATATACACCCATATCCCACTTTACATTTTACTCTTTAGGCAGAAAATCCCTGGTTGCTTCTACAATAACCCTTGACATCACCATCATAGATGTCCTCCACTTGAAACTCCAGTCTGTCTGTCTGCCTGTTATAAATTGCAATATTCAGAACCAGAAATAGTATTCCAGACAACATGAGAGTATGGAACCACTAATCACTATTTGGATATCAATTCATGTCTACCAAAATAGCCTGTGATTTCATTTCTCTTTTACCAACCTCTACACACTGCACATTGGAACTGCTCCTGAACCAACCATTCCACATTCTTTCCACATATTTCATGAAAAGGTAAAGACACATGACCCAGATGGCAAACTTGGTATATTCACCTAGCTCTTTTCCTACTCCACACCCTTAGAAATGACAGGAGAGATGTTTTATTACATACTGAAACCGTAAGAGCTGCGCCAAACAAGGAACAGTACCCAACATTAACCAGAAATTTTGAGACAAAAAGCAGAAAGATATAAGGCAGACAGGATCAACTTGTTGGAGAAAACGACAGCCAAACACTTGTACACTTGTAGCAGGAGAGGCCTGCCAGAGAGAGAAGTGGTTACAGAGTACTCCAAGCTCTCAGGGGATGGGTCCAAGAAGCAAGAAGGCAAATGGGGAAAAACAATAGGAGATTAACAGGGTCACTGCATTTAGAGCAGCCACATCTCTTGGCTCCTCCTTCCTCCCGCTCTTGAATTGAGTGGTGACCAACAGCAGCATATTGCACAGGCTAAAGTGATGAGTGGGGCACTTAAGTCTAAGAGGCATCATTCTAACTGAACCTATGGAACCTATGGCAGAAAGTGGCCTTATGCTCACCAGGCTTATCTTCCTTTCCCTGGGCACACAGAAAGACTGTATTTGCCAGTTTTCTTTCAGTTATGTTGAGATCATATAACTAGTTTCCAGCCAATGGATAGCAGTGAAATGTACCCCTTCCAGGCCTGGCCATACAATGCCCCATTTTATGCTCCTTGTTCTTCCCTCTCTAAAAGTAAAGGATCTGTATCAGTCCATTCTTGCATTGCTATAAAGAAATACCTGAGACTGGGTAATTTTATAAAAGAGGTTTAACTGGCTGACGGTTCTGCAGGCTGTTTGGGAAGCATAGTGGCATCTGCTTCCAGGGAGGCCTCAGAGAGCTTTTACTCATAGCAGAAGGCAAAGTGGGAACAGGCACTTCACAGACCAAAAACAGGAGCGAGGGTAGGGGAGAGCTGCCACACTTTTCAACAATCAGATCTCGCAAGAACCCATCCAGTACCACGAAAACAGTACCAAGAGAATGGTGCTAAACTATTCATGAGAAATCCAACTCTATGATCTAATTATCTTCCACTAAGCCCCGCCTCCAATATTGAGGATTACAGTTCAATATAGGATGTGGTGGGGACAGCATCCAAACTAGATCAGGATCCAATTAAGATTTGTGAGGAGCCCTGGAAAGAGGACAATGCCCCAAGATGGAAACAGCCGGGATCCTAAGAGTAATCGAGAGAAAAATAAATCTTTATTGAGCTACTCAGATTTTTGGATTATTTCTTACAGCTGACAAATTATCCAACAAATATTATAGTGAAAGAAGCCCTGAGAGGATATGGAGGTACCACAAGAGAAAACACTTACGCAGCATCTCCATCATCTCAGTCAAGGTATTGACAGGAAATTGATGGCATGCTTGAAGGTTTAACCAAAGAGAAATTTACAAATGGACTATTTCCAGAGGTAAAGATGGGGCTGAGGGAACCATCAAGGGATGATAAAGCTCCCAGAAGTTAGCAATAGTGGAAAACCATGACCTCCCTCGGTCCTGAAGGGAGAGGAGAAGGAGCAGTTACCAGAAACCAGGGAGGATAGTAGCCACAATAGAGAGTGTCCCACCAGGAGTTCTCGCTGTAGATTAGAAAATACCACCACTGCCTAGCCCAGGGCAGGGAAGAAAGGAAGAGCAATACTCCAACCTTTCTTCCTATCCTCCAGCTTCAGTGGGAGTCTCCCTTTGACTGGACCAGTTGGAAGGCTGACGGCAAGGGAAGTCCACTGATGCAGAGATCAGCTTCCTGGGGCCCAGAAGAAGGCAAATTGGGACAGAGCTTGGACCTGGAAGACAAACTGAAAAAAACCAGAACATCCTCCCAGCAGATCATCATGCCCAACCCCCAGTCACCAGAGATAAGCACCTGTGGTCAGCACTGGCATCCACAGAGGGGCAGATAGTGTTCCAAAAGCAAAATTGAGCAGACAACAGGGAATCAAAGACTTAAGGAAAGAGAGGCATAAAAGTCACCGTGAAGAAGAAATAATACCAAAGGAAACATAACTCATAGAGCAGACAGAAGAGGATTGCTGTGTCAAGTTTTAAAAATACAAGCGTGGCTACGATATCCATAAATTAGGAAACAGCTATTATATAAGAGAAGTAAAATTAGAAATTAAAAATTTTTAAACAGACAATAAAACATTGATTGGATAAACAGAATTACAAAAAGTTCATAGTTAAATGGTAACTTGTTGATCTGGAAAATCAAGCCAAGGGATTATTTACAAATATGTAATCAAAAGGGAAAAACAGATAATTTTTTTTTATAAAATTTCAATATCTACCTAATGAAAATACTAGAAATAGAAAAAAGAAAATTTTAGAAATGGAAAAGAAGAAGTAATTAAGAAACAAAAAGAAAATTTCCCAAGACCAAAGAAACATTTGAATTAAAAATGCTCATCACTTTCAAAAATACCTGCCCTTTGACATACAGTTGTAAATTTTAAAAGTTCAGAGCTAGATAGAAAATTCTAAATGCCTCCTGAGAAAATAAGCAGCCTACCTGAAATGGATGAGTGTCTGACCAGCACCAAATTTCTCTTTGACAATACTTGAGGCTAAAAGACAATACAGTAATACCTTAAAAGTTCAAAAGAATTACTTTGAATCTAAATCCTGATTCTTATTCAAGTCAACATTCAAAAGGAAAAACAAAATAAAGACATTTTCATAAACCTTTAAAGATTCTGAAAGTTAACCTTTCACACACAGACCTTCTCTAACAGATTTAATCAAGCAAAAGAGAATTCAAAAAGGGGAAAATGTTGGGCCCAAGAACTAACAGTATACAGAGAAACCAGTGAAGTACACTTTGGAAATATATTTTACAATTTTTAACAACAATCTGCAACTAAACCAAAATATCTCAACATGAGAGGTGGTGGTGTTGGGGGAATAAAGGGGATGAAGTGAAAACATGGTAAGGTTCTAGTTTTGTTTGGGGTGTGCAGTAGAAATAGATACCCACTGATTCAAAATATTAATAAATAATCTAGCAATGAGAAAAGAGATATAACTCTCAATATAAGATCTTATACATAAAAAAATAAGTGCTATATTAAAAATAAATGTGACCATCTCAAAAAATGTGCAATTTTCTACAAAACTGTAAATTAATCAAAATTGATCCCAAAAAAGATAGAAAATGTGAATAGACTGATAGACTGTTGACAAAAAGAGTCAAACTCTAAAATATTTGAAAAGCCAAATATGTGTGACCAATGGCCTGTGACACAGCCCCATGAGATGCTGAGAACATGTGCCCAAAGTGTTCAGGCTACAGCTTGGTTTTATATATTTTGGGGAGACATAAGACGTTAATTGATACATGTAAGATGAACATTGGTTCAGTCCAGAAAGGTATGACAACTGAAAGTGGGGGTCATAGGTGGAATAAAAGATTTTCTGATGGGCAATTGGTTGAAAGAGTTATTATCTAAAGACGTGGAATGTCTGGGTTAATATAAGGGGTTGTGGAGACCAAGGCTTTATCATGCAAATGAAGCCTCCAGGTACCAAGCTTCAGAGAGAATAGATTGTAAATGTTTCTTTTCAGACTCAAAGAGACTATTCTATTCAGTCTTTATATCTTTGTGCTGACATTAATGTTGGTCAGCTGTGCCTGAATTCCAAAAGGGAGGAGGGTATAATGAAGCATGTTCAAGTGCCCCTTCTCATCATGGCCTGAACTTGTTTTTCAGGTTAACTTTGGAATGCCATTGGCCAAGAGGAGGGTTCATCAGTCAGTTGGGGGGCTTACAGTTTTATTTTTGGTTTACAATACACTTATAAAAATTGAAAATATAGTCAAAGCTCTAATCCATTAAAAAACAGGTACCAATTCCAGATAATTTTATGGAGATTTCTACTCCTTGAAGCAAGTATATTAGTTCGTTCTCATGCTGCTAATAAAGACATACACAAGACTAGGTAATTTATAAAGGAAAGAGGTTTAATTGACTCACAGTTCTGCAGGGCTGGGAAGGCCTCAGGAAACTTACAATCATGGCAAAGGGGAAGCAAACATGTCCTTCTTCACATGGTGGCAGGAAGGAAAAGAATGAGTGCCCAGCAAAGGGGAAAGCCACATATAAAACCCTCAGATCTTGTGAGAACTAACTCTCTATCATGAGAACAAGATGGGGGAAACAGCCCCCATGATTCAATTATCTCCACCTGGTTCCTCCCACAACATGTAGGGATTATGGGAACTACAATTCAAGATGAGATTTTGATGGGGACAGAGCCCAACCATATCAGCTAGTGATAATCTTAAATTACATGTGTCTGAAAATACACAAAGTTAACTTCTATACTCTATCCGAATAGCATCATTCTATACAGCTAGCAACACCTTGATTCCAAAACCTGACAAAATTATCACCAAAAAAGTGAAGCCATTGGTCAAGGTTACCATGAACATAGATTTAAAATTCTAAAAAATATATTAGCAAATCACATTTTGTAATATTTCACTATTTTTTAACCCCGGTCAAGCAAAATTTACCTAGAAATGCAAAGTGGTTCAATATTGGGAAATTTCTGACATAGTTGACTATATTAATGGATTTAAGGGCAAAAACATTTTGCTCATCTCAACGTATGCCAAAAATTCATTTGATAAATTAACACCCTTTCTGGAATTTTTTAAAAGCTCTTAGTAGACTAAGAAAGGGTATAAAATCATGTAGCCTAGGGGAAAATTCATAGAAAATATTATATTTAATAATGAAAGATTAGAAATGTTGTATTAAGGTCAAAAACAAGACAATCATACCTATCATCACAGCTACCATCTGTCATTGTCCTATAGGTCCTATCTAAAAAGGGATTAAAGTAAAGTAAATAAGAGGTATAAAATGCAGACAAAAAGATAAAAATTTTTCTACTTCTAGGCAAATTGTTACCCCAAGAGAATTGACTGAAATACTATTTAAAATAATAAGATCAGATACAAAATCAGTAGCTTTCTAACACATAAGCAATAATAAATTGAACACCTCTCATATTTTCTTCTAATACTTTTAGAGTTTTGTTTTTTACATTTAGTTCTTTAATTCATCTGGAATTCACTTTGGCATAAGGTATAAAGAAGGAATCTAAGTTGAACTTTTAGAACTTCTAGGAATATTATTAATAATAACAATAAATGTATACATAACACACCTAGAAATAACCCTAATGAAAAATGTTCCAGAACTAAATTAAAAAAAAAAAAAGAAAACCTATACAGGAGTGGTTTTGTCCCCTGGGTGCATATTGGAATCACTATAAGACTAATTAAATCAGAGACTCTAGGGAGGAGATCCAGGCATGAATATGTGCAGCCAGGATTTTAAATCTCTGTTATAAATTGTAATGATGTCATTTTTTAATAATGCAAATGCAGTAATTTTGGATGGAAAAACAAAAAATTTTAAGCAGGTCAGTTCTCTCCAAATTAATCTGTAAATCCTATGCAATCTGAATCAACATTCAACAGAATTTTTTATGGAGCTGGCAAGTTGAGTTTAAAGTTCATCAGGAAGAGGAAGTACATAAGAATGGTCAAATGCTTTGAAAAAATTAAAGGAAACTCCTGTTAAATATCAAAACATACTTTAAATCTGCATTATATGTCTCATAAATCCACTAAAATAGAAAGAGACAAACCAATGAAATAAAATAAAACAGTACAGAAACAGTCCCTGATATATATTTCATTTTTATAAGGCTTCAATTCAGTGGGAAAAGGATGGGTCACTAAATAAGTTGGGTTGATACCATTATATATTTCATAAGAGAAATTAAGTTAGACTTTCCTCCCTCATAAGCATACTCCAAAACAAATTCCAGATGGATTGAGGAGCTAAAAAAAATTTTTTAACTATAAATATTAGGAGAAAATACAGGGAATTTATAACCTATGAACAAGTGTTCCTAACCACACCCAAACCAGAAGCTCCAAAAGCAAAAATTGAAAGATGTTCTCATGAAATTTTAAAGCCTTTATAAGAAAAGACTCCTTAAGCAAAATTAAATACAAGCAACAGCCTTGAAGAACATATTTGCAACAATTAACAGGAGTGGTATCTAGAATATTTAAAGAATTCATGCAAATTCATAAGGAAAAAAAATGTATGTATGCATATATATATATATATATATATATTTTTGAGCTAAGGCCTCTCTCCATCACCCAGGCTGGAGTGAGGTAGCGCAATTTTGGCTCACTGCAACTTCTGCCTCCTAGGCTTCAAGTGATCCTCCCACCCCAGCCTACCAAGTAGCTGGAACTACAGGTGCACGTCACCATGCCCAGCCATGTAGAGACAGGGTTCTGTCATATTGCCCAGGCTGGTCTTGAACCCCTGGGCTCAAGCTATCTGGCCTCCCAAAGTGCTGAGATTACAGATGTGAGCCACTGTGCCCAGCCAAGAAAAAAAAAAATTAAGCAGGAAAAAATTGTTTACCAGAAAGTCTTGAAAATATATATAGATATATATAGATATATCACACACAAATATATATACCCACCCATACACACACATATGCACACACACACACACACACACACATATACACACATACATACTCACAGGGCCAAAAGCAAATGAAATTATCTGATAACCAGGAAATTGAAAATTAAAACAGCAATAACACAATAGTCTCCCATCAATATGGTAAAAACTTAACAGACTGATAAAAAAGCAGTGTTCACAGGGATGAAGAAGGGGAGAAATTTCCCCATTCACGCATTCTTGGTGAAAGTACAAATTGGTAAAGCTTTTCTGGCAATAATTTTTTTAAAATCACAATCATAACCTTTGAGTCAATAATTTCTAAAGAAATATACCTATGTATGTGCTGTTTATATAAAGATACTTAGGCAACACTGTGGGCAATAGAAAAAAATTAAAAACATCTAATAGGAGAGCAGTTTAAAAAACTGTGGTCATCAGTTTAAAATATTGGGCTCTTATACATGATGAAAAAAATAAATCATAGAATATTTATAGTACGCTATCACTTGTTTATTAAAACATGTATATAAGTACAGTCTACACATCTCTGCAGGTGCAAAATCTGCAGAGAAAGAACTGGAAGTATAGTCACATCCTTTCACTTTGGCTGTCAGGAATGTAATATACAAATGTTTTAGCACATGTCAAACTGAACTGTATTTATTTGTTTTCATGTCTGTCCCCCCTCTAAGCTACCACTTTTTGACAGACTGTCTTTTTTCTCCACAGGCAGTGCTCTATAAATGTCCGATAAATGGCTGCATGGTTTTCTTGCCCTTGGACCTGTCCCACTCAACATTTTAGAGGTTCAAAGAATGATACAATATTCAGTTTGAAACTCATTATCGCCATTTACTACTTGTATGACCTTGGGCTGTTAGTTAAACTCATTGAGCCTTAGTTTTCCCATCTATTATGAGAAGAAAATAATGCCTAAGTCATAGCATCACTTGAAGGATTAAATAATCAACTATATAAAAAGTTGCTAGCACAGTGCCTGGCACTGCTATGGATTCAAAACAAACCCTTCCAAACTTAGTGGCTTAAAACTATGACTATGATTTAACATGCATCTAAATCTGACTTTGGGCAGGGCTCATCAGGGACAGCTCATCTCGGCTCTACTGCTATAAGCTGGGACATCTGGATTGGTGTGAAGGATCACTCCCAAGGTGGCTCCCTCACATGGCTGGCAAGTTGTTCTGGGTGTTGGACCCTCCCCATGAAAGCCTCTCCACAAAACAGCTTGGGCTTCCTCTCAACATGGTGGCTGGATTCCAAGAATAAGCCTCTCAAGAGATATTAATAAAGTAGATGCTACCAGTTTCTTAAAACTAAGGCCTGAAAAATGGCACGATGTCACTTCACCATATGCCATTGGTCAAGCAGTTAGAGAGTCCAGATCCAATCTGCCTCTGGACACCAATTATTGACATCCCTCTAGCATGCAAAATGCATTTATGCCTCCCAGGATCCTGCAAACATCTCAACCCTTTAAATCCTGTCCAAGTGGAAATGAAGCTCCCTGAGAGTGGCCCTTTGGGTACAACATATTGAGTACTGTTCATCACCATCTGACTATTAGGAACTAAAGAGGCAAGTTACCTTTACTGACCACCACCCCCCAGACACACACAAATACACACACACACTCCACATACGATAGTGGAATAAGCAGAGGATAACCACAAGAGACACTCCCGTTAAAAGGGGGAAACAGAAGGCACAGAGCTGGCAATGGCCCCCAGAGCACTTCTGCAATCCAGCTCCATAGGTGTTGCAAATTCCTTTCTAGAGCCTAGTACTCTCCAATACTCTTGGTTGTACCCTCTGGTCTCCTGTTTCTGCTCCTGAATATCTTCCTCTTCTATAAGAATACCGAGTTGGTGATTTTGTCGGATTTTCAGTCTACTTCCTGCTTCTAGAGGTTGGAGCTCCATCTCTGTCTCTTTCAATCTAATCAGGTGGTGCTTGCAGTCAATAGAGGCTATTATTATTGTTATTAATAACATGAATAAAAATATAAAGATGCCTTACCCAATAGGTAATACTTACCAATATTTTTGGAGGACAGAATTAAATTGGTTAAACCCAACAAGATGAAATTGGGTAAGAGTAAATAAAAGTCCTGCATTTAGACTTTAAAAATCAATTTCATAATTACAGGATGAGGAGGCTTTGGCTTACTGGCATGCTTACCTCCCAGACTAAGCTGTAAGCTTTTAGTGGGAGAAAATTGGGGGGATTTAGCTGACAGCAATCTCACAATGAAACAAAAGCATGAAGAGACACACACTGTAAGTGGCATCCTGACAAAGCTGCTTGTGCTCAGGATGGTGAAGGAAATAAAACCACATCATAGGAGTAACTGTGGACAAAATGAGTGGCTTTGCCTGGAGAAGAGAAAGCCTTAGGGAAGTGGTAGAGCAAGTTATCAACTTCACGTGTTTGAAAGGCTGTCACATAAAAGAAGAAATGGACTTTGCTCCAGAGGACAGAACCAGCATGGCTAGGTGGTGGTTTCAGGAGAGCTAACTTTCATCAGAATAAAAAAGCGTTTCCCAACACCCAGAGTCCTTGCGCTCAACCTCAGTTGTCCTACTGGCATCACCTGAAGAATGTTAAATAATATGGATGCTCAAAGACCTAAAAACAGAAATATCATTTGATCCAGCACTCCCGTTACTGGGTATATACCCAAAGGAATATACATTGTTCTATTATAAAGACACATGCACACGTATGTTTATTGCAGCACTATTCACAATAGCAAAGACATGGAACCAACCCAAATGCCCATCAGTGATAGACTGGATAAAGAAAATGTGGTATATATACACCATGGAATACTATGCAGCCATAAAAAAAGAATGAGATCATGTCCTTTGCAGGGACATGGATAGAGCTGGAGGCCGTTATCCTTAGCAAACTAACCCAGGAACAGAAAACCAAATACCACATATTCTCACTCATAAGTGAGAGCTACATGATGAGAACACATGGACACACAGGAACACATGGACACACAGAGGGGAACAACACACACTGGGGCCTATAGGAAGGTGAAGGGTGGGAGGAGGGAGAGGATCAGGAAAAATAACTAATGGGTACTAGGCATAATAACTGGGTGATTAAATAATCTACACAACAAACCCCCATGACACAAGTTTACTTATGTAACAAACCTGCACATGTAACTTAAACAAAAGTTTAATAATAATAATAAACTTAACTTAAAACAAAAGTCTAATAATAATATTGATGCCAGCAGCTTCCCCAGGACAATTCTATCAGAGTCACTGAGGATGGGTTGCAAGCAGTAAAGATTTTATAAAATGGATCAGGTGATGACATTGTACTGCCAGGATTATGTACATTGAAAGGACCTAAAGCAAATATCAATAAATGATCTGCTCACAAAGAAGGGACTTAGCCAACCACAAAAAGGTTTAAGCAAGTCTGAGTGGCTGTCAGTATTGTTACTATAGAGAAGTCCTGTATCAAGTGATCAGGCAGATGAGCTTTAGACTCCAGGGTAGAGAATGATTAAATTCCACTGAACAACAGAAACAGCCCAGAGATTCCTAATGCAGAGGGAGCCGTGCCATGTTCAGACCATATTTCTTCCCTCCACCCCGTGCCAACTCAGTCTCCTGGAAAAAGAAGATGGAACCAGTCCTCAGAGTGGATTTCTTTGTCCAAATGGACAGTTTGAGTCAGGGAACCATTTGTTTAGAATGGCTAAGAAAACTGAAAGTTTAGGGTAGAGCAAGGGGGGAAAGGGGGTACCCCAAGCCCCTGACATGGGTATTTTCATTTGAAGTTCTAAGACCTTATTTCTGCAAGGAGGCTCTTCTATCTCCCTGACTTCTACCCATTGAGTCCCCAACCCAACTCCAGCTCTTTATATCAAGGCAAATTATTCTCTTTCTCATCACATTCTGTTCAACTGTGTGCAGATAGCTCGTGTTTCCCACCATTTGCTGTTGCTAAGTCAAAGTCCACACAAGGTATTTAGTTCTTATGAATATACATCAGAGCCTGCAGCATCAAATACCAGATTCTCTGCCCTTCTCTGATCTCTCTCCAGCTCTGCTTCTACACCTTTCTATTACTGAAGTCCCACAAATGTGTTAAAATATCCCAGCTGTGCTACCAGCAGCCCAGAACACGGAATAAACCATACTGATCTTACTCTTGAAAAAACTGTATTTCACGAACAGAATTCTTCCTCATTGTTTTATATCGTAACTGTCATTATGAGAGAAGACACCACTGCAGCCCCACATCCCGTGATCCAAGGGCAGATACCTAGCACATATCAGGTGAATATCTTGTTTCTCCATGTTAAATTGTGCTTAATTGTTTTTCTATTTGCAAACATAGGTCTCCTTCATACTGGGCATTGACCACAATGGGTGGCCAAAAAGAGAGAAGATTTTCTTGAATATGAATACAGATTTAAGCGGGAGAAATTGTTATAAATCATGGCACTGTCTTCCAAAGGCCGAGTGCACAGCATAAAACTTTCCCGGTTCATTTCAAGCCACTATTGAGTTCATCAATGCTTTATTTGTGAAAGTAAATTCTTAGCCTTACAAAACATCTATTCAAACATCAATGACTCAGAATTCTGGGACTTTCCTGCTAGTCTGGAAATCATGTTTATGATACAAGTGCCTAGTTAATAAAAGCCTGCCTTCCATGCGTCAAAGACCTTTATGATCTTAAAGAAAGAAAAAGTGGAGACGCTGCACTGGCTGCTTTCCTTTGTCCTTCTTTTGCTATGTCCATGATGTTTGTGAGGTTTTGTTGCACTTAAAATTAATTGGTGGATATTTGGGGCAGCGAAACTATGCTGCATGAGACTGTAATGGTGGATCTGTGTCTTTATATGTTTGTCCAAACCCACAGAATGTACAATGTGGAGGGTGAAACTTAGAGTAAACCACGGGCTCTGGGTGATGGACATGTAGCAATGCAGGTTCATCAATTGGAATAAATGCACCACTCTGATGAGGGATGTTTCTAGTTGGGGAAGCCATGCATGTGTGGGGCCTGAGGTGTGTGGGAAATCTCTGCACCTTCCTCTCGGTTTTGCTGTGTACTTAAACTGGTCTAAAAAATAAGGTCTATTAATAAATAGATAAGTAACCAATCCTGTTGGAAGCTGGCCTTGCTACTGCACTCACAGGCTCTTAAAAATTTGAGGGAGAATGTTTCCCTTCAAAACACAGGAAAAGTGCAGGTAGGAGCATCGTGGAAGGCCACCTTTGGAAGCTGGAGATTTCTGGAGAGGTTGCTCCTCCCTTAGGATGTTTATACCTGCTGTTCTCCTTACCTAGAAATCTCTTTCCACAGGTTTTGAGTGACTGATTCTTTCCTGTCATGCAGAACTCAACTTATTTATTTTTTTTCTTTTTGAGAAGAGTCTTACTCTGTCACCCAGGCTGGAGTGCAGTGGCACAATTTCGGCTCACTGCAACCTCTGCTTCCTGGGTTCAAGCCATTCTCCTGCCTCAGCCTCCCAAGGAACTGGGACTACAGGCTCACACCACCACACCCAGCTAATTTTTGTATTTTTAGTAGAGACAGGGTTTCACCATATTGGCCAGGCTGGTCTCAAACTCCTGACCTCAAGTGATCCACCCACCCTGACCTCCCAAAGTGCTGGTATTACAGGCGTGAGCCACCACGACCCACCAGAATTCAATTTAAATGTCATCTCCTCATAGAAGCCATCCCTGACAACGGTAAGGTGATGTATCTGCCAAAATGAGCAAGGAGAGAGAGACTGTGGTCCGAAGGATTGGCCCCCATCTCAGCCTCTCTCTGTGTCTATACCCTTGCCCAGCCTCATCGTGCAAAGAATGCATTTTATTTCCCCTTGACTTTCAGCTTGGCCATGTGACTTGCTTCAGCTGATGGCATGTGGGCAGAAGGAGAGTTTGCCAGGGCAGCCCAGACCTGAAGCAGCCTTTTGTTTTCCCATTTGCCTCCCAAACCTCTCCACCAGAAGAGCATGCCACTGCTAACCCCGTGGTTAACCTCCAACCCCAGGCAGAGAATGAGCGATGCCTGGAGCAGGACCACCCAGCCACACCCACCACGGGTGTGCAGCCACAATGAGTTCTCCTTTGCAGTCACTGAGTTTTGGGGTGCTACTATGTGGCATGATGTGACAAATGATATAACAGGCGTGTGGAGTTCTCTTCATAAAGAGAACTTTATGGCACCCAGCAAGCATTTGTTGGCCATTTATCACTCTCCACATCAGTCTTGCAACCCCTTTTGCATTTTGAAATTACAGATGAAGACAAAGAATAATTAGCAAGTGCTCATATTGCTTATTATCGTAACATCTGTCATATTTATATCAAATTATTCTAAATGTGCAAAATATATGTTACCCATGAGATTGAAATATGCCCTGAGGTCAGAAACTCCACTGTAACCCACTGAAGATGAGCCAGCAAAGTCCATCAAGGCTGCCTACTTGGCTCTCTATGCTTCCCCAACTTGGTGCCATGTTGTCCCTGGCACTAACCTTACAGGAGGTTGGTAGAGGGTGGAAGAGAAAGGAAGGGGGGCAAAGGACAAGAGAGAAGTTAAGAAACTGCACTGACACTTGGTTGGAACCAACAGAATCTACTCCTTACAGGGACATCACGTCCTGAGATATTTATGACTATTGCACAAGAGATCAAACGTCATCATCCTCTTGGGGAAATGGCTTCAAAACCCATGAGGCAGTTTATAAGCTCTGAAATCTCCTAACAAATGAATGGAAAATTTCTTTGGAGGTTCCATGATTTGTCTGCCAACTCCCAAGAATACGCACATACAGGCACACACAGCTGCATCCAGACCTTCCACCTCTTGCTGCTGTCAACTTTGTTAGCTGAGACAGGCCAAGACATACTCACCAGCCCCTTGCTGAGATGTGACTCACCTCTCATACCCTCTTTCCCAACATCGTCATCAATGCCACCTCCCCTTCCCACAGGCTACTCCTCACCACCAAACCACCAGAAGGTGTACAGTGGCCACAGCCATGGTGAGACACCAGCAGACTCCCACATCCCTTGCGGATTTATTTGGTTTCATCGATGCATTAGACCACACATGGGAAGAAAATGAGCAAGTGCAAGAGAAAGGTTTCTTTGATCCTAAATCTGGAAATGAAATATATTTACATAAAGCCATGAAAAGCCAGAAATGGCCAATGAGAAACCACAGCTTGACTCTCAGAGTTAAACACCATTATCAAGCTTTTGTATGTCCTTAATGGCTCCTAAAAGCTCCATTTAAAAACAAACCAAAACTCTGGCCAGAGCTGAAGAGACTCTTACAATCAGTGAGGCCTGGGCCTGGGTGAGATCCGTCAAGCTTGTAAACCTCTCATTCCACCCCTCACCACTCCCCTCACCCAGTGGCATTAACACCCGTGAGCTTCACCCATACATAACTCAGCTCAGCCACTCTTATTATCTTGGCAGCCTCCGGGAGCCTTTCGCCAAGGTTCTGGGCTCTTTCAGTCAACATGACCAATTCCACATCCTTTTATTAATTACTAACCATTTCCCCTTGTAGTCAGCCCTGAAATCCCTGCTTTGATCTGCCTGACAGGTCACATGGTGTGTGCTTCTGAACACAACCCCTCCCATGGCCGACTTCGAACTGGCAAGCCTGGCAGACATACACACAAGCTAGAAAGACATTTCCTGTAGATACAAGAAAAAGAGGGAGTTCTACCAGGAAACCAATGGCCACAGAGAATTTTTGTTAATTCATTCTTATATATAATAAATAGATTATTTATTATTAATAAATAATCTATTTATTAATTATAATAAATAATCTATTTATTAATTATAATAAATAATCTATTTATTAATTATAATAAATAATCTATTTATTAATTATAATAAATAATCTATTAATAAATAACTTGTTTATTAATTATAATAAATAATTTATTAATAAGTGATTTGTTTATTAATTATTAATAATTTATTAATTATTAATAAATAATTTATTTATTAATTATTAATGATTTTTAATTATTAATTAATATTAAATTTATTTATTTATTAATAGCCTGTTGGTATGTATTTAAGAGCAAAATAACAGTGGCTGTCAAAAACACCCTACATCCTGTCCAATTAGAGAGACCATAACTTATTTAGATCACAAAAAGACCACGATTCTGAAACCTGAAGTCTAATGAGCTGAATTATGTGCTTAACGGAGAAGACTCATGGATGAGCCCTCTTGCAGCTTCTGTTAACCTTTTCTGAAGGCACTGGGTCCTCCACAGATCCTGACTGCAGGCAGAATGGCTGGAATGATGAGATGCCTGTCTTGTAACCAAGACCAGGACATAAGCAGATGCCATTCATCCAGACCCACTTTCTTCCTTGGACCACTGTCTATATAAACAGCCTTTCTGTTATTTCCAGTGTGGCATTACAACAAACCAGACACATTTTTCAGGGCACATTGATCTATCCCAAGGGTGTAGGTCTATTAATTCCCTCGAGGCTGACAGTGGATGCTTCCAGGGAAATCTGAAGGCAAGCACACAACTGAATTTAATGAAAATGATTGATTTTTTTTGGTCCACCCCAAGTATCAAAAAGAAAACAGGCCAGGCAAGGTGGTCCGCACCTGTAATCCCAGCATTTTGGGAATCTAAGGCAGGAGGATAGCTTGAGCCTAGTAGTTTGAGACCAGCCTCGGCAGCATAGTGAGACCCCATCTCTACAAAAAAAAAAAAAAAATTAATTAGCTGGGCATAGTGGTGCTTGCCTGTAGTCCTAGCTACTGGGAAGGCTGAGGTGGGAGGATCACTTGAGCCCAGGAGTCTGAGGCTACAGTGATCAGTGATTCAATGATTGCACCACTCTACTCCAGCCTGGGCAATATGGTCTCTGTGAAAACAGAAAATAAAAAATACAACAAACAGCCATTAACAGACTCAAATTGGTTGGCAAGAGTCAGATCCCACATCAGCTAAAATTGCCACATGATATAAAACACTAAATAATAAATGTTTACCTTTATTAAACATTCAGACCATTTCTGGTTAAGAAAACCCTGAACCTTTTTCACTGCATGGCTTAAGATGCAGGTAAGCTAACCATCATCCTTCCTTTCTCTTGGCAACACTTACGCATACAGATCGGTAATGCCCGTCCCACTGCAATAAAAAAAAAAAATACCACATCGACTCTACATCTGCTGCAATTATCGTCTGGTGTGAAGATCAAAGGGGCCTTTTCCCCTGGCAGATTACTCGTCTACAGTTCCCTGGCCTGTCAGTGTGGTCTCAGCTGCTCCCACTTGTCCCATTGCTGCTCAGGAATCAGCAGCCGCCTAGATCTTCCAGCTATGTGACTGGGCTCATAATGACAGTAATTGCCAGTCTGTTAAGTCACCTCCAACCAAAAAGGAAAATGCCTTCCAGACACACTTCTCAGGCCCATGTGAAGAGATAGGAATGAATTCATAAAAGAAAATTATCCAGTCCTGTTTATACAATGCCACTATGACCAACAGGCTTTTTTCTTATTAATGGCTTTCATTTCTGGGCCACACAGTGGAACAAAGCGCTTATATGTCCACTCCTTGAGACCATTAAGTCCTTGACTTGCTTTGACCATTAAGAAGCCCAAAGAGAGGTGTAGGTCTACCCTTGTACCAGTTCCTCTCTCCCCAAAGTATTTTTGGGGCTGGGGTTGCCTTTGGGATTATACTTGCCCAGAAAAGAGACCATCTGGGTTCTTATCTGCAATGGGAGCTACATGAGATTTAAGCTACGTTCCTTCTCATTTCCTCACTACTTTTCTGTTTACCTTTGATCCTTGTTGGTTATTGTAGGAAGACGTGATTGGTATGGCAATGGGATAATATGTATGACAGTTTCAGTCTTATTTTCCCAGTACAACATGCCAGTTGGATAATTCCTCTGAGTAAATATTAACATGAACATTTTCAATATAAAGCCCATTAGCATCCACAAAACTTTGGAATTGTATGTATATGTTGGATTATACTTTCACAGAGGTGGATTTAAAGAGGTGAAATTTTGGCTGCAATAAAAGATTCATTCAGCTGGGTGTGGTGGTTCACACCTGTAATCCCAGCACTATGGGAGGCCGAGGCGGGTGGATCACGAGGTCAAGAGATAGAGACCATCCTGGCCAACATTGTGAAACCCTGTCTCTACTAAAAATACAAAAATTCGCTGGGCATGGTAGCATGCACCTGTAGTCCCAGCCACTCAGGAAGCTGAGGCAGGGGAATCCCTTGAATCCAGGAGGCAGAGGTTGCAGTGAACTGAGATTTGTGCCACTGCACTCCAGCCTGGCAACATAGCAAGACTCCATCTCAGGAAAAAAAAAAAAAAAAAAAGATTCATTCATTAATGTAATCAGATAATGTACACCTACTTTAAATGTATATAGAATATATCCTTGGAAACACTTGTGTGCTGCTTGAAGTCTCTTATTCTCAGCTCCACTCTCTCTCCTTTCTCCTCCCCTGTGACCCAGGAGCAGAAAGCCTGGAAACTACATTTTCCAAATCCCTCTTGCCAATCAGCCTCTTGTTAGCTTCTACAATGGGAGGCACTAGTAGCAAACTGGAGGTGGAAGCAAGGGAGATGCTATTTTTTCCATCTTCTGGTAGTGCCTCTAGAGATGGTGGTGGCAGCAGCAAAGGCTGGCAAGGGTGGCTTCTGGGATTCTGCTGGGTCAGCTCAGTGTTAATAGCAACAATCTTGGTGGATCAGCAAGCATCATGTTCTCTTTGGCTTTCAAGCCTAGGGGGATAGTGACTTCCTGCAGTTACCAATCTGTAAGTAAGCTTGACTCCCTGTATTTACTCCTTCGTTCCTCTCAAATCATGCACCACCAATTTGTATGAAATTCCTTCTCTGAAATATTTACAGCGGTTTCTAGACAGAATAATGCACTGATTGGACACTGACTGATAACTTATCATGCAAATAATTTATCCCCACACACTGTATTTGCTATGAAGCAAATGTTAATCAGATGGTTAAAGATGATACGGTAACAATAAGGTCATTTCATTCAGTCTCCAAATTCATGGCAGATGGGCATGGTGGCACATGCCCATAGTCCCAGCATTTTGGTAGGCTGAGGCAGATGGATCACGAGGTCAGGAGATCAAGACCAGCCTGGCCAACATGGTGAAACCCCGTCTCTACTACAAATACAAAAAAAAGAAATTAGCTAGGTGTGGTGGTGCACACCTGTAATCCCAGCTACTCGGGAGGCTGAGGCAGGAGAATCGCTTGAACCCGGGAGGTGGAGATCACAGTGAGCCAAGACCACACTACTGAGTGAGACTCTGTCTCAAAAAATAAAAAATAAATTAAAAAGATGATATGGTAATGCTAAGGTCATTTCATTCAGTCTCTAAATTCATGGCAGATGGGCATGGTGGTGTACGCCTGTAGTCCCAGCTACCCAGGAGGCTGAGGTGGGAGGATCCCTTAAGCCTGAGAGGTAGAGGTTGCAGTGAGCCATGATTGCACCACTGCACTCAAGCCTGGGCAACAGAATGAGGCTGTGTCTTAAAAAATACATAAATAAACAAATTAATGCCAGAATTAGGAAGGAAAATTTAATTACATAAATTCTCTAAGACTCTATAAAACAGCCAGATGAGTGGTCCAATCCCCTTTCCAAATAGCTTTGGTTTCAATTTTATGTTTGTTGGCTTGGGGTCCGTCCATCTGGGTCATGTATTGGGCCAGTGTGGGATCTCAGGCATTGTTACTGGGTTCGCACGGCTGTTCCCTAACCTAACATGGCAGCATTAGATGCCAGCACTTTGATCCATGCACACACACAGGATATAGACATAAGAGCTTCCCAAACCAACTGGAAAGAGTCCCAGTGGGAATACTCCACGACATATTCATCAAAGTCAAATGCAGAGCAAATTGACCTGGCTCATTAATTATGAAAATTCTCTCACAAAGTGACATGTTGCTAACTATGTGGAAGCTTAGCACATTTTCACGTGGTTCTTTTTGTCTACTTGGATCCAAAATGTCACATTTAGTAATGCGTTGAGGTTTTCTTTTCCTTACTTAGGAAGAAAAAGCTATTTTATGCCGAACCCACATCTAAATATATATACTCGTGTGTTTACATATGCCCACTATGTGGATAGAGGTAGCCTGTTGGTAAGAAGGAAGTTTGCTATGCCAGAATTTGTTTTACAAAGATATATAGAAGGAATTTGAAAAATAAATGTTGATTATTTTAAAACCCTTGAATCTATGTTGAGCGCCTGTCCCCCCTGGACTAACTGGGCAAATTCAGACATCATATGAAAACCTGGCCTTATTTCTCTACATATGTTGGCTAAAGCAGTGAAAAGAACATGGGCCTCTCTCCACCATCACTGAAAGGAATTTCAGTTCCTTAGGTCTTTCATTTCCTCTCTCAAAATGTAGGAATGAGAACTTTCAGAAGCTCACAAAAGTTACCCTTCTATATTCAGGCCTTTTATCTAAACTGAGATGGTCATTATGTACTGCTTGACTTTTAAAAGCTCCTAAATGTGGCCAGGCACAGTGGCTCAAGCCTGTAATCCCAACACTTTGGGAGGCTGAGGTGGGTGGATCACCTGAGGTCGGGAGTTCGAGACCAGCCTGACCAACAATGGAGAAACCCTGTCTCTACTAAAAATACAAAATTAGCCAGGCGTGGTGGGCCATGCCTGTAATCCCAGCTACTCGGGAAGGCTGAGGCAGGAGAATCGCTTGAACTCGGGAGGCAGAGGTTGCAGTGAGCCAAGATCACGCCATTGCACTCCAGCCTGGGCAACAAGAGTGAAACTCCATCTCAAAAAAAAAAAGCTCCTAAATGTGCCTACTGAATCTTATGACAATGCCTGATCATTGAAAATCCTTTCTGGATCAGTTAGGTTATTAGTTTGGCTATCATTAAAAAAGGTCAAAGTAACAGTAACTTAAATTGATAATAGTTTATTTATTTTAAATATGGTCTAATCATAAATATTCAAAGTGTTATAACACTCCATAGTATCAGAGTTCCCGCTCTTCCTGTCCTGCTGTTCTGCCATCCAAAACACATAGCACGTGCATACCTGTGCATACCTAAGCCTGTGCATAGAGGCCCCACAGCAACTCTGCACATAGCCCTCAAGGTCACATCCCACGGGCCATGTGGCAGTTCTTGCTGCAAGGGAAGCTGGGAAACATAACCTTTGTTCTGGGCTGCATTGGACTCAACTTTACTAAAGGAAAGGGATGGCTGAGACCAGCCATGTCTGCCACAGCCTTCTTTTCATTAAGGTGCAGCGTTTCCCTAAGTATTGGCACAGAGAAGGCACAAAATAGATATGTGTTCAATGAACAAATAAACAAATGAATAAATAAAATTCTTCAGGGAATGCTTATCTGAAAACAGACATGAAAACAGTTTGCTAGGATATTCACGGTTGGTTGTTTTCATCAATTTCTCAGAGGAGAAATTTAGTTTTTATTAGATCATTAAATCAATTTAAACAGACATATATTTGTATATCAGCATCAGGAAGAGCAATGTAAATGTCCTACGGGTGACATCATCATATTCTTCCCCAGCATTTCTCAAACCTATCTAGCCATGGAACCCTTTGTCAGAGAACATTTACTAATGATTTACAAGACATTCATGAAAAATACTCTCCTGCCTAAAATCTTAGCAGAAAAATAGAATTCAGCCATTTATCCACTTAGGATAGGACCATAAAGAAGTCAATATACATGTAAATAAACTACATTTTTTTAAAGCAACAAGAGAGAAGTCTTTTCAGCACATACTATTAACAGTCCCATAGTATCTTCCAATGGCTGTGAATAACTAGTAGGTTGACCTGCCACCTTACATAATGTCTTCATCTCCCCAGTAATTTCCCAATAATCCTGGAGTACTGGAAATGGAAGACACCTTAAAATGGTATCAAAGCCATTCGTCGGCCTTCAGATCCTAATGTCACTAAACTAACTGAGAGAAACCAACATCAGAGCAAAACCTCATGACATGAGCTCATTCCTACACAGGGTCTGGAAAACATCACTTCCACTTTAAGTACACACTAAAAAAGGATGATGATTCAGACAGACAATCTTAGCTGCACTGCGCGGGTGGACAAGGGGATTGTAACCAGCCATCCAGGAAATCTGGCATCTGTCCAGAAAACAAGTCTAAATTTTGAAAGGTCTCTGCCTAACACATTCAGTTTATGTCCACAGGTCTCTGAGGAAGTGCACTTATAAAGAGGAGATGACTACGTTAGAAATTATGACTGAGGCAGCTTTTGCGCTGTAACTCTTGCTTAAAAGGGAAGTACGCCAGTTCCCCTTTGAAACAGTTTCTAAGCAGCAGGTGGCTACCACCAGGAAGCCAGGCACACGATGCAGCAGTATTGATATCTGGCTGTGTTGTACAGATCTTCCCTTTATCCATTCGAAGGATGTGAAAGCGAGGGCAGAGGGTAGAATTTTTAGCTGGTAATGGTCTCTTTTAATCAAAGAACTCAATAAATTACAAAGAGACTGAGTCACTTGTCCTGTCTCAAAGAAATGTCATAAGAATAGCTCAGGGCAGTAAAGGAAGTTTAATTAACGCAGCCGGGTGTGGTAGTTCACACCTGTAATCCCAGCGCTTTGAGAGGCCAAGGCAGGCGGATCACCTAAGGTCAGGAGTTCGAGACCAGCCTGGCCAACATGGCAAAACCCCATCTCTACTTAAAAAAAAAAAAAATTAGCTGGACATGGTGGCACATGCCTGTAATCCCAGCTACTGGGGAGGCTGAAGCAGGAGAATCGCTTGAACCTGGGAGGTGGAGATTGCAGTGAGCCAAGATCATGCCACTGCACTCCAGCCTGGGTGACAGGGTGAGACTCCACCTCAAAAAAAAAAAAAAAAAAGAGCTCAGAATTGGAGAACATTTATAAGTAGCTTGGTTTAGGGGAGGACAAATGAGGAGAAAGCCGATCTAAAATAGGTTGGGACAATCTATTAGCCAACTATCTACACTCTCCCACCATAGTTTTCATTATTGCATTAATGAAAGCTGAGTCTCCAGAAATTAAAAAAGACTGTTTCTCAACCTATCTAAGCTGCAATCCGTTTTAATGAAGCTAAGTATAGAGACAGAGGGAACCTAGATAATAATAGAAATAACTGTGCTAATGTTTAAAAGAAGAAAAGAATGAGGTTAAGGTTAATTGCAGTAAATAATAATGAAAAATGTGTGTTATTCAATATAGTCACTAAAAGGATGAAAATATTTTCAAATATGACTCATTCCAGTTGAAACAGGAAGGGAAGTAAAAGCATCAACATCTGACAAGACATTAAACTCCCTAAGTCAGAGCAGCGCTGCCCCTGTGGGGAAGAAACTATCCTCCTCCCAATGGCACAGAACCAACTCACTCAAGCCAGGCGCCTCTGGAGAAAGTCACTGAATCACATATGTGTGTGCACACACACACACGACAATAGCCAGCCAGAGAGTGAGAAAGAAAGAGGGTATACTGACCCCTAAAGGACCAAGGCAGACTGTAGACATCTTTCAAGAAGGAAAGGAATGAAGAAAAAAAAAGGCAATAGATAATTTAGCTCAAAATCATGTTGGGAGAGGGTTGACCAGTTCTTGGACCCAGGGATCTTGAGAGAAAGAGTAGATGAGCCCAAATGTCCTCAGTAGGCACTTGAGGTAAGGAGCCAAGAGCTGACTTAGAAGGAGAAGGAAGGAGGACCCACAGGAATAATAAAGCAAGAAGGAGAGCACTTAAATACACCACATGTCTTCAAATTCGCAGGCCCTAGGGATTTGTAACTTGTTACAAAGTTATTTCTGAAGGCTAGAAAAATGTACAGAAAACATATGCTGCTTCAAAAGTGGGAGTGGAGAGAGTGGGAGAAAGGGATGACCTGCTTCTGTGAATAAATGTTCCTATTGTAATTCCTTAACTGGCAAAGTACTTTTGTGTAAATGATACTTTGTAAACCCATAGGCAGAAACCTAGCTGAGAAATAATCAGCACAAATAGGCAGAGTACAAATGCGTATTTATGCAACTTTCTCGGTTTTTTATTTCTTAAAAAAAAGCACTAAACTTCACATTTACAGAAGAATGAAAGGCGTGTCATTTGTTTTAATTTTTTAAGATGTTGATTTAATCTAATCAAGATTTTGGTGCAAGTGGAATCAACTACCTTAGGAAGGCAGATAGAATTAGAGTCTTGATGTGCAACTCAAATCTAGATGTTTCCTCCTGACTTTCCCCCAGCTCAGCCTCCTCATCCAACTGCCATTGGACCCTCCACCTTCCCAGACTGAACTCAGTACTTCCCCTTCCTTCACTCTATCTCCTCTTCCATTTTCATCTCTCCTTCTCCTCTCAACCCTCTTGCACTCTTTCCTAGACCTCAGTTAATGAAGTCGGCATCCATCCAACCTCCAACGCAAGCAATATTTTGAAAAACCCCTGCTTGAAATAAATGTCACTTCCTTCACTTATAGAATAAAATCCAAACTCTCCCAGCATCATAGAGAAAAGTTCTTCACATATAAGTGCCCATCTACCTTTCAAACCTGTCTCCGCTCCTTACCCTATGCTCCCAACACACCCAATTATCCTCCAAGCCCCCAAATCCAATCACATTCCCTTCATCTGGGGTGCCCTCCAGGTCTTTGCCCGGGGAAATGCTATCCACTCCAAGACTCAGCTGAAACACCACCTCTCTGTGAAGACATCCCTAACTCCCCAGGCATAGTCTGTACATCTCTCTTTTATCCCTCTATCGCCTTGGGTTAATATAATAGTGTTTCCCCTGTTTCTGGTAATTGATCTGTTTTTAAGACTCTCTTCCTGAGTGGAAAGCAAGAAGATATTGCCTTCATCTTTGCATGTGAGCACTAAGCACCTTGGTCACCTTACCTAAAGGGAACACGCTTCCTGCTATGTTTTTCTCCCTAGCGCTACCATATACTTGCTTGTTTACTTGTTTATTACCTGTCTCCCTCCACTGGACTATGAACTACATGAAAGCAGGTATTTTTGTCTATTCTGCTCTCCTCTGTAGCATCAATGCCCTGAATAATGCCTGGCACATGATAGGCACTTAATACATATTTGCATGAACGTGGATCCAAAATGACTTAGAACAGTGTCTAACACATTCAACATACAAGTACCTCCTACTCCCTAGAATTTTTCTCAGTATTCCTCCAATTCTCCCTCCACCTCCTCTGCATTCCTACCATGACTACATGAGGTTCCACAATACTTGGCATTTCATCCATTAATGTATTTTAATCTTGTCTTTCTAAGGAGATTATAAAAATCCCAAGGACAGGTGCCACGTCTTTTAAGAAAGTCAATGTTAAGTATAACTCATGCTAGGCACTTCCATGCTTATTGGATCACTTAAGTTTTTTTCCCAAACATCCTGCAAAATTATTTTAGTATTCCAGGTTGACAAATAAACTAACAGAGGTGCAGATCTACCTAAATTCACATGGCCTTTAAGTAGCTATTCAAATCGGTTTTGACTCTAACTTTTATGTTCTTTCCAGTACTTCACACCGCATCTGTTAATTTAGCTCTGGCTGGGTGCAGTGGCTCACGCCTGTAATCCCAGCACTCTGGGAGGACAAGGTGGGTGGATCACTTGAGGTCAAGAGTTTGAGACCAGCCTGGCCAACATGGTGAAACCCTGTCTCTACTAAAGATACATAAATTACCTGGGTGTGGTAGTGGGGGCCTGTAATCCCAGCTACTCGGAAGGCTGAGGCAGGAGAATTGCTTGAACCTGGGAGGCATAGGTTGCAGTGAGCCAAGGTCACACCACTGCACTCCGGCCTGGACAACGTGAGTGAAACTCTCAAGGAAAAAAAAAAAAAAAAAAGCTCTGTTAGGGATTGAATTGTGTCCCTGCAAAATTTATATGTTGAAGCCCTAACCCACAATATGACTGTTAGATAAGGCCTTTAAGGAGATAATGTTAACCTTTTAACAAGGTTACATGAAGTCATAGGGTGGGCCCCTGATCCAATAGGACTAATGTCTTTGCAAGAAGAGAAAGAGACACCAGGAATGTGTGTGTACAAAGAAAAGGCAGCCACCTGAGAGCCACAGGGAGAGGCCCCAGAAGAAACCAGCCCTGTCAACACTGTGATTTTGGACTTCTAAACTCCAGAACTGTGAAAAAATAAATGTCTGTCGTTTAACCACCCAGTCTGTGATATTCTGTTAGGACAACCCTAGAAGACTAATGCAAGCCCATTGTTAAATTTTTCCAAAGCTATAGAAAAGCCAAAAGGAGAAAAACAATCACCCACAAACTCATCATCCAAAAGCAATCACTATTAACATTTATTCTATGATCTGGTCTTCTTTAACTTTGCATATTTTTAAATAATTGTAATTAGACTGGAAATACAAATTGGTTACACCAGCTTTTCAATTAATATTCTTAAGTTTGTGTACCATTTTAAAATTAATATTATAATGATATGACAATTACTATTTATCCATAAGGAGAAACTTTTTCACGTATTTTTCAAAATGTTTTCCCTTGTGAAAAGAAGAAAAAAACTTTTCCCTTGTGAATTGTCTATTCTTTGCCTACTCACTATTTCCTTGCACATTATATAAAGAATATTCTTTTTTATCCATTTTTTGGAATGATTTTCTATGCTGTTTCTCAATTATCTCACCCAGTAAGTACCTACCATTGTGCTGAATACAAAATTAGTGTGACCCAATATTGATGATCAATCATTAAAAATCATTCACCCAACCGAATGATCAAGGTTAACATCAGCGGTATGAAGTCATGTTGACATCACATGCACCTGCCATGAGGCAATGAAAAGGGCACTTCATCTTCATGGTATTCTTCCCAGAAACCCAAAACCCTGGTCTAATCACAAGAAAACATCAGACACATGCAAATGGGGAACATTCTACAAAATGTCTAACCAGTCCTCTTGAGAAATGTCAAGGTCGTAAAAAACAACAAAAGACTGAGAATCTGTCACAGATTGGAGAAGACTAAGGGGCTGTAATGACTAAATGCAGCATCGTATCCTGGATTAGATTCTGGAAAAGAAAAAAAGTCATTAGTAGAAAAACAAATCAGAATAAAGTCTATCGTCTAATTAATAGTATTGTATCAATGTTGAGTTCTTACTTTTTATAAATATGCCACTGTTATGTAAGAGGTTAACATTAAGGAAAACAGGTGAAGAGTATACAAAAAGCTCTCTGTACTGCCTTTGCAACTCTTCCATAAATCTAAAATGATTTCGACATTAAAAGGTGGGTTTTGTTTTTAATGATTCACTCTGGATGCATAACTAGTGGCATTTCACAGACAATCGCACCTTTATCCAACACAACCTTAACCCTTTCATCAACAACCTTAAATTACAAAATAAAAGAAGTATTTATTGAGTTCATAATAAATTAGAAGATAGCTAAGACCCAGAAACAGAGATTACGTATTGAGTGTGAGTTTGCTGAGCTAAAAAGGAGATTGACAACAACAAAATTAGGTCCATATGACAGGTCAAAATCATGCTCTCTAAGCAGAAAAAGTGGACCACACAAACTAAAGACAAGTTCCCCCAAGGTGGCATGGTATGTTGGAAATATCCTGGTTCTGAAATTGAGTCACACAACTGCCAATTTCCTGTTGGTTAGGAACCTTAGGAAAGTAAATAATCTTCCAGAGTCTTGGTTTCTTCAAATTTAAAACTGAAGTGGTAAGGTTTATTTTATGAAACTGTGGAGTAGGGGGTCAATCAACTTTTTCTGCGAGTTAGGAAATATTTTTAGGCTTTGTAGATCAGACGGTCTATGTCCCAGCCATGTAACTCTGGTGCTATAGCTCAGAAGAAGCCACAGACAACGTGTGAACATGCGGCCTGGGCCTTAAAGAAGAAAGTAGCTGGGGAGTAAGTAGAAAAAGGAAGAAATTAATAGCTTCCATATGCCACAGAATTCACCCAATGCCATAGCTGGGATCATGCAGGAGGAGCACTGTGGTCAGAGATCTCTATTTCCAAATGTGAATATTGTTCACAGAAAGGATATGCTATCAGCACTTTGGGAACATGACAGCTGTAACATGTGTTTGCTGTGTTATTTAAAAATATTTAGCACAACCATAGAAGACAATACAAATAAATAAGAAGGATGAAACTCAAAGGATATATTACTTAACCGTAATGGCTAATTTTATGTGTCAACTTGACTGGGCCAGAAGGTGCCCAGACATTTGGTTAAACATTACCCTGGGTGTTTCCATGAAGGTGTTTTTGGAGGAGTTTAACACTGAACTTAGTAGACTAAGTAAAGCAGATTTCCCTCCCTCATGTAGGCGGGCCTCATCCCATCAGTCAATGCCCTGAATAGACAAAAAGACCAACCCTCTCCCAAGGAAGAGAGGACTCCTCCTGCCTGACAGCCTTTAAACTATTGTCTTCAATGTTGAATAGAAACATTGGCTTTTCCTTTCTCAATGGCATGGTCACAGACACACTTTCAAACCACTACATTGTGATTCTTTTATTAGAATGGGAATAAAATGTGTCCTTCCTGGTGAAAGAACATAGTTACAAGGGCCATGCCAAAAACACTTCCTTGAGATCCCCAATTGCAAATCAGGTAAACCTCACATGTGTCACCTGCATTAAACCCACCAGTGATTGGAGGAGAGTGTCACAGTGAGCAATGGATGTCTTTAGAAACACACAGGCGGCCTCTCACGGATGTCTCCAAGTGATAGAAGATGCTATAAATATACACGAGGGTATGAAAAAGCAGCCTTTGCTGACAGAAACCCTCAGGGTTAAGCTGTCAGAAAATAAATGATACTGGTATAAGGCAAGGAGAACTTGTTTGCAAAACAGAACAACCTGAGTTTTCCACCTCTGACATGGACTTATCTAAAAAGATGCTACATGAGAAATACTTCCGAGAATTCTGATAGTATCCTAATTTCAGAGACCCTTGATCCAGCCATGAGTTTATAACCAGAAGGGTGAAGAACTCTTCCTGAGAAAGGTTGCATTTTGCTTCTATGTCAAGAAGCCATTCGTCCTCCCTTTAATTCCAATTACAGAAATTCATGCTAAGAAATGAAACAGAGATGTGAGAACAATGCATCTGTAACAGTGTTTATTTCAGCATCATTTCTGAAAGAAAATTTGAAACAATATCTAAGTGTCCATTGATAGAGAAATGATTAAATATTAATATTAAATGATTAAATATGATTAAAAATGCAGCATAGGCAAAAGGTAGAATAGTATGTTGCTGTCAAAAATCAGTTTTTGAAGAGTAATGATCTGGAATACAGTATGTTCATTACATAATATAACGTTAAAAGGAGGATGTAAAGTTATACATTCAACATGATTTCAGTTTGATCTCTAAAATGGTAAGAATTCTTGTTTTCATAATACTTTTCTGTATTTTCCAAATTTTCTACAATGGAAATCCATGACTTTTATAATCAGGGGGAAAATTATTATTCAAAGAAATGGATTTGTCCCAAAGAAAACTCCCCCTTTTCAGTGACAGTATGGTTCCAATAGCCCAGCACATGGATAAGAGAAGTGACTACAATAAAGATTACCATGATCCCAACCTCTAAAACATTCTCTCTCCGTGCCTCCTCAGCAAGGTATCCTCCTGCTAAAGGCAGTGTCTACACCCGTAGGGGGAATACTATTACAGACACTCTAGAGAACCAGGCCAACAGTGACTTTTCAGTTACATTGACGGCTCAAAGTTTGACCACAAAGCAGCATTAGCAGAGTGGGTTCTGTCTATTCAACAACAGATGATCCTGCCTCCCAATTATCACAGATAAGCCATTCAGCAAATGCACCATCAACCCAAACAATACTTGCAGGGTTCTAGCACTCTGTGCGATGAGTATTCAGGCGAACGGCTAAAGTTCGTGTCTGGCTAATTTTAAAATGTGCTGACTATAAAATTTTCCCAGTATTGCCAGTATAGGGAAGAGCACCTCTCTAATTAAAACAGCTCCTCTGTTCTCTGTTTCTTCTTTCAATGACTTAACATTACCATCGCCAGCTTTGTCTTAGGTGTACAACAGTCTAGAGTACTTGTAACTGATGCCCAGTGAAAGGGCAAAACTGAGCCGTTCAAATGCTTCACAGCCTGAGCGGTTGTGTCTGCGTGCATTAATGAGCATGCATAGTAATGGAGATTTAGCGTGGATACAGAGGGACATCTAGTGACCAGCTAAGTAAAAAACACAGTGCAGCCTGCAAACTACATGGAGGCGGCCATGGATCCTTCACCTAAAGTTGTGCTTTATTTGATGAATAAGTATTGAACATCTATTATGTCCAAGGCACTGCACTAAATTTAGGGGTTACAAAGAACAAGACAAAAATCCTTCCATGAGAGACAGGATTTTCCATAATTTAAAGCTGATGGAAAAACATCTCCTTAAGTAATGAGTAATTTTTCTGTTGTCTCTATTTATGAAAGGCAAAACGAAATTTCACACTCAAAAGAGAACATCCCTCAAAGGAAACCCAAATTATTTGCTTTCCTATTGTAAGATAATTTTCCAAAAGCACTAGAAATAAAGTAATATTCTATGTCAGCAATTCCAAACTTGCAATACATGCAACAAGTTTTTTCTTTGATTTGTGTAACAATTTCCCATATTTCTTCCCGAACCCAAAGGGATGAGTATTATAGAACAGTGCTCTCAAAATAAATTAAAACAAACTTAGCCCTGATAATTTTAGAAATTAACTTTATCCTACTCTTTAAGTTAATCAGTCCCAACATTAGGCTCACAAACTAACCAAAAGTAAATACAAAACTGGAAAATGCTGAATTCAAGCCCCAAAACTACTATCAAAGACACGAAAGCAGGAACTTTTCTCACCTAACATCCAAAGGAATCTGTGTGTGTGTGTGTGTGTGTGTGTGGTGTGTGTGTGTGTTTTAATCCTTTACTCCCCACCACCACTAAAAAAATATTAATATGTGAAAGTTTTGGAATGTATTTTATTTTGAATATCATAATGTTTTGCATACATAAAATGGCACATTGCAAACCACACTATCATGCACTTCTTTTCTGTTATAAGAGGAGGAAAACAATTAAATATTGCTGTACATGGAGCACGTCAAGAAGTTTGTGAGCAATCCTAGAGAGGGTCGAGTGCCTTTCTTCTGGGAAGAGCCAGTGACAACCCAAATCACCGGGTCATGTAAGACCCATGAAAGTAAAAGCAACTCAACTCAGAGTTTATTTTATTTGAGGTTTTTGGTGAATAAGAAATACAGGATATTGCCGTTATCTTCAAAGTGAAGACTAAGCAACATTAAATTATTCAGTAAACGCAGTAAGTAAAAATAAGCTCCAGTTCTACCTTATATACATTTCAGAAAAAGACGCTATGATGAGGGTGGTAATCAGGATAAAACAGAGACCATGAGACCAACGTGGACCTTACCATGAGCCACATGCCCTGAAGGTAGACTGGCTATCTTTGGGAAAATCTCAACTCTTCAGATTAAAAGGGTGAATGAATATTTCCAGGATTTTTAAATTAAATGTGTTTAGCTATGGCCATTGATGCCTTTTTGTCCTCATTCATTTTCTTCCCAACCTTTAGGGTTACTCCTGCAGCCCTCTCTAAGCTGCATTGGCCTCTCTCACCCCAGCAGCCCTGTAGCAAACCCCACAGTCCCATGCTGGCCAGAGGAAGGCAAGGGGGCTCAGCCCATAAAACTTCATGACTGTCTCAGCTCTGCCTCTTTCCTTCTGGCCTTTTCTATAGTCATGGCTCTCAAATAGCTCACCTGTCACCATCTCCTTCCGACAGTGTCTTCCAGATGGCTTTGAATACCAGTACCAGGCCAGGCTGAGCCCACAAAGGGCACCAACCAGATAGGCCACTGAGATGGGGCCGGGGTCAGACCTATTGGATCCATGCATGCTGTATACACATTGGTGTGCACACACACACACAGCATGAGCAAGCACGAACACACACACCCCAACTTACCTCCTCATTACACATTATACGCCTGCATGCACACACATACACCCCTACTTACTTACTTCCTCATTATACATCACACATCTGCACACACACACAACCACTACTTACTTCCTCATTACACATCATACACCTGCGTGCACACACACACAAACTTACCTCATTACACATCACACATTTGCACACACACACATCCCTACTTACCTCATTACACATCACACATTTGCACACATACACATCCCTACTTACCTCCTCATTACACATATCTGCACACACACACACACACCACTACTTACCTCATTACACGTCACACATCTGCACACACACACTTACCTCCTCATTACACATCATACATCTGCACATACACACACACCACTACTTACCTCCTCATTACACATCACACATCTGCACACACACACACACCTTCCCACATACTTCCTCATTACACATCATACACACACACACATCCCTACCTGTGTACCTCATTACACATCATATATCTACACACTCACACACACACAGCCTTTGATAAGAAGAATTGTATGAAATAAATGAACAACTGGTGGCCACTGTCATTAAACCAAGCTTGCTCACCCCTGATTTCAACAGTGTCGGCTCCCCAGAAAGGAGGCCAGGTCAATGCTGCCGTGTCAGCAGAAAGGACAGTGTGCTTCCAGATGAAAAATACCCAGAGAAATTACAAAGACAGTTATGGTGATTAATCAAATTGGAAGACTTAGAATTTACCTTCAAACAGGATTTCTCTCATGCCTCTATTCACAACAGCATAAGAACGTACACATCGGGACAGAACAGTGGCCCAGCAAGACCTCCATCCAGACAGCTCCAGCCTGTCCTCTTGTCACAGGCCCCAGCAAGGATCTCGTGCCACTCCTCCCCACCTCTCCTGGGTCTGCACCCAGTGCTCTGTCATCCTGGTAGACTGTAGTTGGGGTGGCCATCACCCCATTGGCCAGGACAATCCCAGTTACTCCTATTGCCCTGGCATAATTGTTATTAGCACTCTCTTTTTATTCTGAAGAGCTTTGGTCTGGATAATATGTTACATAGCAATTTACCTGTCGGAATGTTTTCTCCACCAACACACCTTTCTTAACTGTTCAGTTGCAGCGTCAGTGTAAGCACGGGACGCAGATCCTTGCATAGCCCCGTGATTATATGTTGGCCCTGTCCGTGGTTCCCAGAGGTCATTGTGGACACCTTGTAGGCCATGTACTTGTTGTCCAAGGTAAATGGATCACACGTGCCTTCTGCCTTTTACCTTCCACCTTCAATCATGTTGAACTCGAATCTGCATCAGATACACAGGTGAGTGAATACTCAACAAGAGAGAAGAACTCTAATGTATTGAAGCCTATTAATGGATCCATAATAAAAATAATTATCTGTAAGGTTAAGGAAGATATTCAGCTACTCAGTAGTAAGTAATCACTGAAACCTTTTAGAGAAGCTCAATTCAAAATTCAAATGGGGTGAAATCCATGAACCTCTTTATTTACTCTTAATACTAGTAAATGTAGAGAAGGTGGCAAAGCATAGTTCACATGAATTATTAGAACTGACATTCAAGTGTAAATAAGCCTTTTATTTATAAATGTCATCAGTATTCTGTTCAAGTGTGTCATGAACCTGTCACCTCATGACAGACACTCAGCAAGTGTTTGTTGGCTCATTTATTCGCAGAACAAAACCATTTCTCAGGCTGCATCTGCAGGCAGCATCGCAGGTGGTGATGAGGTCAGGTGGGGATCAGACACGCCTCTCTTAAAGCCTGGCTCTGCCTTATTAGCTCTTGACTTTGAACAGTCCCTTCACCTCTCTGAGTTTGTTTCCTGCCTTTGAGTAGGGATCATAGCAACCAATCCCCTAGCATCATTATAGTACCGCGTTTAAAGTCCTTATCACAGTGCCCGGCACTGAGAAAGCTTTCAATCTTTATTTTTACCTAAAAAATTCATATTGTGCTTATTATGTGCCAGGCCCTGTTCTAAGCGCTTAGCATATATCAATTCATTTCATCCTGTTAACGACCCCATCGTATAATTTTCTTTTTGAGACAGAGTCTCATTCTGTTGCCCAGGCTGGAGTGCAGTGGCATAATCTCAGCTCACTGCAACCTCTGCCTCCTGGGTTCACACGATTCTCCTGCCTCAGCCTCCTGAGTAGCTGGGATTACAGGTGCATGCCACCATACTCAGATAATTTTTGTATTTTTAGTAGAGAGAGGGTTTCACCATGTTGGCCAGGCTGGTCTCGAACTCCCAGCCTCAGGAGATCCACCCACCTCAGCCTCCCAAAGTGCTAGGATTACAGGCATAAGACATTGTGCCTGGCCAACCCCATGATATAAATATAGATATTAGTATTGTTCCCATTCTACAGATGCAGAGCTGACACATACAGAGGGTAAGTCCCTGTTCAGAGTCCCACAGCTGGTTACCACCCAGTTAGCCTGGCTCCAGACTCTACTCTCTTCATGCTGCACTAGGCTGCCACTATGGTTTGAACGTGTTCCCTCCAAAATTCAGGTGTTGAAAGTTAACAGCCAGTAAAATGATATTTGGAGGTGGGGGCCTTTAAGAGGTGATTAAGCCATAAGAACCCCTTTTTCATGAATGAGTTTAAGGCCCCGGAGGCTTCACACAGCAGTGTTTGTAACTTGCTCTTCTACCTTCCACCAAGTGAGGACACAACTTCCCTCCCCAACAGAGAGTGCAGCCCTCACCAGACAATCCAACCCACCAGTGCCTTGATCTCGGACTTCCCAGCCTCTAGAACTGTGAGGAAATAAATTGCCATTCTTCATAAATTGCCCAGTCTCGGGCACTCTGTTTTAGCAGTACAACATGGACTAAGATAGCTGCTATTCCATTTTTCAACATTGCTGGAGCCCACATGGAGAATTAACTAGAGCTCATGGAGGCCGAAAGCCCAGGAGCTGAGTGAGAAGCTCCACAGGTGGTGTCTTGGCACAGACTTGAGCGGTACAGTTACTGCTACCATGACCCCCAGCAAGCTGATCCATAGAGATAACCAGCAGCCAGCTCATTCCATCTTAAACCCAGATGGATCCTGAATTATCTTCTATTACTTAAAAAAAAGAAAAAACTTATCTTCATTTTCCCTTTTGCACTGATACGAACAGACGTGGAGAGAAGATGCATCCAACAGTACCATATCTCCAGATAAAGAAGCAATGCTGAATCATTCCTTCAAAGTGAAAGTGTTTCAAAGAACCTGCTGCTTAATTCAACCTTTACTTCAGAGATACACTGAGTGGAAAATCATAATTTAGTGATAGCTTGAAGGACTTCCTGAACTCACTAGGGTACGAGTAGGTGGGGGATGGGGGTCTGTTACGGGTTTGTGTCCCCTCAAAAAATACATGCTGGCATTCTAACTTCTAGCACTTAATTTGAAATAGGATCTTTATGGAGTAATCAAGTTAAAATGATGTCATTAGTGTCGGTTCTAATCCAATACTACTGCTGTCCTTACAAAAAAGGGGAAAATTGGACACAGAAACAGACACACATAGAGGGAAGATAATTTGAAAAGACACAGGGGCCAGTTGCAGTGGCTCACACTTGTAATCCCAACACTTTGGGAGGCCAAAGCAGGAGGATTGCTTGAGCCTAGGAGTTCAAGACCAGCCTGGGCTACATAGGGAGACCCCCATCTCTACAATATATTAAAAAATCAGCTGGGTATGGTGGCGCGTGCCTGTGGCCCCAGCTACTCAGGAGGCTGAGGCAGGAGGATCACTTAAGCCCATGAGGTCAAGGCTGCAGTGAGCCATGTTCATGCCAGTACACTCCAGCCTGGGTGACAGATAGAGACCCTGTCTCAAAAAAGAGAGAGAGAGAGAAAGAAAGAGGGAGAGAGAGAGGGAGAGAGAAGGGGGGGACAGAGAGAGAGAGAAGATGACCATCTGCAAGTCAAGTACAGAGGCCCAGAACAGATTCTCCTCACAGCCCTCAGAAGGAAACAACCCTGCAAAGAACTCATATAAGCTGGACAGTGAGCAGATGCTAGACAATGGGCAGAGACAGGGAGCTCAGTGCCCCCAGGCAAGACCAGCAGAACCCCACTCTTGGCATAAGAGGGTCCACATGCTCTGAGTGGAGGCCTGAGGTCGTTCATCAACAGAGCAGCCACTTCAGGCCGAGGGTGAGTGGTGCCTAAACTCCCTGCTTCCCACAGAGGAAGGGCCAAGCCACACAGCTCAGCAAACATCCATTTCCCTTCTCCTTCCTCCCATCTGACTTGCTGCTGACTGAGGAGACCCTGAGAGAGTCCCCACTCTGCCACTGGGGTCACCTGCCCACTGAAGCCAAGAAAAGTCCCATCCAGCTCAGCTCCCCTGGCCAGCCCTGAACAGGCAAGGAAGCCCCTTGCTCTAGCAATTCTATTTCTAACCCCCGCCCCCTCGAGGTTGACAGTCATCACCACTGAGGCCTATTTTATTAAAACCTGGGACAGGGGTATGTTCCCCTTCCACAGGTTCCCTTCCACCTAGATTAACCCTTTGCCTAATTGGCAGAGGTGTAGCAAATGAAGGCAGTTGAACCTGAGGGTGCTACCCTGAAAAAGCAGAAGTCCTTCCCTGTATATTCTTTTATTATTATTATTATCTTTAAAGACAGGGTCTCACTATGTTGCCCAGGCTGGTCTTGAATTCCCAGCCACAAGAGAACCTCCTGTCTCAGCCTCCCAAGTAGCTGTGATACAGGTGTGAGCCCACCACGCCCAGCCTTCCCTGTATACTCTTATCGTTGTCCTTGACCTCAAGCCTTCCCTTGAAAGTAACTATAGGCCTATGTACCCCAAACCTCTGTGCAACCTCTGGTCACTTACCTATGAACACTCCACTCTGCCCCCTTAAATTTCACTCCCCTATATGCTCAGTGATCGCCATTCTGGGGCTGGTGCCGTGGAAAGGGATATATACGAGGATCAAGGATGATTTGCACTCTGTAAAATATTGCATTTATATTCCACACCAGCTTGAATTAAACCCTCCAGATTTGTAGGAATTACCTTTCTTACTGAGGTTTGATTACTTCTATGATTTTGATCTACCAGGAGAAAAAAGAAAATGTACAAGATATAAATTTAAAAAACAGAAAAGGTAGCTCCAGATATCTGACAATATTTTTCTTAATACAGAACATATAGATCCTAATTGCCTTCAAACAGCTATCGCCCTGTGGATGAAATAGAGATATCTTTATTTTTAATAAACAACAAGAAAAGAATCCTTTATGCGGTGTTCGCGTGGAAGCACCAAACATCTTGCCATGCCAAGGATCAAATAACTTTATTAATTGACCAATTAAAGCCTTAACCATTCCTACTATAGTCCAAGAATATTCAATAACATGGGGAAAATATTTGTACAACAATGTTAAGGGGTAAACAGTAGAATTCAGAATTATCTATTACATAATATATGTATAATCACACACAATTATTCTGTAAAGGCACAAAAAATGAAATACTTTAAATAATGGTCATTATAGCTGAATGATGAGTTCCAGGCAATTCCAGCATGTTTCTGTATTTTCCCAATTTATTAAAATAAGCTTATATTACTTTTTTAATCAGAGAAAAAAGTTACATTGTATCTTAACCATTTAACAATTATATATCTACTTTATAAGTATATGAATATCCAATTAATTTTACATACCAGGCTGCTAGCCCATTAGGAAAATTTTATAACCAACCCCAAAAGTTATTACAAACTGTGTACTGGAACCCATAGAAGCTCAAGATATACAACTGCAAACAAAAATTAAAGAAAATATATGAGGTGTTATCACTTCAGCAAGGATAGTTTTTGGTAATTGATTCTGTTTTAGTGTGCCACTAGAAATATATCCTCTTCGTTTATGTCCTCTCTTGCTTTCTCTGAGTGTATAAAATGACAGCTTATGCGGAAATCAAGTCGAGGTCAAATTACCAATATTCTGTAAGTGGCTGGAGGTCAGAATTACCTCCTAAAGAGCCCTGAGCCCCAGAATGAGTTTCTATTTATTCAGCATTCTACTTCCCAATCTCAGCTAACAAGGAAAAAAAAAAAAAAAAAGGAGAAAGGGGCAAAATGGGTTCCAAACTCAGGGTTCAGCCTGTGTTTTCAAATGACCAAGAAAAACAAAGGCATATGCAGGCACAACCAGACAGAGTACAGGGTAGAAGTCCCTTGTATTTGTAAAGGCAAATGTTTGATTAGTTCTATTCAGCTTGAATAATTCTAGTTGTGTGATATAAGAAAAAGAGAAAAAACTGTACCCTGGCAAACAGCTAAGAAATCCTTAATGGGCTTTGAGGGTTCCCTATATTCATTATATTTTTAATGTAACGGGCAGCCACCATGTGCCATGCATACTGCTAGAAACATAAGATGCCATGAGAATGTGGCCCTAGATCCTTGGAAGAGTGGGGCTACTTCTTTCCCAATTGTTGAATCTTTTTATGCCTATTTTTGGTTTTAATACATGTTATGGAAGCATAATCGTCCTTCCAAAAATACTTGGTAACCAACATTGGTTTAATGGTGTATAAAATTTATTTTGGCTTTAACAAGGCATCTGGATCACAGATTCCTATAAAGGTTGCAAAGTCAGGCCCCAAGTGATACAGTCCATGGGACACTGCCTTTCCCATCCCTATCCATTCCTCCTGCTCCTACTCCCAGCTGCCTTGTGTGAAAAGGTCAGTTGTACTGGTTTGCCCAGGATAATGAAATGTCACTGAATGAGCTGCTATAACACTAACTATTTTTACTGCTTTTGCATGTTCCTTTCTACTTTTATCTCATCTTTGAAAGATGTTTTACGACATCTTTGCAAGATGAATGGAAAAGGCAATGGGGCATGCACTGAAATGTGGACTATGCTAAAGCTTTGCAACTCAAGACCAAATTCCACATAGATACTTCCTATTCACTTCCATAGTCTGCTTGCTGCTTTCCCTGCCTCCTCCACCCTATCCCACCCCAACCAATTCAGATGGACTTCAAAAATTCAAGTCCAGTAGGGCACAGTAGCTTATACCAGTAATCCCAATGCTTTCAGAGGCCAAGTCAGGAGATCACTTGAGGCCAGGAGTTCAAGACCAGCCCAGGCAACACAGTAAGACCCTGTCTCTACAAAAAATATAAATAAATAAAAATTTTAAATTAGCTGAGCATGGTTGTGGGTGCCTGTAGTCCCAGCTACTTGGGAGGCTGAGGCAAGAGTATTACTTGAGCCCAGGAGTTTGAGGTTATAATGAGCTATGATTGCACCACTTCACTCCAGCCTGGGTGACAGAGTAAGACCCTATCTCTAAAATGAATGAATAAATGAATGAATGAATGAATAAATAAATAAATGGATTAATTTAAAAAAAATCAAATCTGATAATGATATTACCTGGCCTAATCCTTTCCAATGGTTCCATGTCACTTACCAAGGACAGTCAGAACTGCTCATGCATATTCCAGGCCTTTCTGGTCATCCCTGCTGGCTCCGTCCCCACTCCTGCAGCCAATGTGACAGCCCCACACCTGTGCACATGCATTCCCCAAACCCGCACCATCCTCATCCCATCTCATCACCAGAAGAGCAACTCCTATCTGCACAAGCATCCCATCTTCCATGAAACATGTTTCTTAGAAAAATGTTTAATTAGGAAAGAAATTTAAATCAGTACCTTCTTTGAAGAAGACCGGAGGGATGGGTTTGGCCCTGGAGAGAAAGTTATACCCAATCTTAGAGAATCTTACCCTGCTTTTTCTTTTATTCAGTACCCAGTAACTACTGATGAGGTGGACTCTGTACCACACATTGATTTCACTACTAAAGCCCCAGGAGAATAGACAAGTCCTGGAACCAAGCGGGGCTGGCAAGACTTTATGGGAAAATGTGCATAGAAGTAAAACATGCAAACAAGGTATTTTGAGTCCTTGTGAAATATACTTCTGCAGAAGTATATCTTCCACTTTCATCACTGTCCCCAAGAACGTTTGGGGAATAAGGTGGCCACTTGGATAGCTAAGCTGCAAAACCATCAGATGATACATGTAAATGGCAGGTTTAAGAGAAAGAATAGCTCCCAGTCCAGCAATCCACCCATGGGGTTGGATTACCATGTCGAAAGACAAAATGTGCTCCTTGTAAACTAGAGTGGCCAGCCATGGAATCTGCCCAGCCTGTGGGCAAATGTTGGCAGGCCCCATCTAAGCACTGTGCAGGGAAGGGGCTGGCCCAAGGACTCCAGCTGCCTGGCCCAGGGGCAGCTCTATCTAAATGAAAGAGTGTATTAATTTCCTAGAGCTGCCATAACAAATTAGCACAAACTGAGTGGTTAAAAACAACAGAATTGTATGGTTTCACAGTTTTGGAAGCCAGAAATCTGATATCAAGGTGTCATCAGGGTTGGCTACTTCTACAGGCTCTGAGGGACAGTGCATTCCATGCCTCTTTCTAGCTTCTGGGGGCTGTCAGGAATCCTTGACACTCCTTGGCTTGTAGCTTCAGAACTCCAATCTCTGCATCTGTCTTCACATGGCCTTCTTTTCTTCTCTTGTAAGGATATAGAATTTGTAAATTGACACTGGATTTAGGGCACACCTAATCAAGGATGATTTCATCTTGAAATCCTTAACATAATTACATCTGCAAAGACTCTTTTTCCAAATAGGGTCACATTTATAGGGTTCAGGTGGACACACCTTTTGAGTGGCTCACCATTCAATCCACTGCAGAAAGCATACATTATTCTGACTGAACCTTTGCCACTGATATCCCCAGTTCTGAATCCAAGCTGATCACACTTCTTTCTGATTGTGATTTCATTCCCCAGGTAATCAGACCTGCCTGGCATTTTTGAGAATCCAGGCTCTGTGCAGTTACATTTCTTGTAAAAAATCAATGGATTGGAGATCCGGTTTTACACTTGAGTCTCATGAGAGAGGTGTGTGTCTGTGCTAGAGAGAGAAACAAAACCATCTCTTAATGTGTTCAGCCAATCTTCTCTGAGCCTGCCAGCCTAGGGCCAAACCCAAGCCTGGCAAATTCTCCAAGGTAAGCCATCCTGGGAGGGCCCTGGAGACACTGCCTATCTGCAAAAGACCCTCTGCTATGCGTGGCCAAGTGAGGACCGAGAATCAGTGCGAACTAGAGCTTCTCAATGAGCCAGTAGTCACCCCCGATCCTTCCACCCTATGTCTGTGCTGACCAATGGGGTGCACAGTAGTGTGCACTAATGATGTGACCCCTTGGATTATCCTTTTGGAAGATGAAGAGTGGAGCCAGTCAAGAGGCAGAAGAAGAGATAAAGAAGAACCTTAAAGACCATCCTGACTCCCCATGAACTGTCTCAGATTGAGCGATGCCCACTGTTCAAACACAAGTGTGACCAACCCATGGCCAGGTAGCTGCTGCCTGAGAAGTAAGGGCCCTCTGCCCTGGAATTTCACCTGCAGCCTCTCCTCCCCAAATACACTCTGCCATGTGTCGTTGAACCTGAAATCATAGTTTCTAAGCCTCTCTCAGCTACTGTCAAAAAAGCCAATAGGAATAGATCTACATTAAGACTTTTTAACCCATTTTGTGTTGCTAGTTTTGTAATTGCTGTTGGTGTTTTTACATGATTTCCAAAAGATCTGGCTTCCTGGAGAAGCTGGCAGTTTTCCAGTGATCAAAACTATTCTGTGATAAGAAAAGGATTGGCCGGGCGCAGTGGTTCACACTTGTAATCCCAGCACTTTGGGAGGCCAAGATGGATGGATCACTTGAGGTCAAGAGCTCGAGACTAGCCTGGCCAACACTATGAAACCCCGTCTCTGCTAAAAACACAAAAACTGCCAGGTGAGGTGGCAGGTGCCTGTAATCCCAGCTACTCGGGAAGCTGAGGCCTTGAAACCAGGAGGTAGAAGTTGCAGTGAGCCGAGATTATGCCACTGCACTCCAGCCTGGGCAAAAGAACGAGACCCTGTCTCAAAAAAAAAAAAAATGATTAGGAATTAAGATTAAAGGTCACAATGACACTATGTGTGTGTCCTCAGGGAAGACATTTCAGCAGAGAGATAAAAGCTTCCGGGTGCTTTCATCTGTGAGTTTCCAACAAACCTGTGAGCCTCCGGCAGTTGTAGAAATTCTCAGACGAGATATGAACTCATTTCCAGACCCACGGACATTGAAATAGGGAAGAAGGACCTGATGTGAAAGGACAGAGGTAAGGGCCAGTTTGTAGCACTAGAGCCAATAACTGGGAACCTCATAACTCCAACTGAGTCATCCTGGCTCATGCTTCTGAAGTTAATTTAACTTAAAGAAATATGTTTTTCTTTATGGATGAAGTGCATGGGTCTGTGCTGGGTGTCCTGCCCAGCTTCCCTTCATTTTCTGTGCCAAAATCAGCCAAAATGCTGTGTCTGTCCATCACTTTTGGCCAATCAAGCAGAAATGCAGGGGCTAGAAGCTCTAGCACATTCCTGTCCCATTTCCTCTCTGTCCCCCATGATAACAACATCAGCAGGAGATTGTCCAAAACTGGCAGTGGTTTCTGGAGGGAAGGAAATGGCTTCCTAGTGGGAAGGATCAGGGCAAAGGCTATGCATGCTTTTGCTTTTCATGTCAGACCCAATGCCTCTGTGCCACTGCCCGATAGAAAAGAAAGATTGTGGAGGACGTAAGTGCTAGAATCATCACATGAACATCTTCAGGGACAATGTTCTAGAGGCTCACCTCTATGGTCCTTCAGATGGGAAATAGCAATATCATTTCAGGAAATATCAATGAATTTAATAACTAAACATTTCCTGTAAAGAGATAAAGGAAAGAATGACACATTCAGCTGGCAAAAACTTTGGTGTCTAATATATGCCAACTCTTCCTTCTCTAAAGGCTTCAAAAGTCAAGGCCCATGTGAATACAGAAACATCACTGATTGAGATGAGCATGGTTATTCAATATACTTCTGCCATAATGACACTTCCAAATGCTATCTAAGAGTTTTTCTGCAAGGAGTTTGGAATCGCTCATGTAAACCCATTGATATTTTTGTTACATTGCAAGGTTTTTCCCCTAAAGTAAGGATCAGACAACAGCCTTCAATGATAATTTTTTAAAAAGCTTCCTGCTTTTTTTTTAATGGAAGTTTTCTTTTTCAAAGGTGAAGGATGTTGTTTCTCATGATAGCTTTGTTGCCACCAACAGAAACTCAAAGTAGAGATCTAGAGGTGAATCAGGTAGGATTACCTACATTGCTGTTCTTGGAACGCAGCTCCACTTATGGGAGAATTGTCAACTATTTTAATATTCTATTTTCCAGGAAAACATAGTCCCATGTTCAACAGAAGCCCAGAAAATTCCAAAGCAGACAATCAACAAAGCAGACTCTGTCACCAGGCAAGATACAACTACATCTGGGTCAACAACATGAAGAAATACGTTATCACTGTGTAAATACGAACAGTTCCAGGAAACAGATCTTTGCATTCCTGCCTTTTGTTTCACTGAAACCAGGACATGGAGCTCATGCTTCCAGACAAATGTCAAGTCTACTTTGACCCTGGCTTTCCCCAAGTACATGAACCCTCCAGGGAGGCAGAGAGTTGCCTGGCTGAAACCAAAGAATCTTCTGGCCACCCCCAAACCTGCCCCTGGCAATGGCCTATACAAAGTAAGTCTGAGAAATGTAATACATCTTAGGAATGCACCTGGAATATAGCAATATTATATCCACCCAGGGAAAAGTCTTCCTGGGGATTAGAGTGGGCTCTGAAATTTGAGGCTTCTCAAGCTTTCATAATTGTTATCCCAATTAATGTAACTGCAGACACCATTCTTATATTCCCAGGTACAATAATGTCCCGTTCCTTTGAAGCTCATCAAGCCATTTGCTTCAACACTTGAGGAGGCAAGCCCCAAGGTTAACAGCCCTCCACGTGAGCCTCTCATCTGCCTGCTGTACAAATGTGTTTTCTTTGCATTTCAGTCATGCCCTGACCTTGGAGAGGACGATGTAAAGGGGAATGCCTAATTAACTTTCCATTTATAAACCAATTATTTTACTATTGGCACCTTCATTCTGCAATCACTGACATAAAATCTTTTACAAAACAAAATGTAATAAATGAGAAATCGATTGGATTTTTTTTAAGTTTGCTTTGAAGTCAGCCATTAATAAGAAATGTCCTTTAATAAGAGAGATCTGTCTATAGAAGTTCCTCGACGTCAGAGCCCAGCTGTGCGGCTGCTGGAGGAGACGAAGCCGCATTCAATCAAGGCTTTGGAACTCTTCCTTGTTCATCTTTAACTGCAAGGACAGAGGCGTACTATTTTTCTTTTTTTTTTTTTTTTTTTTTGGTAGAGAGGGGGGTCTCCGTAGGTTGCTCAGGCTGGTCTCAATCTCCTGGACTCAAGCAATTCTCCTGTCTTGGCCTCCCAAAGTGCTGAGATTACAGGTGTGAGCCACCACACCCAGCCAGTACCAGAAGGACTGCTTTTCTCCTTAAAAAAGAGGGAAAGAATGTTTTCACATAGATCTTCATGTGCTAAAATCACACCAAAAACTCATGCAAGGTCAATGAAGAACAAAGTTCTCTGCTCCCACCACAGAATCTTTGCATTGACTGTCACTGTCCCGGACACTCTTTCCCAGAGGTCAGCATGGTTCTCTCCTTTATCTTCTTCAGTTCATCATCAAGTGTCACCTTTTGGTGAGACCTTCCCTCACCACCCTACTGACAACTATAAACCAGCAGCCCCGACATCTGCATCCCTTCTCCACCCTGCTTTCCTCCATAGCACTCCCATGCTTGACATTCTTTACATTGGGTCTACTCCTCCCTTTTGATTATTCCACGCCTCCCCACCATGAGAATGTAAGCTCCATGAGGACAGGAAGATCCCAGCAACACCTAGAACAGAAGCCAACATAGAGCCAGCACTCAATAAATATAATGAGACGTATACATCAAGTATTTACAATGGAAAGTCAAAATACCGCTGCCCATCATGAGCAAGTCATTCCCCTTCTCTCCACAAAGATAGACAGTGTGGTGAAGCCACTGCCCAGGTGAGTCGAGAACAAAGAAGAGAGAGAAAAACTGCTCCTGTTCTCCAACATCAGATACAAAGCACCGTGCCTTCCATGTCACCTGGGAGCCCAGACTCAGGCAGCTACCATGATCCCTGCCCACACCTCCACCTGAAACTCCAGAGGGAAGAGGGGTAATGTTCCCTCTGGCTTCTAGCTTGCTCGTGGCTTGCTGGTGAGTTGTATCCAGGGCCAGCTCCATGGGAACTGCTGTAGTCACACCCAGGGTCCCATACTCAGAAGAGTCCCAAGCTTGGTTTCATGCTCTGCTGTGGCCGTCTGGAAATTCTTTCCAATTTTACCTTTGAACTTGGGACAGTGGAGCATGCATATGAGCAGAAGAGATTCATAAAACCAAAAGAAAAACTTTATATTTTAGTACCTTTAGCAGCATTTTTTTCTCTGCTTTTTCAACAAGCAGATCCACATTTTCTTTTTGTACTGAGCCCTAAAAATTACGTAGTTGGTCCTGGATGCATTCATGTTCTTTGTGGAGGGAAAACTTTCTAAGGTGGAGAAAATCCACTCTGTCTAATGGTTCTGTTCTCCCAACTTGATAGAGGTGTGGCCATCTCTTTCTGGCTAACAACAGCAACAACAAAGCTTAGATTCTAATAAATCCCAAATCAAGGAGAATAATTGAGCTGATTAGTTGCTTTGAAGGAAAGAAATAATACAGAAAATTCTTTTATAAAAATAATTACTGGAAATTTTAATAAGCTAATTTAATAAATTTTCCCAGCTAATAAGAGTAGCTGGGAAACTACTTTTGTTGTTGGGAAGCTATTTTTGTTGTTTGGAAACTTCAGAAAGTTATTTACTGAAGTCATATGACAATTTCTACTACATGTGCACCATGTACCAAAAGGGAATTGTTTAATCCACCTCTTCCCAAGGGCAGAGTCAGGATTCGTGGACATAAAACCCAAGGCTTTACAAATACTGAAGAGAACTTGGCTATTCAACAATTATGTGTATTAACAAAAGGCAAAATGCATCATTAATTCTATAACTTTCTAATTTTGAGAAAACTCCATAGACTCACAGGTTAAATTAAAATAGAAAAAATTTAAATGAATTGCTAAAATGTAAAAGTTAGATGGATCATTCGTATGTTGAATGATAATGATATCCAAATTTGATAAATTTCAAAAGATCAAAAAGTTTAACTTCATATAACTTGTGATGGTTAATACTGAGTGTCAACTTGATTGGATTGAAGGATACAAAGTATTGATCCTGGGTGTGTCTGTGAGGGTGTTGCCGAAAGAGATTAACATTTGAGTCAGTAGGGTGGGGAAGGCAGATTCACCCTTAACCTGGAGGACACAATCTAATCAGCTGCCAACAAACAAAAAGCAGGCAGAAAAACGTGAAAAGGAAAGACTGGCCTAGCCTCCCAGCCTACGTCTTTCTCCCGTGCTGGATGCTCCCTGCCCTCAGACATCAGACTCCAAGTTCTTCAGTTTTAGGACTCAGACCATATATATATATATATATATATATATATATATATATATATATATATATATACACACACACACACACACACACATATACATATATATACACATATACATATATTTATATATATACACACATATACATATATATACGTATCTTCTATTAGTTCTGCCCCTCTAGAGAACCCTAATACACCAACAGAGTCATATTTTCCCAATTTGTCAATCCTTCCCTATTTCTCTGTCTCTACTATTCTATAAAAGATAATACAAGACCTAGGAAATAAAATCAAACACCTACAGAAGTCAGACATGTAACATAAACATGTGAACCAGGCTGAATACAAGACAGAAGGGGTAAGACAGTGGGACTGCATGTGTACCTTCTAAATTTTTTTTTTTTTTTTTTTTGAGGCAGAATCTTCCTTTGTCACCCAAGCTGGAGCACAGTGACGCAATCTCAGTTCACTGCAACCTCCACCTCCTAGGTTCAAGCAATTCTCCTGCCTCAGGCTCCCAAGTAGCTGGGATTACAGGCATGCACCACCACACCCAGCTAATTTTTGTATTTTTAGTAGAGACGTGGTTTCACCATTTTGGCCAGGCTGGTCTCAAACTCCTGACCTCAAGTGATCCACTCGCCTCAGCTTCCCAAAGTGCTGGAATTACAGGTGTCAGCCACCATGCCTGCCCACTTTTTTTAATCAAGGAATCTTCTGAATTTTTAATCAAGTCAGGATCTTCTGAAAAGCATAAACCAGGGCAGGATTCAATGTACAAGTAATTTATTAAGAGAAGCGCCTATGAGTCTCTTATTCAGGCTGCTATAACAAAATATCATAGACTAGGTGGCTTATTAACAGCTGAACATGATTTCTCACAGTGCCAGAGGCTGAAAGTTGGACATCAGGATGCCAGCAGCAGTGTTAGGTTCTGGGGAGGGCTCTCTTCTGGGTTGCAGGCAGCTGACTTCTTGTTACATCTTCATATGGCAAGACAGGACAAAAGAACTCTCTGAGTGTCTTTAAAGGGAACTAATACCATTCATGAGGCTCCACCCTCATGACCTAATCACCTCCCAAAGGCCATCACATTGAGATTAGAGTTTCAACATATGAATCTGGGGGGCAAAGACATTCAGTCCATAACAGAGACAACATGAGGAGCAGGCTACTAGAGATGTTAGACCATCGTGTAGGTCTGACCTGCATGAAGGAGAGAGGGAAGGAAGCAAGGTGAATTAGATGCTTCCTCAACTACAGTGCATTTCTCCAGGAAGTTCTACAAGGCCAGTTGGGAGGCATCAAGCCACAGTCAGAGGCATCACCTCTCCCAGAAACAGGCCTGTCTGGGTATCCCACCTTGCTCAGTCATGAAAAGCAAGGTCTCGGGCCGATCAGTGATGGATTTCAAAGCACAGCAGCTGGGGCTGTTGGTCAACGATGCCAACTGCAGTCATAGATCTGAGGCCATTCTCATATCCTCCATAGTGCCCAATAGAATACACCTGAAGGCTAGCAATCTGAGCCTGCCTAGGCCCTTGTTAAACTCTCATGCTTCATTCTCTCACCAACTGTCATCTCTCCATGCCTATACCTCACTACCGACCAAATGAAAGTGTAGCTATCCATTCCATTCAGAAACATGGAAAGAATTCATTCCTTGAAAAACAGACCTTGCAGGACCTGTGCTAGGAGCAGACACAACTTCTAAACAAGCTGTCCTTACAGATCTGTTGGAAATCAGTCACTGGAGCTGCCTTCAGGCCAGAAAGTTTGCATCAGGTGTTCAGGTTGTTCTGTTTCCCCACAGAGGTCACAATGCCCTTGACTGAATGTGGCTCCATGGTTGGATAACTTATGCAGGAATAAACCACGATTAAAAAAATAATAACAAATGTTTATGCCAGCTTTTGAATCATAAAGCAATTTCCCATCCTTTCCTTTTCATACAGAAAAGTGTTCCCCTTAGGAAACTTCCAATGATGCCACTGATTCTTCCATGGATGCAAAAAATTGTGTTAGTGTTGTATTTTCAAGGTTGAGAAGGAAAAAACAAAAACAGCACTAGCAAACCGAGAACCTGTGAAAATATCGGTGGTAGTGTTGCCACACAGAGAGACTGAAAATATAATGGCTGCATTCCCCAAGGTAGTCTCAAGTTACCAAAATCATTCTGTGGAAGGCCGAGAGAAAATAAAGGAAAAGATCCCTGTAAATACGGAAGCAGTGAAGAGAGTAGCAATAGAAGGGCAGCCCTTTAAAAACAAAGGAATTATAAAACATGAAGGAAGACTAACAGCTAAGCCTTCAGAGGAACCAGAAGAAAACAGGCAACTGCCAGAAAGCCCAAGAACCCTCATACTCAACGTGTTCCCCAGAAAACACCCTGCCCTAATGTGTGGGTTTGTTGTTGTTGTTGTTTTCAGGAAATGGAAACCCCATTTCTTCCATTGTACTCATCAGAAACCTATCCATGTTTGACAACTTCTCTCCTTCACTCCTATACAACCACATCACCCAGTCTTCTTGGTTTCATTTTCTCTTGAATCCATCCACTTCTCTTAACCCTAATGTCCACCCTGGTCCAAGTAAAGGTCACATTTTGCCTACTCTTTAACGATGGACCATCCAGCTGGTCTCCTTGAGTCAACTCTTGCTCCACACGCCCATCATTCTCTAAAGAGTCCTCAGTGGTCTTCTTAAAACATAAATGTAATCCCAGCACTTTGGGAGGCCGAGGTGGGTGGATCACCTGAGATCAGGAGTTCAAGACCAGCCTGCCCAATATGGTGAAACCCCGTCTCTACTAAAAATATAAAAAATTAGCCATGCGTGGTGGCATGTGCCTGTAATCCCAGCTACTCGGGAGGCTGAGGCAGGAGAATCGCTTGAACCCAGGAGGTGGAGGTTACGGTGAGCCAAGATCATGCCACCGCACTCCACCCTGAGCAACAGTGAGACGCCTCTCAAATAAATAAATAAATTAATTAATTAATGGGATCATATTGTTCCACTGTAGTCTAAACCTCTCTAGTGGGTTCCAATCCAGTTTTCATCACAAAATCCCTCATGCTTGACAAGATCCTGCATGTTTGTAACCCCTCCCTCTCTAACATATCCGCCCCATCTCCTCAGTCCCTACGCAGCAACCACACGGGCTTTCTTTGGGTTCATCAAATATTGTGCTCCATCTTGCCTCAGAGCCTTTGCAAATACTGTCCCCTCCACCTTTCCTCCCTCTCTTTGCCTATTACTTCCTGCATTTCCTGAAGCGCAGAAGCCAGTTCCTCAGGAAAACCTTTCCTAACATGCCCTGCCTACCCCATCCCAGAATAACTCAGTCTCTCTCTCTCTCTCTCTCTCTCTATATATATATATATACATATACATATATATATATTACACTTTTTATAGCATGGCTGACATTTTTAGCATATTTGTAGGGTGGTTTGACTAATCTGTTTTTCTGTCTAGACTTAACGCAGGAACTATGCCTGCCTTTAATTTTCTCAATTATTTCACCTGTGGCTAGCCCAGCACCTGGCACATAGATGAATAATTGGATGGATGGATGGATGGATGGATGGATGGATGGATGGATGGATGGATGGATGGTCAATTGATCCATTGATTGACTGATTGCTAAGTACCAGAATATTATAAAGCCATAAGCCAGAATATTATAAATCCATAAGCCATCTTTCCAGGGGCAGAAATAAATATCAAATGTAGATAAAGGCTAATAGGTAAATATACCACTTTTTTAATGTTTTAATTGCTGAATAGGTGCTATATTCACATACTTCAAATCTAAAAGATGTCCACTGAGAATATTTGCTCCTGTTCTGTGTCCTTCCACTCCATTTTTCACTGCCTTTATAAGTAACTAGTTCAGTAAGTATCTTATATTTGTTGTGTTTCTTTACACAGATACAAGTAAATGTTATTTTCACTTTCTTACACAAAAGAGAGAATAGTAGACACAGTGTTTGACACATTGGATTTTGTTGTTGCTTTTGTTTAAGGTAACAACATACCCCAAAGCCCTCTGATTCATTCCCTAAGAGCTTCCTTACTCTTTTGTACAGTTCCATGGCAGTCCATTGTATGGATGCAGCATCCTTTATTTAACCCTTCCCATCCTGCTGCTTAGTCTTTTGCTATTTGAAACAAGGTTCTCACTACATCATCCAGGCTGGAATGCAGTGGCACGATCTCAGTTCACTGCAACCTCCACCTCCCAGATTCAAGCAATTCTCCTGCCTCAGCTTCCCAAGTAGCTGGGATTACAGGCACACGCCTGGCTAATTTTTGTGTTTTTAGTAGAGACGGGGTTTCACCATGTTGGCTAGGCTGGTCTTGAACCCCTAACCTCAAGTAATCCACCCACCTTGGCCTCCCAAAGTGCTGGGACTACAGGCGTGAGTCACTGAGACCCATAGCATTTTAAAGTAAAGGTTCATAAAAGTTGAAAAAAGGTAAGTTAGGAGGTGGTGGAGTAAGCCTTAAAGACAGAAATGCCTGGGTTTGAATATGAGTTCTGGCCATCATCAGCTATGTCAACTTGAGTTAGATAAACTTTCTGAGCCTCAGTTTCCTCATCTATAAAATGGAGACAATATTCCTCTAGACATGGCTGAGGATGAAACAGAATAACACAAATGAAGCATTTAACTTCTCTTGCATGCTCTCACGCAATCCATCACTTCAAACATCACCCATCAAGGAAGGCTCCCAAGTCTCCTTCTTCAGCTGAAACCTGCCCTGTTTTTCCAGGTACCTGCTGGATTCTTCCTCTTTTATGTCTTGTATGCCCCCAATCTTTGTTTTGTTTTGTTTGAGACAGTCTCACTCTGTCGCCCAGGCTGGAGTGCAGTGGTGCAATCTCGGCTCACTGCAACCTCCACCTCCTGGGTTCAAGTGATTCTCCTGCCTCAGCCTCCTGAGTAGCTGGGCTTACAGGCACACACCATCATGCCCAACCAAGTTTTTGTATTTTTAGTAGAGACGGGGCTTCACCATGTTGGCCAGGCTGGTGGCCTCAAGTGATCCGCCCACCTCGGCCTCCCGAAGTGCTGGGATTACAGGTGTGAGCCACTGTACCCAGCCCCACATCTTTAAATTACAAAATATCCAGAACAAAACCTTCTCAAAAATGCCATTTAAAACTGTATTATTTTCCTGCACTTCCCATTTACCCAAAGACCAAGATAACTGAGAGTTTTCTTCTACCCCTGCTTCTCCCTTTACCCACACTCTCAATTCAGTCACCAACTCCTGATAATTTTTTTCTCCCAAATCTTCTGGAATCTGTTTCTTCCATTTATTTCCATTCTGACCCAGAACAGGTGCCCAAGGTTTCCCAACCAGACTATTGCAAAAAAAGGGGGGCCAGACTAGTTTGACTGACTCTGGTTTCATAACCTTTCAGGACAACCTCTCTAACCAGTCCAAAAGTGATCTTTCTAGAATACAAACCAGGCCTTGTTTCTCATTTGTTTGCCCTCCACCTTCTGTGGGTGGGTGTCTAAAGGAATAGCATGTAAACCATATAAACCACAGCCTTCTCCCAGGCCGCACCTCCAGCCCCTCTCCTGGCCTCTGGCCACAGCAAACTTCTGCCTTCCTCTGGGAAACTCTCTCTCTCAAGCCTCCTTCTCTTTGCACAGGGAACTTTTCTATATGCTGTTCATTCGCTCATTCATTCAGCAAATATTTTTAAGAGCCTGATATATGCCAATTATCCTTTAACTTTAAAAAGGATGGTCTGGCATGCCCCAGACTACTTAACTCCTAGAAACTTCGTTGATGTAACAGACTCCTGAATTTGCATAGGGTTGACCTCCCACCACTGGTACACAGGTGTCTTCTAGGACAGTGTTTCCCAACCTTGACACTATTGGCATTTGGAGCCAGATAATTCTTTGTTTGGGTAGGGGGCTATCCTTTGTGTTGTAGGGTGTACAGAAGCATCCCTGAACTCTACCCAGTAGATGCCAGTTGCTCACGTCAACCAATTATAACAACCAAAATATCTGCAGATGTTCCCAAATATCCCCTGGGGGTTAAAATCATCCCAGGTTGATGCCCTGTATTAGGGCATCTATGATACTTGCTACTCCCAGGTCAGTAAGTCCAATTAGCATGATGTCACTAATAGGTGAGACAGAGCAATGTTCTGCAGAATGTCAGCATGATCAAGATCCCTGCAGACATGCAGATAGTGAATGTATACTGCTATCCTTGCCACGGAAAGGCCAACCACTGCAGAGTCCCCCTATTGATGGAGGTTGACAAGAAATCATTTGCCAGATCAGTAGTCACATATGAAGTTTGAGAAGGCGTGTTGCTCTTCATCAGTAAATATAGCAAACCCAGCACAACAGCTTCAAGGGGCTATCACCTAATAGCATCTGCCATCATTTATCTGGTTTTTACACGGACACAGTGGGTAAACTGAATGGAGATATTATGGGGACCACCACCTCCTTGCAGCTTTGATGTTCTTGATGATAGCAATCATATCTGTACTTCCTCCTGGAATGCCTTGTTATTCCTGATTGCCATCTTGAATAATGGGGAAAGAACAGTTTCCGATACTTTACTTGGCCCTTCCCACCATAGTTCCTTACTCCATAAGTGGGAGTTCTGCCAACCACTAAATATATCTACCCCAATTGTATATTTGGGGACCTGATAAATAACCACAGGGTAGTTTTTGGACCCAGTGGACCAAATGGACCCATTGTGAAACAGACTTGGGGTAAAACTCTATTTATCACCAGACTTCCTAAAACTGCCAATCTAACGGGACAGGGCAGGTGGGGAGGGACAACATAAGGCATTTAATATTCCTTGGTATCATTTAAGATCCCTTGGTATTGAAGCAGCTATGTTGTCTGGGGTAAATACCTAGGGTTTGTCATCTCACACCAGGAAAATTTAGGACACAGACACACATGAGGCATTTAGGAGCAGAAGTTTAATAGGCAAAAGAAAAAGAAAGGAAAACAGCTCTCTTTCTCTAGTGAGAGGGAGGGAACTTCCGAGAGGAAAAGGCCCGCTGGCGGCAGATGCGCCAGATTTTATAGTCAGGCTTGAGGAGGCGGTGTCTGATTTACATAGGGCCCACAGATTGGTTCAAGGTGGTGCCTGATTTACATAGGACTCACAGATTGGTTCAAGGTGGTGTCTGATTTACGTAGGGCTCACAGATTGGTTCAATCAGGTATGATGTTTACATACCACTGGGGAAGGCTGGCCACCCACCCTAATCTTACTTAGCAAATGAAATTTCCCCTTGGCTGGGTCATGTTGTCTGTTCCTTACTGTACACGTGGCTATCAAAGAAAAGGGAAGATGGAGTTGCTATCTTGAACATGATTGGCACAGCTGCCAGCATCTATGTTGGCAGCTTGATTTTACAGGCTGCTCTTTGTTAGAAAATGATTTGGGGCTGCTTTTCATTAAAGGAAAAACCTTACCGAGGATTTCCGTACCCTCACTACCTGCCTAAGTAATTTCTTCTTAACTCCTTATCAGTATCAGCTCAAACCTTGTATATTACTAATCCTCAAAAAGTCTGAATTGTCCCTATTCTCTGGCACTAGTTACTTGGGGAAATGGGTGCAAATTCCTTAAAGGGGAAGATTAGAAGAACACATTTTCAGGTATACTGTGGAAAATAGAAGGGTCCTTCTTCAAGGAAGCCTAAGTCTTCCCCTCAATCCACACATCAGTCATTGCAATAAAAAATTGTAGACTCTCACTCAGTTTTCAAATGTATTTGGTTGGTGCAAAAATAATTGCAATTTTGCCATTAAAAGTCATGGCCAAAACCACAATTACTTTTGCATCAACCTAATAAGCCAGTTTGAAAACTTTACTTCAAGCCGGTTTTCAAACTGGCTTACATTTGAAAACTGAGTGAGAGTCCACAATTTTTTATTGCAAGGACTGATGTCAACCTTCTATTCTCCAGCTTTCTTTTTATTATTATTATACAATCTTAATAACATCCTAGTTAGCTGTCCTTCTGTCTCATGCCTAGGAACACCAGGATCTCTTAACCATTGCTACAAATCTCTGAAGGTTGAGGCACCCTAAGTACTATTCTTCAGTGTTTCCAATTATAATCATTATGGCCACCTTGCCTCTGGTGGTTACGAGTTGCCTTCTAGTTTTATAATTCTGGAATCTCACTATCCCCATTGATATAAAGAAGTTCAGTTGCAGCCGGGTGCAGTGGCTCACTCCTGTAATCTCAGCACTTTGGGAGGCCGAGGCAGGAGGATTGCTTGAGGTCAGGAGTTCAAGACCAGCCTGGCCAACATGGTGAAACCCCATCTCTACTAAAAATACAAAAATTAGCCGGGCATGGTGGTGGGTGCCTATAATCTCAGCCAAGGCAGGAGAATTGCTTGAACCCAGGAGATGGATGTTACAGTGAGCCCAGATTGCACCAATGCACTCCAGCCTGGGCAACAGAGTGAGACTCCTATTAAAAAAAAAAAAAAAAGAAGAAGAAGAAGTTCAGTTCGATGGAAGTGTCTACACCCATAACCCCTGCCTACAGAAGACAGACACTAAGATTCTCAAAGATATTAGTGAGCCCTTCACTTGTGTACTCCTGCTGCATTCATAGCAAAAGTGTCTCCCAGTCTTTTTCAGGAAACACGGTGATGTGGCAGGTTCTCAGGATTTACATAGTAAATTCATTCTAACATTCCCAACTCCTTGAGCCTTAACCCCTTTCTCGACATAATGCCAAATATGCTCCAGCATCTCCACCTTATCAATTGCAGCCGTCATCCTATCTAAATGTCATGGAGCTGTCTCAAAAGACTATTAGGACCAGCTCCAGGTAATCATGATGATCTAACACCCTCAAGATACGCTACTACAAGGTGTTTGCTAATTCGTGCCTGCCAGCTCCTGTAAGCCTTTGACACATAGACTGTTTTCTCCTGCAGCAGGGATTGTACTTCCTCATTGAAGCTGTGCTCAGGCCTGACTCTGGTTGTTAGCCAGGACATAATGAGAGATAGTGGGGACAGATCTGGAGAAAAACAATGATCATTGTGTGGAGCACCTCCAGGTGAGGTCATAGTGTAATGCACTGGGAAGACGAGGCTGTTCTCTCCCCAGGTTGTTGGGAACAGCTTCGGCCAGCCAGGAAGCTTCAGGGAATTGGGGGCTACAATATTCTCAGCCTTGGCCACGCAAACATCACCATCCAAGGTCTTGGTGGTCCACTCTCCTGTCAGGTCTTTACTTTGACACTGGGGCGGTGTTAAGGCTGTGCATTTTGCTTCTTTTGCATTTCTGCCACCCTTATAATCAGATCCCAGGTTTAATAACCTTCTGTCCTGTGGGTTTTAGAGATGAGAACCTCCTCTAAAGTGACTACAGAAATACTCTGGCTTTCAGACAGGGCCTCCAGGTGGCAAATAGCTGCCCTGCACTTATTATTTTCTTTTTGCAAGGCTTCCAATGCCTTCAAAAGTTACCACCCACATCCAAGTCCTTAGGGTTATTATTGCTCCAAAATGCATCAAGTGCTCCAGTGTCTGATAAGTCAGTACTTTGGCTTCCTCCTCTGCCTCATCCTAATTAGCTTCAGATAAAAGCTTTTGTAATTGTGATGCTACAGAATGTCAGAGATTGTCACCACCCACTTGCTGCTACCAAAACCCATCAGAAGCTCTGCTTTCTGGGGCCAAGTTTCCCTGGACAGTAGAGCCTTGGGCACACGTTTACGTGCTAAGACTTCACTGACAAGTGCAATCCTGGGGAAGCAGGAGTATGAGGGAGACCAGTGAGGCAAGGAAGAGGAAGATCAAACATGAGGGCGTGGGTTACTGAGCTGCTTTTTTGTTTTGTTTTTTTTTTTTTGAGATGGAGTTTTGCTCTTGTTGCCCAGGCTGGAGTGCAATGGCGCAACCTCAGCTCACTGCAACCTCCACCTCCCAGGTTCAAGCGATTCTCCTGCTTTAGCCTCCCAAGTAGCTGGGATTACAGGCGTGGGCCACCACACCCAGCTAATTTTTGTATTTTTAGTAGAGACGGGATTTCACCATGTTGGCCAGGATGGTCTTGAACTCCTGACCTCAGGTGATCCACCTGCCTTGGCCTCCCAAAGTGCTGGAATTACAGGTGTGAGCTACCGTGCCCGGCCTACTGAGCTGCTTTATAACAGCCTGGATGATGGCTTGATCTCACATAATGTCTTCAGGAAGGTCACATGGATGCTTGCATCTCAGAACAGTATGTGGGGCAGGGCATGAGATGGAGAAGGGAAAATAACTAATTAGCCAGTCCCTTCCTATCCATCACCTCCTGCTGGGCAAAGGTGGTGACAGGGGGTTTTAGTTTCTCCATGCTTTCTAGATGCATCCCCCGCCCTCTTCAGGTGAAGCTTCTTCTAGCCAATTCGTACTGCATGGAGAGCAACTTGGCCTGTAGTACAGGCAGCAACAATGGCAGCAATGAATTGACTTTGTGACTGCAGGACCAGCACAAGCCATGGCTGGGGCCAAGCCAGCCAGTGGGTAAGAGAGGTGGGCAGCTCTGTGGTGATATAGAAACTGAGTCAGAGACAAGCCCTAAACTCAGGCCTCACATTTGAATATAAATAAGCTCATTTCAGCACAGGCGCAAGGTGCAGTGACTGGCAAAGTCATGTGAAGTCCTTTCTGATCCTTTGCAAACTCATGCCCTTAGTTTTTGGGGTTTGGATGGGTTGCTTTTTTGTTGTTTGTTTTTGTTTGTTTTTTTTTTGTATGTTTGTTTTTTTTTTGTTGTTAGACACAAGGTCTCTCTCTGTCACCCAGGCTGGAGGGCAGTGGCACAATCACAGCTCACTGCAGCCTTGAGCTCCTGGGCTCAAGTGATCCTCCCACCTCAGCCTCCCAAGTAGTTGAGACTATAGGCACATACAACCACACCCAGCTTATTTTTTAATTTTCTTTTTTTTTTCTTTCTTTTGTAGAGACAGTATTTTGCTATGTTGCCCAGCTGATCTCAAACTTCTAGCCTCAAGCAAACCTCCTGCCTTGGCCTCCCAAAGCACTGGGAGATTTTGTTTTTAAAAAAAATGAAGCAGTCTGGGTGTGGTGGCTCACACCTGTAATCCCAGCACTTTGGGAGGCTAAGGCGGGCCAATCACGTGAGGTCAGGAGGTTGAGACCAGCTTGGCCAACATGGTAAAACCCATCTCTACTTTAAAAAAATAATAATAATTAGGCAGGCGGTGGTGGCTCACACTTGTAATCCCAGCACTTTGGGAGGCCAAGGCCAGTAGATCACCCGAGGTCAGGAAATCAAGAACAGCCAGGCCAACATGATGAAACCCCGTCTCTACTAAAAATAACAAAAATTAGCCAGGTGTGGTGGCATGCACCTGTAATCCCAGCTACTCAGTTGGCTGAAGCAGAATCAATTGAACCTGGGGGGTGGAGGTTGCAGTGAGCTGAGATCACGCCACTGCTCTCCAGCCTTGGTGACAAAGTGAGTGAGACTCCATTTCAAAAAATAAAAGTAAGAAACAAAGCTACATCACAGCTAAAATGTTAACATTTCCTTAATGCATTAATTGAACCTGAGACATTAACCACAGATTTTCAGGGAATTATGCCTGTTCAACCAATAAAGCTGATGTAGAAAACCAGAATTGTTTTAAATGATGAATTCTATCCCATTGGGCACATTCTTTCAGCTCACTATTGCTATTCTGTCCTGTGGATTTTTGCTTAATTAGCTAGACAAATTGCACAAATTCTGCAATTCTATTTTTACTTTAACTATGGCCAAAGCTCCTTTTCAGTTTCTCATAGCTTTCTACCCTTCAGCTGCTAGACGTCCCCAGTTATAAGGCAACTCGAAGTGTGTGCAAGGGACAGAAGTTTGTATATCTGAAACTACAATTTGGTAAAACACAAGACAAAGGGGGGAGGAGAGAGGGAGAGAGAGAGAGAGAGAGAGAGAGGAATAAGAGTCCTATTTGCACTTACCATGAGCCAAATTGAATTTGGGGGACTTGAAATATTTTAATTGTAAAATGTACTATATCGGGCTTCATTACAGATTATGCTCTTAAAGGTGCATTGAAATTGACCATATTGTATTTTATCTAAATTAAGAAAATTCTCTTTAAAGACCCTGCATTGAATCTTTTTCATGCTAAGTATCATTTTGTGATATGAATAATTGCAACTGATTTTATCTGTTGTATATATTCACATTTATCCAGAAATCTTTCAGGAGGCTATCCTTGTATTTCACTTGTTTGGTTTAGGACTTAGTATCCAAAGCGTGCTTTGCTTTTATATTAAATGAATAGTACAGTGCAATACAAGTCAATACAGACCAAAAACAGGAGCAACAACAGAAATGTATTCAATGGTATGACAGTAACTTTTTCATGCCAACAAGGTCCTCCTTGTACCTCCTTTGTACCCATTTGTCCTGGGTACAAGGTACACAAGACAACGCACGGTCGCTATATTTTTCTGGTTTTGCATTCAGTAAACCAACATTCATGTGGCATTTGAATACCAAGACAGGGCAAAGTTTAGACAGTCACCTTTCATTTTCATCTTTCATTATAATGAGACTTGACGTAACCAGCTGTCTTTGAAGTGCATGTCACGAACATGCCCATTTAACTCCCTGCTCTGCCAAAGGCCTACGGAGGAGCAAGACTGATTGTCTTGATGTACACAGAGCCAGCACAGTGTTCATCTATAATATGACTATGGAGAAGGGAGAGACTTTTAATAAAAATATCCTGTATTCCAACATGAATCTTTCAGACTGGATGAGAAAGGATTTCTTAGACACCCAAGCTATTAACACTTGGTGGCCAGTCACGGAGTACACTGCCAGGCACACAAAAGGCTCCCTCAAAACCATGCATTGCTTTAGGTCCTTAACTACTTTCCAATTTATTCATTTTCTGCAGTACAGTAGGAAAGAAACTTGCATAGATGAGAACCACATAGGAAAACACGCTAGGGATATGACTTTATTTTTTAATTTTTTAACTTAAATCTTATTTTTTAATTAATTATTAAACTATTGATTATTTTTTAATTTTACAAACTACAGCCAATTGTATAAAAATAATTTGTTCAATAATTCATTTTTTCTCCACTGATTTAAAATGCCTCCTTTGGCAGGGTACAATAGCTCATACCTGTAATTCCAGCATTTTGGGAGGCCAAGGCGAGTGGATCACTTGAGTCTAGGAGTTCAAGACCAGCCTGGGCAACATGGTGAAACCCCATCTCTACAAAAAAAAAAAAAATACAGAAATTAGTGGGGCATGGTGGCACACACCTGTAGTCCCAACTACTCGGGAGGCTGAAGTGGGAGGATGGCTTGGCCCTGGAGATCAAGGGTGTAGGGAGCCATGATTGTGCCACTGCACTCCAGCCTGGGTGACAGAGTGAGACCCTGTCTCAAAATAAAATAAAATAAAACAAAATAAAATGCCTCCTTTATTACATGCCAGTTTCCCATGTATAATCCTCATACAGTTGAACACCTTAAGAGCAAAGACTGAGATTTCCCAAAGAAGCAGCAATTCTGCCTCAAGATACAGAAACCCTGCCCAAGTTTCCAGCCTGCCTGGCCTGGCCTGCAGAATTCAGAATCAAGACTGCAATGTCAATTCTTTATTTTATTCTATTTGTCTCTTGGTCTATTCCTACACCAGCATCTCTCTCTTTTAATTAGTGAAACTCCATTGTTCCTGTTCACCTCAAGGAAAGTGAAAATCTCTCCATTATTCTTTTTCAAAGTTTCTTGCCTTTTCTACTGCCTTTGCTTTTTAGTTTAGAATAAAATCTGCAACAGTATCATCATCCACATTCAGCCTCAAAGGAAGTTCCTTCCCTTCTTCCTTTACCCAACGTATACTAATTAAGCATCTACTGTGTGGGGGTCACTGTGCCCAGGGGCTGCTCTCACAGTGATCCCAAGTGTCACACAGCCACAGTCTAATAGACTACAGACTAGTTAATAATGACTTTCTGGCCAGGCTTGGTGGTTCACGCCTGTAATCCCAGCACTTTGGGAGGCCAAGGTGGGTGGATCATTTGAGGTCAGGGGTTCAAGACCAGCCTGGCCAACATGGTGAAACCCTGTCTCTACCAAAAATACAAAAGTTAGCCAAGTATGCTGGCATGCATCTGTAGTCCCAGCTACTCGGAAGGCTGAGGCAGGAGAATCACTTGAACCCAGGAGGTGGAGGTTGTAGTGAGCTGAGATTGCACTACTGCACTCCAGCCTGGGTGACAGAGCAAGACCCTGTCTCAAAAAAAAAAAAAAGAAAAGAAAAAAATAGTGACTTTCCACAATGCAATGTAACGGGAGAAATAAAGGATGGCTGGATGCTCAAAGGAAGGACTGTGTCCAGATTTAGAGGTTCAGGAAAGATTTCCTTAAGAAGTGAGAGCTAAGCCTCCACATAGCAAAGGAGTTGGCCAGAAAATCAGAAAGGGGAGAATATTTCAGGCAGGCAGAAGGTAGTAGGTAAGAGAAGGTAAACTCAGCCAAGAGACTCAATGGAAAATGTCCAATGCGACTGGAAGGTAGAGGCCAAGGCCAGAGGCCTACAAGCTGTATTAGGGAGCCTGTATTCTTTCCAAAAGCAATGAGCTGCCTTAGAAAGGGTGCTGAGCAGAAGAGAGTAAGGAAAATGTGTCAGGATATCTAATAGTCATTGACTACCCAAATGTTCCCCCACCCTTCCCAGCACAGTTTTGCTCTGTGGTGAGGCAGTGCTGTGTGAGTAGCTCTGGCCAAGGAACAGTGAGTAGAAGTGATCTGTGACATTTCCATGCTAAGGCTTGTAAAAACTGTTACTTGACCAGGCACAGTGGCTCACGCCTGTAATCCCAACACTTTTGAAGGACTAGGTGGGAGAATCACTTGAGGCCAGGAGTTCGAGACTGCAGTGAACTATCATTGTGCCACTGCACTCCACCCTGGGTGACAGAGAGCCTGTCCTCCAAAAATAAAAAATAAGTAAATTTAAAGCTGGTCCTTGACCTTCCACACTGGCTGCCACAGCAATCTGGAAGCCATGTGCTGAGATGGTGGCCTCCATGCATAGAAGCAGGATTCCCATGTCACCACATGGACAGCTGCCCTGGAGGCTCACCCAACCCACACTGGACTTTTCATGAGCCAAAAATAAATCTTTCTCATGTAAGCCATTGAGGTATCAAGGTTTATTTACTGCAACAGGAGCAAACTGACTAATAAAGTTTGCAAACATGATCCAGTGATTGGGATCAAAGTTTCCAAAGCTCTATGACAACATTAAAAATCCTTGTCATCTCTAGCAAAAAAAAATGTCTTCCTCCTTTTGAAAGAAGGGACTAAGATAAACTCATGTCACTGCTTTGCCTTTTCAGGGGTTTACAACTACTTTATTGATGAGCACATTGCTCTGCTGAGCAGATGTGAGATTCCTCCTGCTTAGAGAACTGTAAGTAATCTATTATATTCCTCTCTTTCTTTTTCCTTCTTCATGGTTCCACCTTCCTTGATGATGTATGTGCCTCTTTGTTCTTTCAGGCCTGGCCCTTCTCCCATCCGTCTTCAGCAGTGAGATGGTCCTGGTGGTAACTCAAAGGTGGCCATGCAGCAACTACAGCCACAAACATTGTCTTCACGCCCAGCCCTGCTGCCCCCTCCCAGGGCAGGAGAGTCTCCTAACACTGCTGCTCCTGCAGGTGGAGGAACCCGAGATCAAGCCTTGCCTGGTCTCTTATGCTTTGCCTGAACTTGGATACATTCCCTGACTTCTCTGCGACTTAGTTTCTTCTTCTGCAAAATGAGGATGATAATGCTTACTTGAGGGTCCTATGGAGATTTATAGGGAGTAACAAATGTAAAGTTCCCAGCTCAGTGTCCAGCATAGGATAGGAATCTCCTAAATCTGTTTTCCTTTTTCTCTTGCCCTTTCTTCTGAGGAAGAAGCTGAACCTCTCAGATCTTCATAGTTTAATTCCACATCTATCTATCTAGGCCTTTTGATGGGTACAACTCCATGCTTGAGTGTAGAGGATGCAAAAGATGGAACAATCTAGCTGGGGAGGCAATAGGTACTCATGGGGAAAGGTTAACAGGCTTATTAATTAAATGTGTAAATGCCCAAGTGTTTAATATAGACCACAAGTACTTAAGAAGTTCAAAGAAAGAAGAGACACACCTGGGCTCCTGGGATTCAGGCTAAGGATTCAGCACAGGGAAATGGGAAGATAGAGGCCCTTCCCACCTTCCTTCCCAAGGCTAAGTCTCCCCACTGCTGAGTTGGCCACTCTTTCTAATCCAAGATGGTCATCAAATTAACAATGAGGGAGATGGAGAGAGATTTTCTCACCAGCTCAGTCCACTCAAACCAGATACGTCCACAGGTACTATCTGATGATTCAGAAAAGTATAACAAGTATACTTTTGAATGAATTGGCCCACCAAGCACATGCTCTTGGAAGGCCTGCTCAAGGGTAGATGTACTGGTTGTACTTCACATTGCAGGTTGGGACTTTGCCTGGCACAATTTGCTCAGGTAGACCCTAACATCTGCACCAGTCATACAAAGAGGATTCCCAAAATAAAATAAGAGATTCCCATTGCTCTGTAAATATTGCACACAAATGCCCTCAAACTCCTAATTCTGGCGGCATTAGCTCCTTATTGATAATAACACCTTCAGCTGGTTGAACTGTTTACGTGGCTATGACCAGCACGTATAATTTTTGTCAAAAATCTAACAAAGCTCCAGCCACCATTCCCAAAGGAGAACATGGATTTTTGTGTGATCCTATCATATTAAAATTGCAAAACTATGCAAACTACGTAATATATCCACTTACCTAAGATTCTAACATCAAATACTGCAAAGGCCTTGATCAAAGCAGAACAGGTCAATAGTGACAGGTCAGATATTTTGTTTCTGCTTCTTTCCAACTCCTCAGGTACATGGAAATTTGAGGGACTAGAAGGCTCAAATTCAGATTTTAAGGTAGGCAGGACCCAATAGCTGCTAAAAAACTAACAAGTTCTTAAGAGAGACTGGTTAATAGATGTATAGTGTTGTAAACAAAGGTGGACAACAATCCCACAGTTCTTTCTCCATATATGAACAACATATGGACCCCACATGTTCAGACCTGGAAGGTGGCCGAGTAGTGATAAGTGTTCTTCTTTAGCATCAGAAAGCAGTGAGGACGGTCAGGAGACAGCGAGACAGAGAAAACACTAGTGTCATCCTTAAATGTTGTAAGAGCTGTAGTGTGAAGAGAACTAGGCTTTCCCTATAGTTCCGAAGAGCAGCACTGAGACCAACAGATAAAAGTTACCAGAAGACAAATTTCACCTACATGTGAGGGAGACCTTTCAAGTAATTAAAGCCATTCAAAAACTGGAAGAGCCACAAGAGGTGATGAGCATCCTGTCACTGACAAATTCCTACAAAGGCTGCCTTTCACTTTCTTGGCTGCATGGAAATTCAGGGGATCATGAGATTCTTCAGGCTTCGAAGTCAGGTTTTGTAGAGAATTTCCACATGGACAGAGAAGTTAGGTTGGGTGTCCTCAAATGACTGCCCATAAGCTAACCGAAAATTCTTACTTCCTCTGATAATATTTTCTTCCAATACAAAGGCTAAGAATTTCCTGCATGCAGGGCTTAATACCTAGGTGATGGCTTGATAGGTGCAGCAAATCACTGTGGCACACGTTTACCTATGTAGCAAACCTGCATGTCCTGCACATGTATCCTGGAACTTAAAATAAAATGAAATAAAAATTTTTAAAAAAGAATTTCCTGCTTCAGATTATCAGTGAGCACCCTAATCACATCATTATCGTTTCTAGTCTTTTTCCCAACGGACAGGTCCGGTGCTCAATGGCATTTGTGTGATTCTTTCCCCACCCCATCCCACAGTCACACCGGCACTCATGCTAAAAGCTGTCCACTATAAACCCCATCATTTATAATGCAAAAAGGGAATCATTGATTTTGCGCTGATGAGTCACCATAATGCTTTTCTCTTATATGTACTTAATCGCTGTGGTTTCTCCGAGGATGGAAAGCTTTCCTTTCTGTGGGAGGATCTAAATAGCTCTCTAAACAGACACCAGCTGGGCAAACAGTGCAGAGAATTTCGGCACAATGTGATAAGAGCAGCCGCACCCGCAACCCAGGTCGCTTCTCAGTACAGCAGCCAAATTAGAAATAGCTACTGAGCAGATCCTTTTGATCTAACCGTAGGATGCATCCATTTCTTTCTTTCTCTCTCTTTTTTTTTTTTTTTTTTTTTTTGAGACAGAGTCTCACTCTGTGACCCAGGCTGGAGTGCAGTGGCGCAATCTTGGCTCACTGCAACCTCTGCCTCCCAGGTTCAAGTGATTCTCCTGCCTCAGCCTCCCAAGTAGCTGGGATTACAGGCACACGCTACCACACTTGGCTAATTTTTTGTATTTTTAGTAGGGACAGTGTTTCACCACATTGGCCAGGCTGGTCTTGAACTCCTGACCTCAGGTGATCCACCCACCTCAGCCTCCCAAAGTGCTGGGATTACAGGCGTTGAGCCACTGCGCCCAGCAAGGATGCATCCATCTCTTAAGAGAATGCTACATCCAGTTTCACGGTTAGTCGCCAAACCTGAAAATTATCCATGTATCATGGAATCAGAATGTGTCTCTCCCAGGATGGGAACTGGACAGAGCTGGTACAGCACCCAGGCAAGGAGGAAATGATAAAACATCAGCCATGGGATGGGGGTAATGAAATGCTTCCCTTTAGTCCTCATTTCGGCGGCAGCCTTTCCCATCCTGCCCGGCATCTTCATGCTGTGCTAATCTTTGTACAGGGGTAAGGCCTTCCGTGTTTATTTCTTCCTTTTGTCCAGAAGGAAGCCACAGTAGTTTGCAATCTTAAACAGGAAACACAGAACTCAGAATCCAAGAAAGCATACTTTGCCTCTCTCTCTCAAGAAGTCTCAGCAACTATTGAACAAGCTGTGCCCATCCAACATTACATACTTGTTTGAGGCAGAATGAGATAGAATGAAAATAATGAATGAATGAATGAATGAATGACTCCTGTAAGATTGCAGACTGTTGATAGCCAGGTAGAAATCATCCCTTTAGGAATGTTCTAGCATGTGCATGGGCGTAGATGTGAGAAGAATCACAGCCTCCTCATGTGAAACAAGGGCTGGCCAGGGGTCTTTTTTAGAGGTTCCTCGGGGCTGGAGTTAGGACAAGTATTTCCAGCTCAATGCACTATGGGAAACTGAAGCTAAAGGAAGAGACAGAGCAAATAAGGTCTTTAACGCCAAGGCCACCTAGCATGTGACTGTGAGGACAGTCACCCTCCAAGGCAGGTCACATGAACTTAGAGCCCACCTTTTTAAGGGCAAGACTGTTTGGCTTCTTGCTCTGGTGGAGGAATGAAGCCAAGTCTTTAATTTGCATTTCCCAATTGAGTGGAATCAATCTCTTTTGTATCCTGAAATACTGTGATTGCCTTGATTGGGTAGTATCTTTACATGCTGAATTCCAAACCGCCAGCTACAGACACACATTCTTTATTTGCACCTTGTCTTTATATAGCCTGGGACACACTCAGAGGAGGGTGAGCCACATTCTGAAAGGGCTCACAGCGTACCTGGTTTTGCCCACATTAGTGAAGCAAATGGGTCCACCCAGTTGGGTCCACCCAGTCCAAGTCTCAATGTTGAGCCTTGACCAGAGGTTAAATACAGGATGTGGTGAAAACAGCTGAACCATTAAACCCCCTAGGAACTGAAAACCACATTATATGTGTTATTTGTTCTCCTAGGAATTGACGTGGGTATCCAAATCTAAGAAGTATGTTTAGCAAGATACTGATATCAACAAAGGGATGAGGCCCAGGGCATTGTTGGGGCAACAAAAAGCTCCCCTTCCTTCTTTCTAGAAAAGAGGAAAGGAGTCATGCTGGGTGCAGGGTTCTGGGGAGGAAGGGAGGGAGGCAAGCAGGGATTTGTTCTTGGAACAGAAAAGCACAAGCAAGCAGAGTGGGCATCCGCCTCAATGCATGGCACTGACCATCCTGCAGACACAGGTGCTGAAGGAGCCTCAGAACGCAGCTGGCATCATAGGTAGCACTCACAGGCCCATGCAGCCTCCCCAAGCCTGCTTCCCCATGTCCCTTCATGCCCTGCCCACTTTCCTAACCTTGTCCCCCAGGAGTTTCCACCAAGAGGAGGAGCAGCTGAGCTCACAGTACCTGGAGTTCTGTTGCACACACAGCTGTGCAGGCCCTGCATCACCCTCGGGCCAGGACAACACTGGGGCTACATTCACCCAGCTCCACCACCTCCAGTTGCCCCATGCTGAGAAATGGCTTCAAGGAGCAGCCCCATCCTGTGGCCTGGATTTCTCTAGGTGGGCTCAACTCACCCTCTTCCATTTGTCCTGCTCGTTTCTGCAGAGGCTACGCTGATATGTCACTTTCTTTTTTTCAGGGACCTCAGTCTTGGCCTCTCCTTTTGAACTGCTCAAGGTCCCCTTACATGTGTTCTTCATTGAGGCTTTTTTGGCAGAGGTTTGCTTCCCCAGAGATTAATAAATGCCCACAGCACACTTTGCTGAGGAAGCTGGGTGACACTAGGAGAGCTCTCTGTGTCTCTCTACCCTCCATGTTCTCTAGCAACCACATTCTCCATAGCAGTCTGTGCTCTGAAAGTTACAGGAGAGGACTCGCTGGGAAAAACCATTTTTCCAACTGGACTCCAAGTTGGAAACTGTCAAGTGGAAACATAAATACAATGAAAGGCTCAGGAAGAAAACGCAACAATAAATCTCAAGAAGCAGAGAATAGAATGGTGCATGTCAGGGGCTGTGGAGGGGGGAAAAGGGGAGCTTTTCAGTGGGTATAAAGTTTCAGTTATGCAAGATGATATGGTTTGGCTGTGTCTCCACCCAAATCTCATCGAACTGTACTCCCATAATTCCCACATGTTGTGGGAGGGACCTGATGGAGATAATTGAATCACAGGGGCAGTTTCTCCCATACTGTTCTCATGGTAGTAAATAAGTTTCACGAGATCTGATGGTTTGATAAGGGGAAACTCCTTTCGCTTGGCTCTCATTCTCTCTCTTGCCGCCACCATGTAAGAAGTGCCTTTTGCCTTCCGCCATGATCTTGAGGTCTCCCTAGCCACGTGGAACTGTGAGTTCATTAAACCTCTTTCTTTTGTAAATTACCCAGTCTTGGGTATGTCTTTATCAGCAGCATGAAAATGAACCAATACACAAGATGAATGAGTTCTAGAGATCTGTTGCACAATGTCATGCCTATAGTTTACACAGTATCGTACACGTAAGAATGTGTTAAGAGGGCAGATCTCATGTTAAACATTTTTACCACAAAAAAATAAACATATGATAAAATTAAGAACACAAGGAAACTTTTGGAGAGGATATGTTCATTACCTTGATTGTTGGGATAGTATCCTGGGTATAAGCCTATGTCAAATTCACCAAATCGTATACATCGAACATGTGCAGTTTTGGTTTTGGTTTTGTTTTGACACAGGGTCTTGTTCTGTTGCCCAGGCTGGATGGAGTACAGTGGTGCAATCACAGCTCACCGCAGCTTCAAACTCCTGGGCTCAAGCAATCCTCCCATGTCAGCCTCTCATGTAGCTGGGACCACAGGCACGTGCCACCACACCAGTCTAATATTTTTTATTTTTTTGTAGAGACAGTCTCACTTTGTTTCCCAGGCTGGTCTCAAACTCCTGGGCTCAAGCAATCCTCCTGCCTCAGCCTCCAAAGTGCTGGGATTACAGGTATGAGCCCCTGTGGCCTGCCCAGTTTTTCAAATGTATCGATTACACTTCAATAAAGCTGTTTTCCAAATAAAATGAAAAAGAAAACTCAACCATAGCGGGCGATGGGCTGTGAAGTGGGAGGGAGGATTCCTCCATGGCTCCCCGACTTTGAACTTGGATGCCTAGGTAAATGGCAAACCAGGGAAGACACAATAGAGGCGGGTATTGGTGGATTTCCACCCACAACTGCCCCACATAGGCAACCGCTATATGAAATGTTATCACCTCTTCGTTCATGATATATATATGCAGTGATGTGATGATAAATGTTTAGCAACCATATCTCCAAAAAATTGAATGTATGCGTGTGGGTATGTGTGTCTATTCCTGTACAAGTTTACTACAAATTTTTAAAATTTTTTCCCAGCTTCATTAAGGTATAATTGACAAATCAAAAGTATACATATTTATAGTGTATAATGTGATGTTTTGGTCTGTGTACACATTGTAAAAGATTAAATCAAGCTAACATATCCATCACCTCACCTCACATACTTAGCTTATGTTTGTGGTAAGAATACTTAAGATCTACTCTCTTAGCAATTTTAAGTATATGATACTGTTATGATCTGAATGTGTGTGTCCCTCCAAAATGCACATGTTGAAGCCTAATCCCCAATGCAATAGTCTTAAGGGACCTTTAGGAGGTGAGGAGATCACTGGGGTGGAGCCCTCGCAGATGAGATTAGTGCCCTTATAAAAGAGAACTGAGGAAGCTTGTTCTTCCCTTCTGCCCTGTGAGGACCCAGCTAGAAGGCATCATCTATGAAGCAGAGAGCAAACCCTCATTAGACACTGAATCTTCTAGCACCTTGATCTTGGACTTCCTCAGCCTCCAGAACTGTAAGCAATAAATTTCTGTTGTTTGTAAGCCACTCAGTTTATGATATTTTGTTATAGCAACCCAAACAGACCAAGACAAATACATTAACTATAGTTATCATGCTGTGTCTTATAAATTTTTTGACATGAAGGATGTATAGCACACAATTTACAAATAATAAGATTGCCTTTTATGTAAATCGGTAAAGTCAATTGATTCTTACAGAATGGTTTTGTTGATTTTTGCCAAACCATTGTAATTGCAGCCAACATATGGCTGCAACTGATGAACAAGTGTAGCTCCAATATGAATGCTGGTTAATATTTTTGTTTTACATTAACAAGTAAGAAGAAAGCAAAATAAATGACAAAGACATATGGTGGAAAACATTTTCATCATTCATAAGGGCGACTCTTTGTTAAATCAGGTAGTAGTTGTCAAATACTAGAAGACTGTTTCCTCAATTTTTGTGCCATTTACAATGCAGCAGCTGAAGACATGACAAACTTTTAAGTCGAATCTGCATGATTAACATTTCCCCACACTTCCTTGTGTCTAGATAATCAACAAAACAAGCAAGCTCTGATTGGCAGAATTTGTCAATTTTTTTGGTGTAAATACTCCCATTGTGGCATATTCCAGGCTACCAAGGTGATGTCACTGAACACAGAGTTGCAAAGAGATGTACAGTAGCACACCAGAGTATTGTATTTTCACCACACAGATGCAATAGCTGGCCAGGTTCGGTGGCGCACGCCTGTAATCCTAGCACTTTGGGAGACTGAGGCGGGCAGATCACTTGAGGTTAGGAGTTCAAGACCAGTCTGGCCAACATGGTGAAATCCCACCTCTACTAAAAATACAAAAATTAGCCAGGTGTGGTAGTAAACACCTGTAATCCCAGCTACTTGGGAGGCTAAGGCAGGAGAATCGCTTGAATCCACGAGGTGGAGGTTGCAGTGAGCCGAGATGGTGCCATTGCACTCCAGCCTGGGCAACAAGAGTGAAACTCCGTCTCAAAAAAATAAAAATAAACAGATGCAATAGCTATAAATAACCTTAAAAGCACAGCTAATAATAAAAGGCAGTAAAATGATTAAGAAATGATGAGCTTAGAATGTTATCATCAAATTCAATATAATTTATTTAACAATAAGTGTAATTAATTTTGAATCATGGCTGTGTTTAACAACTGGCTTGCAAAATTCCTGAAAAGTTAACGGTTGGCTCTTGCATGCCAGTTCAGCCCAGCCCCAATGCACCGTGACATAAATGCCCAAACAATATGTTATTTTTTGTACTTTAAAAAATGGTAATATGCTGCATGCAATCTGGGAGTTGCTTTTTCATACCACATTATGTCACTCTTGTCTTTTGACCCTCAACATCATCCTTGCCCCTTCTTTGCTCTCAGCTGATGTATCACAGGATGGGGCAGCCTGGGAACAGCCCTTAGGGTCTCTGTTCTGAGATCATCAGTGAGAAGCACATGGTGGGACAAAGACAGATTTCACTCTTCCTGGGGCAGCGACAGCGGCAGACAACCGGGCTTCTGCAGTAGCAACAGTGGCTTCCTGATACCTCCTGACTTCTGAGGAGCACCACCTCCCTTGGCTTTTGCTCCCTGACCATCCTTTGCAACCATTTTTTCTTTCTTTTTTTTTTTTTTTGAGACAGAATCTCACTGTCGCCCAGGCTGGAGTACAGTAGCACAATCTCTGCTCACTGCAACCTCCGCCACCCGAGTTCAAACGATTCTCCTGACTCAGGCACCCGCCCCCATGCTTGGCTAATTTTTGTATTTTGAGTAGAGACGGGGTTCACCACGTTGGCCAGGATGGCCTTGCAACCATTTTCTAGGCACCTAATTTCCTGAAGTAAACCCTTCCTGCTGGAAATATACAGAATGGTTTCTGGTTCTCAGACTAAAAGGCTAGAATGTATTCATGTTAATGCTTGTTGCCTACTTTCATCATTTTCACTGTGGTATAATGTTCCGTTTTGTGGCCATATCCCACAGGATTCTCCCTAACTTGGCTCCATTTTACACCCTGCCTGCCCAGCCTCTGATACTTTTCATAGCCAGTGTTCTCAGATTAGATTAATAGAGACCGTGCTGCGGTGTTTACCCAAATGGTTCTCATGCTTACCCATTAGCGTCCTCAATCCTTGATCTCATTCCCCCTCCTTTTCCCATAGATGAACCGGTGGATCCTGCTTTCCAGTCTGTCACCCTTGGCGTACAGGCTACCACGAGTTGAAGGAGGGTCTATTGCTGGAGAAGACTGGTTCATAGGAGTCCGCTCAGGCTCGCAGCTGCCAACATGAAAAAAAAAATCATCTCAGAAAAATGTAGCTCAGCTGCTTACAATAAGTCATTGTTATACCTACGTTTATCATTGTGGGGCACAGATGCAACCGTTTCTCTGTGCTAACAAGCTGATTAAGCTCAGCCAGGACTTTTCCAGAGGGTCCTCCCTCTCCCCACATAATCTATGTTGAGATGCTCAGCACAGAAGTTAGTGCATTGCTGGAACAAAAAGAAGTCTCTCTTTAGAGGGTTCCTAGCATCACCGCAACTCCCAATTCTCCTCTACCTCTTTGTATTCCTTTGTATCATTCATTCCTCGTTCCATGTTTCGTGTCACTGAGCCTTTCAAAGAGGGCAGATACAGCTCTCTATATTTCACAGAGAGCTCTAGAATTGCAATTACATCCATGACACATATTTTCATACCCCTCAATTCTAGGGCACTCATAGACCACAGTAAGAGATGCTCCTGCTCATTCTGAGGAACACCAACAGGCAAGATGCACCCCCTGACTGCCCCACCAAGAGCAGACCATCTGCCCTCTCTGACGGCATGCTTCACTCTGTCAACATGAAATGGCATGTTGTTCCTGAACATCCCATGATGGTCTGTGCTTCTGTGCCTTTTGCCTATCCTATTTCTGCTTCTGGGCACACTTTTTCTCTCCTTGCCTTTGGGTTGAAGCCCTACTCACCCTTTTACACCCAGTTCATTCTGAGTTGGACTTCTGGAAGGATCAGAAAGTATCCTCCATGCAGACACCACACATCACTTCACCCTTTTTCCCAAGGCAAACAACACTAACCTAGTCCAGGTCATGTTCCTGTTAGGCCCAGGTATGCCTCAAAAACTCTAGCAGAACAGCACCCCAGGCAGCATTTCCCAGTCAATCACATGAGCAAGCAAGATACACGCCTCTCTGTGTCCCTGTCTAGGTTTCTTCCGTGTCCCTGTCTAGGTTTCTTCCGTGTCCCTGTCTAGGTTTCTTCCTTTTCTGGAGACAGGCTAGGGACTGGCAGCTGTGACTGTGTATTGCTAAGTGCAATTCCAGGAGTCTGCAGAATGGAAGGCACATCCTTTTTTTTTTTTTTTTTTTTTAAGACAGAGTTTCACTTCATCACCTAGGCTGGAATGCAGTGGCGTGACCTCGGCTCATTGCAACCTTGGCCTCCTGGCTTCAAGCAATTCTTGTGCCTCAGCCTCCCTAGTAGCTAAGATTACAGGCATGCATCAACACGCCCAGCTAATTTTTGTATTTTAGTAGAGACGGAGTTTCACCATGTTGGCCCAGGCTGGTCTCAAACTCCTGACCTCAAGTGATCCTCCCATCTCGGCCTCCCAAAGTGCCGGGATTACAGGTGTGAGCCACTGCGACCAGCCAGGAGCCAAATCCTTGATGCCTCCACAGCCCGAGGCCAAGCAGGCCTCCCTCTTCCTGTGCTCCCTGATCTGTGCTAAGATCAGGTGCTCCCTCTATTCCCCAATCCTAACCCACTTGGATGCACATGTGATTTTAGTACAGCTTCCTTTAATTTCATGTTTAATGATTTTTCATACTACAACTCTTTTTTGTCAGAGCTGTATTTCTATGCTTTTTACCTTCATTGGCAAAGCTTCTGGAAACAAAGTATGTTAATGAAATTTTAAAAATAAAAAAATTACATAAAACCCAATTCAGGTATCTCCACTTCCATAAAGCTTTCTCAAACACCACCAATCTGAAATACCCTATTCCATGACCTCTGCACGTTGTATAGGATTCTTTATGCCCTTGAGGGATGAGGTAAAGTCTTCCCCCTTAATTTCTGTCACTTTAAGAGCAAACGTAGTAACAGACAAGGAGCAGACTTACTGTTTACCATAAGAGCTGTAGATTCCCAAGTTCAGTGTTCATCAGCTAAAATGTAAACTCACTACATGCTTAGCATTCACGTTGGCACATCCAGGTTACCCCTGTGGGACTTGAGGGGCAAGGGGAACCAGTGCCAACATGACGCTCATTCAGCTTGCTGTGCCATGAATAATAAAGTCCTTTGTCTCTGACCCAGGGATCTTGTGTCTTCTGCCAGCATCCATAAAACAGTAACAAGCTAACTTATCAGCTTGTAAGTAGAGTAAAATCTCAGACCCTTTGCAGGTCCTGGTCTGAGTTCATGCCTTTTCTTCTTTGGGACTGGCCCCAGAGTCCAGCATAGGTCCTGATTAGTATATATGTAGAAAGTAATCAAGTTCAATGGACTAGACTGAGGACAGGGAACTTTCCTTCTACTGAATACCACTTAGCCCAGTGTTTCTCTTTTTTTTTTTTTTTTTTGGCCCAGTATTTCTTAACCTCAGCACTATTGACATTTGGAACCAGATAATTCTCTATTGTAGGGGGGCTGTTCTGTGCATGATAGGATATTTAGTAGCATCCCTGGCCTCTACACAGTAGATGTCAGTAATACCCACCCCCAATCAAAAATGTCTCCAGACATTGCCAAATGTTCCCTGGCAGAGTAGTCTCATCCTCTACCCTCACCACTGAAAACCACTTATTTTACCTATGCAGAAGTGGGGGTGGGGTGGGGAGGAGGAAGCAAGGGGTTATAACTAAATTATCATTTAGTGGAGTTTGAGATGCTAATGTACCGGAGAGGTATAGAAATATTGCACTCACCTGCCTATTCACTCAAGGATCACACATGATAAGTCATGACATATTGCAGCCAACAGTAAAACACAATCGTCGTGAGCACCCATGGGTGCCGGGCAGGAGCGTCCACCGTTCATCCACACCCTCAGCCATTCTGTGAAGTGGGCATTTCCACTCTGCAAGAACCTGAGGCACAGGGAGGTCACGTGCCTTGCCGAGGGGAAGAGTTTGGACTTGAACGCAGAGCTGTTGATCTCTGTCGCACTTGTTCTTAATCATTAACCTATTGTTAATGATCCGACAAAGAACGTGGGGGATGACATGGAAGAGAGGGGATTGGAAGTTATGAAATGGGAAACCAAAGTTTACTTTGAGGGGAAAAAAAAGTCAAACTTACATGTCAATAGCATCCTCTTAAAGGTTGAAAATATGTAACCCTTTGGATATTTTAAGAGCACATATAGTATCAGAATCTGTAACAACATGTACTTTAATTCCTACATAAAATGTTAAAATACAGCCCAAGTGAATAGCTCTCTTTCCTGCATCCAGAAAAATGCGAACCATCCAGTCTAGGAAGGAGCAAAGTGACAAAACCTGTTTGAACAAACCCAATGCTACACTCCACTTCAATGGAGTACCTTTCCCATCTGGTGGTGGGTTCAAGAATTGTCCCTAAAACACTTTTAAATCCACTCGTGACTTTGCAAAGTAGTAGCATCAGTGCCAGCCTGAGTCCCAGCAGTTAGACACATATTGATCCCCCAAATTGATTACTAATTGACACCAGATTCTGGTAATTTCAAGGGCAGGTCAATTACTGGCTGCCTATAGAATTATTAGTACAAAGGTGAGTAACCCCTAAGGAAAAACACTATTTTGACTTTATTTAAACTTTTCCCTGAGAAGCTGACATTCCTCTACAACATTAATTCTCAGAAATATTTTTAATGCACTGTAATATTTTATCTTGGAGGCAGAGAAAAATAGCAAGAAATAAGAAAGGGGAAGAGAGTGCATGGAAGAGAGGGACAGTCACAGTCATTGCCATATTCGGTGGAGAGCCAAAAATAAGAATACACAATTATGTTTAAAATATATGGGGCCGGGCACAGTGGCTCACGCCTGTAATCCCAGCATGTTAGGAGGTGGAGGTGGGTGGATCACTTGAGGTCAGGAGTTTGAGACCAGCCTGGCCAACATGGTGAAATCCCATCTCCACTAAAAACAAAATTAGCCGGGTGTGGTGGCAGGCACCTGAAATCCCAGATACTCAGGAGGCTGAGGCAGGAAAATTGCATGAACCCGGGAGCCAGAGGTTGTAGTGAGCTGAGATTGCGCCACTGCAGCCTGGGCAACAGAGTGAAACTCTGTCTCAAAAAAAAAAAAAAAAATATATATATATATATATATATATATATGTATATCAATTAAAGATTTTAAAAGGGGTAAGTCAATTTCTCTCTGGAATCTTGAAAATATAATCCAGAAAAATGAATGACTCCATAACTAAAATATTAACTATACTTAAAAGTAGAATTGATGTCCAATACTGATATATCCAGATAACTCATATTGACACAAATATCTCTCCAATAATTTTATGTTTTCCAATATAATTGTCTCATGTCTTCATTCTCCCAATCTTTACACTGTTCTCTTTCTTTTTACAGTAATATCATAGAAAAATTGGTAATACATTTGTATTCATTAATCTGACAAATAGTTATTGAGCACCTGCTCTGTGCCAGGCATTGGGATACAGCAGTGAATAAGACAAATCCTTGTGCACATGGGGCTTACACTCTAATTGGGGACACAGGCAATCTACAAGTACACGTACCTCAGGTTCCATAGAAAGCACTAAATATCATCTCATTTAATTTTTCCAGCTCTATGTGGTGGGTCCTATTATTTTTCATTTTACATGTGAAAAACAAAAACAAAAACAAGGCTCAGAGAGGTTAATTGGTTTGCCCAAGGACTCAGATGAGTGAGTGGCAGAACCAGGATTCAAAATCAGATATCTTCTCCAAAGTCCAACATCGTCCAGCTGCAAGTTTTCAACAGCAACGCAGCCAGCATCCACTGATGACAGCTTATGTGCCAGGCCCTGGGGAATACAGAAGTGACTGGGGCCTGCCTCCAAGAGTTAGCGCAGCATCTGCCTGCCTAGGGGACATCAGGCTTCCAGTGTCTAACAGGACACCCACCTGCTCACTGGCATTCACTGAAAATAACAAATTCTCCCGATCTCAGCTCCAACATTCTGAAAAAAATACCAAAAATTATTATTTAAAAATTATAGCAAAAGTTGGCCAGGTACTGTGACTCACGCCTGGAATCCCAGCACTTTGGGAGGCTCAGGCAGGTGGATCACCTGAGGTCAGGAGTTCGAGACCAGCCTGGCCAACATGGTAAAACCCTGTCTCTACTAAAAATACAAAAATTAGCCGGGTGTGCTGGCGCATGCCTGTAATTCCAGCTATTCGGGAGGCTGAGGCAGGACAATCACCTGAGCCCAGGAGGTGGAGGTTGCAGTGAGCCAAGATTGAGCCACTGAACTCCAGCCTGGGCGACAGAGCAAGACTGTCTCAAAAAAAATAAAAAATAAAAAATAATTGTAAAAGTGAAATTCAACAAAAGGATTAACATCAAGATTAACATGAACTGATCCTGTGATTTCCCTACAAGGGGAGGAAAAGCTACGTTTGAGGCTCTTTGGATTTTTGCGGGGCTTTCTTTCCCCATTTTATTTAGAATAAGGCAATGGAAGTGCAGCTCTTGCTTCTATACTAAGCGCATTTTGAAAGACTCATTGACACCAAACATCAATGAGGAATGAAACATTACAAAGATGCTCCCCTTTAAACAAACATAAAGTCAGCGCTTTTAAATATTATGTGCTTCTTGGACAGGTATTCTAATTCAAGACAGCATCTCACACAAACTGGAGCTGGCGATCAGTCGAATAACCTGGCTGACATCACTGATAAGGCCAAGGACTCCCAGCACCTTCTGACAAACCTCTGTTTCCTGCTTCTTGTCTGAAGTACACTGTTTGCTTGGCAAAAGCCAGGAGACGTGAGAACCTCCCACAGCAAATGTTGATATAAAGAAAATTTCCTAAGTGACCAGTGATATTTATCCAGGTATTATTTCCACCACCTGTGCAGAGTTTACCAAGGAGGTGGGTAGGGTCGCTATCTTGGGTGCGTTCAGCTTGAGTTGCCTGGATACCACATCTTGAGTTCAACAGGGAACATAAATCTAATTGTTCCTCTCTTCACTTAAACCCTAAGGATTCCAAATTAGATTGCATTGCTGAACTACATGAGTGAACCTTATGCATTTGACCTCTCAATGTGGTTTGCAAATCTACCCTCTGGAACTAAAGGCAGGAAGCTTTGCTATTGAAAAGATGTTAGCGTCTCATCAAACACAGCCAATGTTCAAGAATCGTGCCCCTTGGCAGGAGCATGTTTTAATTGCTGGTGATATTGCAGAACAGATTTCTGAAGTCTAATTTTCTTTCTGCAGCCAAATTTTCGACGTATATTAATAATATCCTCATAAACTTACATCTGTGGGTACAGTCATCGCTGCATAGTTGGCTTCACAGTTCTAAAAAAGAAAAAGAAGAAAATTTGGAAAAATTATTCCCAAAAAGGACACGATTATAAAGTTGATAGTAGGAGCAAACTTCAAAGTTACCACTCCTATAGAATGTTTAGAAAATTTTAAGATGATTAAACTTCATGGAAATTTTTAAGGTCTCTTTTCATGAAATTATTTTTTTCTTTTGACTATATTTCCATTTTATAGCACTTATCACAACAGTAATTAACGAATTAGCTGCATAATGATTTATTTAATGTCAGTCCCCCTGCTCGTTCTGTAACCCCCTCCAAAGGGAGGAACCGGGACTGATCTGTTTACCTTCCCAATGCTCGGTATATTGACAAATAGCAGGGGCTCAAAAAACTTTTTTTTGCTGCTGTTATCTCCATAATAGGATCATGATTGCATTGTCAGAAGTGTCAATTAGCTACCTCAAAAGCACTTGGCTTCATTTAATGACTTCCTCTCATACTACAGTTATGCAAGATGTGACGGAAGTAAAGGAAACATGGAATATCCTTGTATATTTTTTGCAACTTCCTATGAATCTACAATTATTTCAAAACAAAGAGCTTTTCTATAAAAAAAAAAAAAAAAAAAAAAAGATTTTGCTCCCTGCCACCAGCTTCTTGGATTTCACCTAGATCTTAGGAACTTCCATCTCAATCTTCCCATACCCATAATATACTTGGCTTCCTGATTTCAACAATGTTTTCCAGGAGGTTGACTTTCAACAACCCAATATGAGCTAGAAGCTCAGCGTTCCTTCCCACCCACCCTTGACAAAGCAGATCATTTTATACGACAACAGCCACTTTTCTGAGAGGGCCTGCCAAAATGCCAAGTGTGGTGCCAATTTTTATACAATTGATTCCTTTCTGTCTCCTCCACACAGAGACCACCAAAAAGCTGTCACATGGTAGTAATTTTCAAGAACTCACTGGCACATCAAGGGTCAGGAAGAAATGTTATGTTGATGAGCTGGTCATTTGCTCAAGATTTCTGGTTGGCAAGAAAATACAGAGCGTGCACACCCAGGTTCCCAGACGACAAACCACACACCCAAGTATTATTGAGCCTCATCCATGGCAGCCTCATGTTACACAATGAATCAGGCCACCGCCCAGCGCCAAGAGCCTTGGAAAACTATGCAAAGTGCATTAAAATCAACAGAAAAACTTCTCATGTCACAATATTTAGCTTCTCACTTCTCCAAGCTTCCCCCAAAAACCAACCCTCCCCGGCCAAAGTTTGACGCTACTGGCTTGAATCACACAGTCAGATTTGGACTTTTCAACAAACCACAGAACAGATATTAACTTTCCTGTGAGCCTGGGAATACGGTCGGCAGTTCTGGGCATGAAGAGAGGTTCAGTGTCCAGGGGCAGAGCTGAGCCAGGGTTGCAGGGAGCCAGCAGAAGGTGGTTCCCAGCTGCCCTCTCCAGCCCTGAGCTGAGCCCACTCTCTGGACCTCTTTGTCTTCCCAAATGATGCCCTTCCCCGGAAGAAAAACAAAACAAGACCAAAGGCCAGGCGTGGTGGCTCATGCCTATAATCCTAGCACTTTGGGAGGCCAAGGTGGGTGGATCACCTGAGGTCAGGAGTTTGAGACCAGCCTGGCCAACATGGTCAAACCTCGTCTCTACTAAAAATACAAAAAATTAGGTGGGTGTGGTGGTGCATGCCTATAATCCCAGCTACTTGGGAGGTTGAGGCAGGAGAATCACTTGAACCTGGGAGGCAGAGGTTACAGTGAGCCGAGATCGTGCCACTGCACTCCAGCCTGGGCAACAAGAGCGAAACTTCGTCTCAAAAAGATAAATAAACAAAGCCAAAAATATCTGCCTTTAAATTCACATCAGTCTCTGTGGGTCAGAAGACAAAGGCTGTCTAGCTCTCCAACACCTTCACAGGCTTAAAGCAGGACCTTCCACTGACTCGTGTGAAGGCAATGGCAAATAACAGACATTCAAGGAGAAACAGCTTTGACGAACCTCTCCTGACAGTGAGGCTAGGAGAGAGAAAAAGAAATGAAAATCAATTTGCATGATCACCAAGACAGAAATGGGGGCAGAGGGAAAGAGGGCCGAAAGGAGAGAGAAATGATCTTCGTTATTAATGTTTTTAATATGGCAGCATGATTAAGACATAGTCTCCCTGCCAGGCAGCAAGTTCAGAGGGAGACAAACCGCCCATCTTCTCATGGGTTTTTAGCAGGAGAGTAATGCCCATTGGCGTAACAGTTTCAAATCGATACAGCACTTTCACCTATAGAAACTCACTTACGGACAGGTGCTCTGGCTCATGCCTGTAATCCCAGCACTTTAGGAGGCCAAGGCGGGCAGATCACCTGAGGTCGGGAGTTCGAGACCAGCCTGACCAACATGGAGAAACCCTGTCTCTACTAAAAATACAAAATTAGCCAGGCATGGTGGTGCATGCCTATAATCCCAGCTACTCAGGAGGCTGAGGCGGGAGAAGCTCTGGAACCGGGGAGGTGGAGGTTGCAGTGAGCCGAGATCATGCCACTGCACTCCAGCCTGGACAACAGAGTGAGACTCCGTCAAAAAAAAAAAAAAAAAACTCAGTTAAACTCTCAGCCATCCTGAGATATTGTACCCAATTTACAGAAGAGGAAACTGAGACTTAGAGAGCAAGGGGCAGAACCAGGAGAACAGTGCGATGAGTCAGGCCAGCCATTCCGTAGGGAAGTGAAAGAAGCAAGTGAGAATTGCCGTGCTAGTCTTTGGGAAAAATAAGATAAAGCATAGCTCCCCGGGTAGGGGTGGGGGAGATTCCTCTCCTCCTTTGGAGTAGGCCTAGGACTACGGAAACAGGATTTCAGAGTTACACTTGTTCTGACAATCCAGAGAATAGTCCCTAAGCAGATAAATGCTCATTTCAAAGGTGATTCTCGAACATTGTCTCCAAAAAGAAATCCACCCAGAAATGTGAGATGAGAGGACTGTACACAAAGGGCCTCAACTGTTGCTTCCATTGGCGGCTCCAATGGGATACTGGTTTAAGTCAAAATATCAAAGGATTTGACGGTGAGCAGCGCTGGCCAGACTCCTGACTGCAGCCATGAGGAGAGAGAAGCCCCTGTTGTCCAGGCTTCTGTTCACACATCTGCATTTTCCCAGTGCAAACAGAGGTGGCCTTGCGGGACAGAGCAGGAGAGTGAGGAGGGAGATGGATCATCACTGTCCCTCACTGATGCCAGTTTCCTTTTCACCACTGGGGATAAAAATGCTTGGCTCCAGGCCAGACACCATGGTTCACACCTGTAATCCCAGTGCTTTGGGAGGCCGAGGCGGGCAGATCATCTGAGGTCAGGAGTCCAAGACCACCTGGCCAACATGGTGAAACCCCGTCTCTACCAAAAATACAAAAATTAGCTGGGCATGGTGGTGTGCAGCTGTAGTCCCAGCTACTCAGGAGGCTGAGGCAGGAGAATCGCTTAAGTCTGGGGAGGCGGAGGTGCAGTGAGCCGAGATCGCGCCACTGCACTCCAGCCCGGGCTACAGAGTGAGACTCCATCTGAAAAAAGGGAAAAAAAAAAAAAGCTCGGCCCCACCACCTCACAGAGCCAGAGTTAAAAGCCAACTTGGGCCGGCGCCTATTGCATCTAGGAAGGTAAAGCCTAGTAACCTGGGGGAAACTGTTTTCCCAACTCAGCCTACGATTCCATTTTGTTTTATTTAACCTCGTTCTGGGCGTGCAGTTTGTAGCCACGTGGGAGGCTCCTGTACTGAATTGTTTCCAGTGTGCTGAACCAGACTGATGTTTCCCTGATGCTAGGCCAGTGCGATCTCATTTCTCCTCCTGTGAGAGATTTGGGAGCACGCCTCCCTGGGCAGAGGCTAAGGGGAGCAAAATAGTGCACCCCCAAGTGCTAGCAGCCAACATAAACCATCAGGCTTAGTAGTAGGGAATGGAACAGCCACCCTGCAATGGCTAAAATACACATCACATAAAATTTACCATCTTCACCATTTTTAAGTCTACAGTTCGGCAGTGTTAAGTACATTCACATGCGTGTGCAGCCACCTTCACCACCATCTCCAGAACTCTTTACATCTTGCAAAACTGCAACTCTGCCCCATTAAACACTAACTCCCCATTCCCCTTCGCCCCAGCCCCCGGCAACCACCGTTCTACCTCTGTCTCTACGAATTCGACTACTCTAGAGACCTCGTGTAAGTGGAATCATACAGTAGTTGTCCTTCTGTAACTGACTTCTTTCACTTAGTATAATGTCCCCGAGGTTCATCCCTGTGTCCGAATTCCCTTCCTTTCCAGGCTGGGTGCTGCGCTGGTCTATCTACAGCCATACAGCATTTTCTGTATTTATTCCCCCATCGATGAACGCCTGGGCTGCTTCCACCTCTCAGCTATGGTGAATAATGCTGCTATTAGCACAAGTGTACACACATTTGTTGGAGTTTGCAGCCCTTTCTCACAGCTTCCCAAACAGACAAATAGAAGTGAATGGCGCATCCCAGAAGACTGTTGTTTCCCTATTGCGGGGTTAACTGCCCAAGTCCACCTGAAGGTGATGGGCCGGGCCCTTCCGATTCAAGCTGGGGCTCAGGGGGCTGTCTCAGAGGCTGCCAAGGCTACCTTACTGTACAATGCCTCACACACACACAACACCCACCACAATGCCCAAGCTTCACACAACATGCACCCCAACTCTCCCATATACCCCAACTCTCACAACACACACCCTATCAGATGACCCAGCTCTCATACACCTCAACTTTCACACATACCCCCTCACACACACCCCAACTCACACACACCCCAACTCACACACACCGCAACTCACACCTCAACTCTCACACATCCCAACTCACATACACCCCAACTCACACATACCCCAACTCACACACACCCCAACTCACACACACCCCAACTCCCACATACCCCAACTCCCACACACCCCAACTCCCACACACCCCAACTTCCACATACCCCAACTCCCACACACCCCAACTCACACACACTCCAACTCCCACATACCCCAACTCACACACACTGCAACTCACACCTCAACTCTCACACACCCCAACTCACATACACCCCAACTCACACACACCCCAACTCTCACATACAACTCACACACTGTAACTCATACCTCAACTCTCACACACACCCCAACTCACACACACCCTCACACACCTCAACTCTCACACACACCCCAACTCACATATAACCCAACTCACACACACTATAACTCATACCTCAACTCTCACACACCCCAACTCACACACACCCCAACTCTCACACCCCAACTCACACACACCCCAACTCTCACACACACAACTCACACCTCAACTCACACCCCAACTCATATACACCCCAACTCACACACACACTCACATACCTCAACGTACACACACTGCAACTCACACCTCAACTCTCACACACACCCCAACTCACATACACCCCAACTCACACCCACCCCAACTCTCACATACCTCAACTCACACACACAACTCACACCTCAACTCTCACACACACCCAAACTCTCATAACACACACCCCAACTATCAGATGACCCAACTCTCACACACCTCAACTCTCACACACATTCCAACTCACACACACCAGCTCTCACACGCATCCCAATTCACACACACCCTAGCTCTCACAACACACACCCCAACTCTCACACACCTCAACTCACATCCCAACTCACACACACCCCAGCTCTCACACACCCCAACTCACACACACAACTCACACCTCAACTCTCACACACAACCCAGTTCTCACACACACTGCAACTCACACACCCCAACTCTCACACATACCACAACTCTCACAGCACACACCCCAACAGATGACCCAACTCACATACACCCCAACTGTCACACACATCCCAACTGATACACACCTTAACTCTCACACACTCCAACTCACACCATTCCGACTTACATACACCCCAACTCACACACACCCCAGCTCTCACACACCCCAACTCACTTCAAGTCACACACCTCAACTCTCACACACCCCAACTCTCACAGCACACACCTCAACAATCAAACGACCTCACACACCCCACTCACACACATCCCAGCTTGCACCTCAACACACACACTCCAGCTCACACACCCCAATTCACACACACCCCAACTCACACACCCCTCAACTCACACACCCCAACTCTCACACACAACTCACACCTCAACTCACACACACTCCAACCCACTCACTTCAACTCTCACACACCCCAACTCACAAATGCCCCAACTCACACACACCTCAGCGCACACCTCAACTCTCACACACCACAACTCTCATATCTGAGCCCCACCAATCAGAAACCCTGCCATGTCCAGGGACTTCACGAAGACAGCCTCCAGGCCAACTCAACCCGGAGTCGAGTCCAGTGGCTGTTTGCTCCTGGCTCTCCATAAGAGTTTGCTTGGACTGAGGTGAACATTCACTGGCAGAGGACTCTGTGTGACTGGCTTATTCCACGAATGCCAGCACCTACCTGACTCACTGACCTGACCCAGCACTTCCCTAAGCAGTAGCCACATGGACCACTGAGCAAGCAAGTGGTGCAATAAGCGCACTGAACAGATGCTGGTTAATCAGGAGGGCAGTAAGGTCTTCCCGGACTGTCCTGATAAGGGTACCTATGGTGACAATAGCAGAAAGTGGCCCCAGACTTCAACCTATCTGCTTTCCTGCATCTGGGCCCCAGCCCTCCTCAGGAGGTTGACTTAACCACTCACCACACCAATAAACAAATCTCCCTTCAACCTCAGGCAGTTCAGGCATCGGATGGCCAAAGTGCAGAGAAGGATGCTTTCCCTCCCCTTTTCAGGAAGATAGGAGAAGAAAAGTCCTGTGGATAGCATCCACGGATTGACTGGCTTTGCCAGGCCTGTGGATAGTTATAGTCACAGATGTCACAAGGTGCACAAAACAAAATGATCCAGCCATTAGAGACCAGGGCTGCTTCTCAGCAGGGCACAAGGCAGGAAACTGAAAGATCACTCAAGTCTCTAACGAAGAAACCCAACCAGAAACAATAGAAGAGACACCTTCTCAACTATCTCAATCAAATGTGTCGTCATCTTCTGCAACAGACCTTACTGTCTTTGAACCAATGCATTCAGTCATATCTCAAAAGACTCCCAGCTCTGGATCCAATCGGCTTGAACTTGAACCCATTTTGCCAGGAACCAGGAGAACAGGCTCCTAGGCAGAGCATGAGGCTGTCAACTCACCTCTTGTGGAAAGGTTTGCTCTGAGTTTGTTTTTTAAATAAAGAGGGCAACGGCAGGAATAATTACATGTAGTAAATATACTACTCCCCTCCTCAAGTAACCTCTTCACAGCAACCGAGACCCAGGAAAGTCTGTCATTAAGGTCCATAAAGGAAAAAAAGTGCATATCAACATTGAGGTTTTTGTGGTGAGCCATGATGAGTTCTCCCTAGAGTTTGCTGGTACTATCTCACCAGGCTCTTTTATCCCAACATGGCTGTGGTTTAGTCTTCAAACAAGTTGAAAGGTAAGCAAATACCCTTCCTTCCAGGTTACATTTGACTGCCCTCAGCGTCAGGTGTGTTTTGTGAATGCCAGCATTATCATAAAAAGCCACAATTCACCCACACACAACCACAGAACCCCCATCTAAAATAAACCAGAACTGGGGCAGAGCTTTATCCAAAGAACAAAATCAAATGTGCTTAAAAGGTGATACAGCCAGCTTCACGATCGTGGATCTTCTTGAAGTGGGAAATGAGAGAATTAAGAGAAATCAGATGAGTAATTCAAACCACTGTAAAACCCTGCCAAACATCACAAATGAAGTCTTTTTTTATTTATTTTTTTATTTCAATAGGTTTTTGGGGAACAGGTGGTGTTTGGTTACATGAATAAGTTCTTAAGTGGCGATTTCTGGGATTTGGGTGCACCCATCAGCCAAGCAGTGTACACTGTACCCAATGTGTAGTCTTTTACCCCTCACCCCCTCCCAGCCTTTCCCCCCGAGTCCCGAAAGTCCAATGTATTATTCTTATGCCTTTGCATCCTCATAGCTTAGCTCCCTCAAATGAAGTCTTAACAACACTGACTAAATGTGCACTGTCTAACTCAGTAGTCATTAGCACATGTGGCTATTTCAATTTAAACTTTAGTTCATTAAACTGAAATAACATTTAAAATTCAGCTCTGCAGTCATGCTAACCACATATATCAAGTGCTCAAAAGCCACATGTGGTTAGTGACTACCATATTGGGCAGCACAGATATAAAACATTTGTATCATCATAGAAAGTTATATTTTCCAGTATATAAGACTAACTACTAAAAAAGGGAAAGGGAGTAGAAAAAAATGGTCTTTAAAAAAAAAAAGAGGTCCAAAACCTAAGCATCCACTGTATACCTCTCTTGCAGCTTCCTGGAGCCTCATTCAAACACAATAAACATTCAGTTGACTTGTTATGAGACTCTAGGACTAAATAACCAATGTTGTTCCATTAAAAGATAGTAGCAGTACATGAGCCATGTCTTATTATTTTTGTAATTATTATAAATTTTTAAATAAACTGAGAGCAACCCTTTTTGCAAAAGATTGGTTGATGGCCTCCTGTTTATTCTGGGAATCTGTTCTCCTGATTTCTGGTGGGATGATTTTAGATCTTGCTGGAAAGGAATAGGAAAACATCCTACTTCCCACTTCAAGCACTTTTAGGATATATTTATTTATGATCCTTATTCTTTCCATAAATGTTCAACATAGATTGAATGATTTTTCTTATTTTAGGAATTTTCTTAGCATAAGCATTTGCTAAGGACCACCCCAAATTTGGATGTTATTATGGAACAGTAGAGATTATCTTAGTCAAGGCAAAGCAAGTAATGAAAACCAACTTGGGCTACCTTGATCAGAAAATGAAATTTGTGAGAAGGATGCGGGGGTGCTTCATGGAACCCGAGGATAAGGAGACTTCATGAGCAACTGGGGGACTGGGAAATCCACGAGCTCTCTGCCTCTTAGCTCCACATCTCTTTGTACAACTACTTTCTCCAGAACTTCATTGTTTACTTCACTTCATAGGGTAGAAAAAGACCATCTTATAGCTCTAAGGAATACCTATGGCCACTCCATGACTTCTGGATTTTTGTGTGCTCCTTGGTACTCAGGATTTCTGAGACCCAATTCTAAGTGCCCAGGAAAGCTGATTTACCCGGCTTGCCCCAGTGATCCAAACAACCATGGAAGGAGGGGGGAACCGTCTTAATGCAAACGTGTCAGCAACAGGTACTGAGGTCTCAGAAATCCTGAGTACCAAGGAGCACGCCCTCAGCACTGTGAGACCTGAGTAGATGGTTCAAAATCCAGCCATGGGCCACTAAATTTCCACTTAAAATCATTGTCATGGAATCATTCATAATTTACAGTTGCCATTTTGCCATTGACAAAATTGTGGAAAGAAGGAACTTCCTGACTTGTCTAAAGTCATAGCTACTCATTGGCAGAGACAAAAGAATTATATGTGGACCTTGATTCCTGCCTCCTCCTATTTCTACCACATCCCATTGAAACTTTCACCAATTCAATAGAATTGAAATTGTTGAATTTGCACCCACTAATGATCCCTCAATTATTAACTATTCCCATACTTGAATGTTGTGTACACACTTTTGCACAGTTCTAATGATATGTGCAGCAGGAATCTTGTCTAGGCTGTAGATGAAGCTTGTGGAGGTGAAAGACCCACCCACATGCATGGCATCCACTAATTATCATGGGGTCCAGAAACCTCCCCCCAAATTACTGGAATCTCTGTTGAGCCCAGGAGCAGGTAGAACAGTGCCAAGTAGGGGAAGCCCACAGAAGGTGGGAATAGAGGAGACTGTGACAGTCCCTGGGACAGAGTCTACTGTGCTGGATAAAGGTTGAACCTGATGTGTCAGATTCACCAACAGGACCTGTGGGATAGAGGGAAATGGTAATTCTAGGTACGACTCTGCCTGGATGCTGCCCGCAGGCTCAACCACATTGACAGTGTGTACATGATTTGGGGAAGAAAAAGGATGTACAATACAAACAATTAAGAGAGCTGTAAATTCTTGGGAGCCAGCACCCAGCATCTCTGAAGAGGGAGCGCCTCCAGAAAAGCAGAGATTGGAAGGTGTTTCCCTAGCGGCAAGAGAGGGGTAAGCCCCAGCACACCTAAAGTCCAGGAGGCAACAGAGGCTGCCTTCCATCCCCACTTTCACTGCTGCCCCCACCCCACCGCCCCAAGCAAGTATCAGCAGACCAAAGAAGTCTTAGAGCTTTAAGGGGACTTGGAGCTCCAGAAACAAAAGTAAGTTCTACCAACAAGTCCAATGTAGAAAACTACGGGGAACGACGCTGATTGGCCCCGTTTGCATTACCTGACAACTCCAGGACCAATCACCATGGTGGGAAGGATGTGGCACCATAAGCAGCACACCCTGCGTCAGGTGCCCGTTCAGCCCCCCACAACCACACATGTTAGGGGAGGACCAGCAGGACCTCAAAGGTGAAGAGAGGTACTGTTACTGGAGGAAGAAGTGCTAAACACACCAAAACAGCAGATACCTACTGGGTACTCCCCACCTGAGGGATTTCTACACAGTTAACCTAACAAGGTCAAGAATAAAAGGTATGAATAAGCTGAAATCACTTTAGAGAGGAGTTTCTGAAAAAGAAGATGCTAAGATAAGACCTTAAAGTTCTCCAAGAGGATAATATGGAAAAAAGACAAGGAACTAAGACAACCAAGAAATAGAAGTATAGGAATGAAAAAGACAAAAGAAATAAACTAAAGAGCAATAAAAGTTGTCACATAGGCTGGGCGCGCTGGCTCACGCCTGTAATCCCACCACTGTGGAAGGCCGAGGCCGGTGGATCACCTGAGGTCAGGATTTCGAGATCAAACCTGGCCAACTTGGTGAAATTCCATCTCTATTAAAAAGACAAAAAATCAGCAGGATTAGCAGGCAGGTGCCTGTAATCCCTACTCAGGAGACTGAAGCAGGAGACTCACTTGAACCCGGGAGGCAGAGGTTGCAGTGAGCCAAGACCACGCCACGGCACTCCAGCCTGAGCAACAGAGCGAGACTCCATCCCAAAAAAAAAAATTGTCACGTAGTAGCACCTCCTAACTCTACATGCATTCTTTCATTTAATCCTCCTAAACAGCCCTGAAACAATTCTGCATGATTGATTATCACCCCCACTTAGAGAAATCTGAGTTTCACAAAATGAAATCACTCACCCAAGGTCATTCAGCTAGTTATGCAGCTGGATTGGAAATGTAACCTAGGTTAGACTGACCTCCAAGCCCCTCCCACCCCCTTTTATGTCTCTCTGCCCCCTCCCCACTATACTACCCCCGCATCCTGCAGAGTCTGAAAGTCAATCACGAGGACTTTGGAGCTTGTGTGAATATTTTTGAAAATGCAGTAATATCCATATCAGAAGTTCGCATGTAAGAATTCAATAACTACTTTGAGTTTAACTGGAATGGTAGGAATTGGAAAGCCAGGAAGGTGTGAGGTAGGGCTTCCCACATGTTCATGCCATAAGCATCTCTGTGTGCTTGTTAAAACTGCACCATCTAGGTCCTCATCCCCAGAGATTCCAATTCTTTGGGTCTGGGGTGAGGCCCAAGAAGTGCCACTGCAACAAGCATCAGCTGATTCTGAGGTCATCCTTCAGAAACCCTGGGGAGAGACCACGGAGGAATTCATGATAAGAGGCTATGATTAAAGAAAAAAAGGAGAAAGGTGTTGCATTCTAAGACTGTGAGAACTGGAAAAGAAGAAAAAGAGATGTGTCAAAGGCGACCACTAAATCTACTTATCTGCCTTTGACGATGAATGTAGTCTTTATCCCAAGAAGAGAATATTCTGGAAGAGCTGGGCAACTGGTAAAAGGAAGGGGAGAGGGGGGAGATGCCTCCTGCATCAGTAAGTGGCAAGATACCAAACCTAAGCTAAGGCTTAAAATAATTATTAATACTTGATTTAAGTTTATAAAAGAGTAAGGAATGAAAATAAGAGGAAAGAATGCACTAAGTCAATGTTATTGATTTACACTGTGAAAGAAATGCCAGAACTATTATTTGGATGTCAAAATAACTCCAAGAAGAGTACAAGGCTGTTTTGATAATTTGAAACCAAATACCTCCCTTCTTTGAGATGAGGCTTTCAGACATAGAGCCTCCTTAAATCCCACTGCGATGTTCTGCGCAGGTCATATTTCCTCTTCAAAGGTTATTCCCTGTTAAATTATCTGCAATTTCAAAAAGAACAAGTCGTTGTCCCACTTTGAGTCCCCTTCTCTTAAAAGCATGTTTTGACTAAGATTAATTTATAGCCCAAGGAGATTTGGAGAAAGGAAAAAGCCTTGAAATTGCAAGTAAAAATAAGAATTCCGGTCGCTTCTTAAATATCAAGTAATGTTGTTTTGGGAATAGGACCAGATTTGCAGAGCTACAGGTAAATGGACTGACTGTGGGATTTGCAGCATCCAGAAGACACTTCGGTGGGGGTAGGAAATCTAGCTCGATGCTGCAGGGTGTGGAGGAGTCTTATTGGGAGCCAATACTGGGCAATTTGCTGAGCCTCTCAGCAGTTCACCAGACAAGAAGCGGTAAAGTAGGAAAAAAGAGGACAAAGATGCTCAGCGCCTTCTTGGGAGTGTTGGGAGGCTAACGAGTGAATGCTTGTGAACACTTGTGAAGGGGCTGGTCAGCAGGATGGCCTGGTGCATTTGACTTCAGGCTTCCAGGAAGCACGCTTGTCTCCAACTGTGTCTTGACCACTCCTATCACAACGGATGTGCTCACTGAGAGTAGCAGTATAGACTAAAGAAGACCCTTTATGGATTTTCTCTGATTTTTCCATAATAATTTCTCATTTGCGCTTTTTCTATGCTTGCCTTTACGTAGGTTTGGAATCTCTGCGTCAGTCATATATGTAGCACTTGCTGAACAAACCAATAACTAGGTATTTGAGGACAACTGAAGGGGACCCCGCAGAGCCTGCCAGGCAGTGCTAACAGTTCTAGGTTTCTCACCCACCTTAGAAGACAAACTTCCTTCTACCTCTTGGCTTTTACATATACTCACTTTGATCATTCCAATTCCAGTGGATTTTTTTTTATTATTCAAATGACTGGAAGAAAAAGGTGTTTTCAATAGGGTAAGGTATTAAGTGCACAGTGGCTTTGATCTGTTGGCATTTCCTGAATCCTTGGATTTTCAACTGTGGCCCAATTCTTACTTCCTTAGAAAGAGGATCCGTTAGTTTGCTGAGGCTGCCATAACAACATACCACAGACTAGGGGGCTTCAACAACAGACATTAATTTCCTCACAGTTCTGGAGACTGAAAGTCCAAGATCAAGGTGTCCACGGGTTTGTTTTCTCCTGCGGACTCTATCCTTGGCTTGCTGATAGCCACCTTCTCGCTGCATCTTCGCAAGGTCACCCCTTTGTGCATGTACACCCTGGTGTCACTCCTTTCTTTTTTTTTTTTAGAGTCTCACTCTGTCACCCAGACTGGAGTGCAATGGTGTGATCTCAGCTCACTGCAACCTCTGCCTCCCAGGTTCAAATGATTATCCCGCCTCAGCCTCCCGAGTAGCTGGGATTACAGGCGCGCACCACCACACCCGGCTAATTTTTGTATTTTTAGTAGAGACGGGGTTTCACCATGTTGGTCAGGCTGGTCTCGAACTCCTGACCTCATGATCCACCCACCTCAGCCTCCCAAAGTGCTGGGATTACAGGCGTGACCCACCACCCCTGGCCCACTGCCTTCTTATGAGGACACCACCCTTATGACCACATTTAATCTTAATTATCTTCTTAAATGCTCTTTTCCCAAATGCAGTCACATTGGGGAGTTAGGACTTCAACATGAATTCTGTGACAATACAATTCAGTTCATGATAGAGGATAACCCAGAAATATTAACAGAGTCAACTATTAAGACTCTGAAGAGGCCGGTGTGGTGGCTCACACCTGTAATCTGAGCACTTTGGGAGGTCGAGGCAGGAAGACTGCTTGAGCCCAGGAGTTCAAGACCAGCCTGGACAACATAGTGAGACCTCATCTCTACTAAAAACCTAAAACAAATTGTCCAGGCATGGTGGCATGCACCTGTGGGCCCAGCTACTCAAGAGGTTGAGGTGGGAGGATTTCTTGAGCTGGGGAGGAGGAAGCTGTAGTGAGCCGTGATCACACCACTGCACTCCAGCCTGGGTGACAGGGCAAGACTCCATCTCAAAAATAAAATAAAATCTGAGGCAGGAGAATGGTGTTAACCCAGGAGGCGGAGCTTGCAGTGAGCCGAGATTAGGCCACTGCACTCCAGCCTGGGCGACAGAGCGAGACTCCGTCTCAAAAAAAATAAATAAAATAAAATAAAATAAAATAAAATAAAATAAAACTCTGTAGAATGGTGGAGGGGTTTAAGGTATTACTCTGTTACAACTTGATCCATAATATATCAATGTACAAATACCACGGGTTAAACCATACCTCTAAAATAAATCAACTATATATATAATAAAATCCCATATGCATGGGAGAAGATGATACTATTTCTAGTCTTTACTTTTTTATATAATTGAAAGGGACTTCCATTCAATCAGAAACGCTTGGACATTCATTTTATATCCAAATGATAAAGTATGTCAAAATACACGTCTTAGAAACCACTTGTATTTAGCTTCTGATGGGAGAAAAAAAATGTGGATACAGCATTTAATAAATAAGGTATGAGAGCTTTTCACTCAATATCCTTATGATCCAAAAATCTGCTGCTGCTAAACTTAAAAGCAATTACTGTTTTATAAACAGTGAGACATAATTCAGAAGGCACTTAATCCAACATGTGTAAAATCTGTGTAAATCATCAAAAGTGACTAGCTGATGGAGATTTCTGGTTTCTGGCACTAAATCGCCATTGGCCTATGGTTCTTAATATTTTCCTTCGTCAAGGTACACGACTATAAAACTCCATGAGGATTGACAAATACCTCTTTTGCAAATGAGCTAACGTAAAATACCTCTTTTGCAAATGGGCCAAGAGGCAGTCTATAACATATGATCATTTAAGGGAGAGGTAAGGTCCTGGAACTAAATTGTCCTAAATTGTGTTAAACCACATGCCCACGACAGACTGAACTCATCCCTACTGATAGATTTTTCTGAAGAGTATAGTGCACAGCCTTTCTGGCAGCTCACAACACTTCTACCAGGCACTCCACAACTGACACCATCAAGGTGAAAACATGCAGATGCCTTCTTAGCCTAACCAATACCATTAGCTCAGATTTCCCATTTATCTTTTTATCCTTTATTATTTTCTCCTTGCTTCCAGCATTGGATTACTTTCTTTTAAGTCATATTTCTTTATATAACTACACTTTCATCCAATGCGTGCCACCTCCCATGGAACTTGTCTCTTTTTGTTTTTTTGTTTGTTGTTTTTTGAGACGGAGTCTTGCTCTTATTGCCCAGGCTGGAGTGCAATGGTGCGATCTTGGCTCACTGCAGCCTCCACCTCCCAGGTTCAAGCGATTCTCCTGCCTCAGCCTCCCGAGTAGCTGGGATTACAGGCATGCGCCCCCACGGCTGGCTAATTTTGTATTTTCAGTAGAGACTAGGTTTCTCCATGTTGGTCAGGCTGGTCTCGAACTGCCGACCTCAGGTGATGTGCCCTCTCGGCCTCCCAAAGTGCTGAGATTACAGGCGTGCGCCAGGAAGTTTTCTCTTTAAGCTTCTCCTGTGCTGGAGAGTTATGGTGACTAATATCTACTAACAATCATTAGCCAAGTGTGATGATAGAAAAGAAGACATAGTTGTGAGTGAAACACAAAAAGAAATAGCGCATAGTACAGACTTTTTTGGAAAAATATTTGTATACTTATGACATATTTTACCATAAGGCACCTGATTCAACACAAATATGGCTGGTGATGGCATCGAATCGGGAAAGCACTCATTGTTAACACCCCCTCTAAAGTGCGAAAAACTCAGGTCATTTTCTCTTGACAATGGCACTGAGGTTCTGAAGAACTTCCACAGACAGGCCCTGTACTCTCCAATTTCTTTTCTAATTGCTGTTACCAAATGATTGACCCAAAAAAGCAAAATATAGGAACATTAACTACATTCTCTTACTGGTAATCTGATGGCATTTTACCTCAGTAAGGAATATTTACAGTGAGCAGTATAAAATATTATATTGACGTCCAATTTCCAAGTGAAAATGACTTGTTCACGGGGTTCACCGTACGCTTATTTATAGGCAACTCTGGTATGAATTATCATCATTATTCATTCATTAACTCATTCAACAAATATTCCTTGAGTTTTTACCAGAAACTACGCCTGGTCCTGGGAACACATTGCGAGATATGCAGACAGGATCCCAGCCTGCAGGAAGCTTCAGTCCAGCATCAGCACTAGAAGGGCAGCAGTTTAGAAAGTGAAAGACTTTACCCAGAGCTTGGAAGCTGGTGCCGGTGGTGGGGGCGGGAGGGGGACGGGGGAGGCAGTGGGGGAGGCAGCAGTGGGGGAGGAGGTGGGGGGGGAGGAGGCGGGGGGGGAAGAGGCGGGGGGCAGGCGGGGGGGGGAGGAGGCGGGGGGAGGCGGGGGGGAGGAGGCGGGGGGAGGCGGGGGGGAGGCAGGGGGAGGCAGGAGAAAGGGGGGGAGGGGGAGGCAGGGGGAGGCAGGGGAAAGGGGGGAGGGGAGGCAGGGGGAAGCAGGGGAAAGGGGGGAGGGGGAGACAGGGGGAGGCAGGGGAAGGGAGGAGGGGGAGGCAGGGGGGGCAGGGGAAAGGGGGGAGGGAGAGGCAGGGGGAGGGGGGAGTCGGGGGGGCCGGGGGAAGGGGTGCGGGGGGGGTGGGTCCGTTGGTGGTATGTGAATAACTCCTCCTCTCTTCTCAGGCCCAGTCCCAAGGCGCAGCGTGCGTCAGCAAGACAGCAGAAGCAGGAGGAGAGCTGGCGGGAAGACATGCACCCCTTGAAGACCCAGAGAGAGGCCGTCTGTCTACCGCGTAGCAGTTACATCAGACTGAGACACTTCCTGTTTACAGGAGACTATAAAATTCCTGCCCCGTGCTCATTTGGGGCTGACGCCATTTTAGGCCTCAGCCCATCTGCACCCAGGCGCTCACTGAAACAGTGTGTTGCTCCACACCGCCTTGTTTTGCTTGTTGGCGCGCTCTCAGGGTTCCGACCAATCCAAGAGCCTTGCAGAAAGCATTAACGTGCTTTTCTCTTTGGCAGAGTTTTTCTTTGCTCTGATCTTGGAGACATCCCTCTGCCTAGTGGAAACATAAGGAATACAGAAAGAATGCAAGGAGATAGACCAACGTGAGATTCTCCTTCATGCACTCAAGAGAAAGATGTTGCAGGAAGAGCTAGTCTTTCAGGCTGGGCTGGTGACCTGAGAAAGAATGTCCAGCTTTTCTTCTCCACTTGGCATATCAAGAGCCAGGCGTGGAAGACTAAAACAGGAAATGTTTATAAAAACTGTTCAGCGGTTCGCCAACAAGAAGTGGTAAAGTAGCAAAAATGGGGATGGAGATGCCAGGAGGAAAGATGCCAGGGGTAAAGTGGGAAAATGGGAACCTGAAGCCAGGAGGTCAAGCCAAGCCAACAGGTGTTCTGTTTTTCAGTGAGTATATCCTGTCTTTCCCCATGTGTCAGTTTATAGAAAGAGCAACCTAACAGGCTGCCCCATATACCAATCCAGAGCTTGGACATGTCCTAGCAAATTCGACAGCCCACAAAGCAGTCTGGGCTGGGGGCGGTGGCACGCCTGTAATCACAGCACTTTGGGAGGCTGAGGCAGGAGGATCGTGTGAGGCAAGGAGTTTGAGATCAGTCTGGGCAACATAGCAAGACCCTATCACTACAAAAAAATTAAAAATTAGCCAGGAGTGCCAGTGCACACGTGTAGTCCCAACTACTCAGGAGGCAAAGGTGGGAGAATCACTTGAGCCCAGGAGTTGAAGGTTACAGTGAGCTATGATCACACTGCTGCACTCCAGCTTGGGCAATAGAGCAAGACCCTGTCTCTAAAACTCTTTAAAAACAAAAGGCAAAAACATTTCAAAGGAAACCTCAAAGATCAGCTGTCCCAGGCCACTTCATTCTCCCATAGCAGAGACCCTGAGCTGAGAGGCAGTAAGCCAAGTACCTCCCTGGCCTTGTGGATCCCAGCCTGGGGTCTGCAGGTAGCAAAAGCCAGCCAGGGAGAGATAGCAGATGTGTCCCCAAGATAGTGCCTGAGCCCAAAGAACAGACCAGAAGTTCACCAGTTACAGACAGGAGAATCAGCATGGGGGGGAAGCTGTGTAAACACGCAACCTCACCACACACCCTGCAACATTTTAGGGACAAACACAAGGGGCAGCGCTTTGAGCATGTTTCTCTTTGGGCTGTTACCAAAAGAAGCTATGTAAATTCAACAGGGACTTTTTAAATTAAATTGGATGACACTAAGATTTAAACTGGATGGGATTAGAAGTCATATTTTACCCAATAACCTGTGGAGTGGGTTCAGGAGAAGACCAGATCAAAGTAAAGGCATGGTGGCTCACACCTGTAATCCCAGCACTTTGGGAGGTGGGTGGATCACCTGAGGTCAGGAGTTCACCAGCTTGGCCAACATGGTGAAACCCCATCTCTACTAAAAATGCAAAAAAGATAGCCAGGTGTGGTGGCTCACACCTGTAATCCCACTTATTCGGGAGGCTGAGCCAGGAGAATCGCTTGAACCTGAGAGGTGGAGGTTGCAGTGAGCCAAGATTGCGCCATTGTACTCCAGCCTGGGGGACAGAGCAAGACTCCGTTTGAAAAAAAAAGAAAAGAAGACAAAGTAAAGAGTCACATTTTCTCTGTAGAATGAGTTAAATAGATTACCTGGCCAGATGCAGTAGCTCATGCCTGTAGACCCAGCTACTCTGGAGGCTGAGGCAAGAGGGTGCCTTGAGCTCAGGAGATCGAGGTTGCAGTGAGCTGTGATCTCACTGCTGTGCACTAGCCTGAGTGGCCGGGCAACACCATCTCTAGTTAATTAATTGGCTAATTAAGTAATTGGTGCTTTTCTTGTCCCCATTTTACAGATGAGGAGGTGGGGCACAGGATGGATGGAAACTTTCCACAGTCACAGAACTAATAAGTGGTGCTGAGGACTCAAACCCGGGGAAGCCCACTCTAGAACCCATGCTGGTCATCCATATCCCCAAGGCCCTGGTCAGAACACAGCTAAGCAGATGGCTTGGGTCATCAGGACGTCCATTACATCCAAAGGAAGACAGCCTGTGACGTTTCAAAAGCAAAAGTCCCCTACCAGCCAGTGAAGCTACCTGATTTCTCAGTATCTTACGCCCAGTGACACGATCTACCCTCAAAACTTAAAAAAAAAAGGGAAACATAAACACATAACAGCAGCAGCAATAATTAAAGATGAGATGAGAACAATTAAGAAAAAAGGAAAGGTCTCCTGTGACTGTTTTATTTTTAGGGAAACAGAGAGGAAGAAGAATGATTTTTCTTTTGATGACTCTATATCCAACTCTGAGGTTTGATTAAAGAAATGACCTTGAACCACAGCAAAGAAAAATAAAAGACAATTTCCAGTAAGTATGCCAGTTCGAATTAATGATTTACTTTTTATTTTTAAACTGAATTCAGCAGAGATTTACATGCATTACGATGATTAACATCTGAAATTTGACCTTGAAATAATCTTTACATTGTAAATTCTTAATGATCAAAACAAGGTTCTCAGTGATTAAAACATATTAGTAATTAATTATTAAAGGAGAATAATTGCAAATACAACATTCCTAAAATCTCAAGGCTTTTAAAGCATTTGTACAAATGACTGGACATTTTTTAAATTTGAAAAAAAAAAAAAGCCCTCCATCTGATTCTCATTTTCATTGTCAGTGCAACAACAAAAAAGGTATGCACTTCTCTTCTCATTTTCCACTGTCTCGCAAGCTAGAAATTCTCACGACTACCTTTGATCCCATCAAAGCCAAAGAAAGAAAAGAAAATTGTTCTGTACAGATATATGACATTAAAAAATAATCCCAAAAACTTCTTCTCTAAGGTTAATAAAAGGTCGGCAGTTTTGATCACTTTTAAAAATCAATTTATAAATAATTTAGTCACTTGTAGATGGGACATGATCTTCCTGCTATCCCTAACTACTCTGATGCCAAAACTGGTCATAGCACAAGTGGGGCTGCATAGCAAACTGATCCGCCCAAATAATTTCTACTGGGTTATAAGATTTTAAGAAATAACCATGTCTCACACCATAGAGAAAAACAATTCAACCAGATATCTGTCCCATGTATTGTAGGTACTCTCTGTCAAAGCTGTAACTCTTTTTAACTTGGATGGTCTCACCTAGAGTAGATTTCTTGTTGACAGAAGGAACCCCAGAATGTGTACAGGCCAGGGCCGATTGTGACTTCCATTGGCCAAGGTTGTCCCAGGGCCAGGACAAGGGCCACACAGGTGCACTAGCCTCCCAAGGGCTGAGCATGTGTGCTCAACCATCTGGAGGAAGATAAAAGTGCATCCCCTAAATTCTGCCCAATCCAGTCTCTTGTCCATGGAGTTTCATTAGAAGTGACAAAGTTGAATGAAGAAAAACAAAAGGCAACTCGCCAGAACATTTCATCTCTGTCATGTTCTGCATTGTCAAACATTACTTTTTGCAATTTGCTCTTTGTTGATCTTTATCTTTTTTTCCAATATAAAGGTGCAATATTTGAAATGGTGCCTGTATTAATTTTCTATCACTGCATAACAAATGACCATAAACCTAGTTATCTTAGAGCAGTACAAATTTATAATCTCACAGTTTCTGTAGGCCAGGAGCCCAGCACATGTTAAGTGGATTCTCTGCTCAGGGTCTCACAAGGCTGAAATCAATTTGCTAGCCAGATTCATCTTCATGTGGAGGTTCAACTGGGAAAAGTGCCATCTTCAAGTTCCATCAGGTCAATGGCAGAATTCATTTTTCTGTGGCTCTATGATTGAGGTCCCCATTTTCTTTGCTAGCCATCATCTAGGAAGCATTCTCAGTGACTAGAGGCTGCTTTCAAGCCCTTGACACATGGTCTCCTCAATGGGCCCTCTCCACTTCAGATCTATCACTTCAGAAAGGATCTAGACAGTTAAGGACTCACCTGATTAGGTCAGGCACACCCAGGATGGTCTTTCTTTTAATTGCCTCATAATCAGCTGATTTGGGACCTTGATTATATCTACAAAACCCTTTCACATTTGTCTTATAACATTGTATTCATTGTCCCATCCACACTTAAGAAGGAAGGAGATTATATAGGGTATGTTCACCAGAGGCAGGAATGGGGGCCATCTTAGAATGTTATTTGTTGCATTCCTCTGGAGAACCCTGGCACATACACAAGGTTAGTGCATGAGTAACAATTCGGGTCCACTGTGCATCTCTCCAAACCCAATCTGTCCTGTATTTTAACTACCTTCACACAAGGGGCAAGAATGTTAACCCTCAAGGATGCTGAAATATTCAGTTCAGCCCAGAGGACTCCGGCAGACTTGAATTCCATGTAACCTTGAGGTTGTCATTAGTTTACTTTACCCAGAAACCAGTGACTGTCACTTCTCCCTCGGGAGACTTTTCTGTAGGCACAATTAGTGTTCTCAGCCTGATGACACAGAAAGTGGAAGACAATAAACAGAAAATGCTCCTGTTGCAATGGATATGATATTAACTATCAGACATGCTTTCAGCTGCAAATGATTAAAACCCTAAGCAAACGAGGCTTAAACAACAACAAAGACATGTCCATACGAGGTATGGAGACAGAGAGGCTCCAGGTTAATTATTCAATTACTCATAAAGTACGTGGGTTCTTTCCTTCTTTCTCCTCTGCCACCCTTAGGATGTTGACTTGGGAATATCTCCCACTATATTCCCAGAGAGGCTGCCATAGATCTAGGTATCACACACTGATGACATCTAGAAGCACAATGTGGTCCTTCTCACTTGCCTCTTTTTACCTTTTAGAATAGAGGCTGAGAAGAGCTAAATTGCAGTGCAAAATAGTGAAAAACACCAATGCTTCACAAATTCTTCCACAAAAAGAAGATGAAACACCTCCAAACTCACTCTGTGAGGCCAGTATTACCATGATACCAAAACCATAACAAAGATATTACAAAAAAGAAAACTATAGGCCAATATCCTTTATGAATATAGAAACAAAAATCCTCAACATAATACTAGCAAACTGAAAACAGCAACATAAAAACAGGTTTATGTACTATGACCAAGTGGGATTTATCTCAGGAATACAAGGTTGGTTGATATGAAAATCAATCAATGTAATACACTTTAATGGAATAAAGTGCGAAAACACATGATCTGACATGAAAAAAGCATGTAACAAAACCCAACACTCTTCCATGATAAAAAACAATGAATAAAGTAGAAATAGAAGGGCACCTTACAAAGGGCATACACAAAAACTCATAGTTAATATATTTTTCACTGTAAATTTACAAATTATAATTGTATGTATTTATGAAGTACAAAGATTTATGATATATTTATACAATGTGGAATGATTAAATCGAGCTACTAACATACTCATCACCTCAAATACTTATCATTTTTTGTGGTGAGAACATTTGAAATTTACTCTCAGCAATTTTGAAATATACAATACACCATTGTTAATTATAGGCACCCTGTTGTGCAATTGGTCTCCGAAACCTATTCCTTCTGACTGAAACTTTATACCCTTTGACCATAACCTCCCTGTTCTTCTCACAACCCCAGCCTCTGGCAACCACCTTTCTGCTCTCTGCTTCTGTGAGTTTGATTGTTTCAGATTCCATATACAAGTGAAATCATGCAGTATTTGTCTTTCAGTGCTTGACTTATTACATTTAGCATAATGTCCTCCAGGTTCATCCATGTTGTTGCAAATAAGAGAATTTCCTTGTTTTTTAAGGCTAAATATTATCCCATTGTGTACATACCACATTTTCTTTATCCATTCATCCACTGATGAACATTTAGGTTGATTTCAAAACCTGGCTATTGTGAATAATGCTGCAAGGAACACAGGAGTGCAGGTATGTCTTTGACATACTGATTTCAAATCCTGTGGATATATTCCCAGAGATTACTGGATCATATGGTAATTCTATTTTTAGTTTCTTGAGGAATCTTCATACAATTTTCCCTAATGGCCGTACTAAGTTATATGCCCATCAACAGTGTACAAGGGGTCCCTTTTCTCCATCCTTGCCAACATTTATCTTGCATCTTTTTGATAATAGCCACTCTGACAGGTGTGAGGTGATATTTCATTGTGGTTTTAATTTGCATTTCCCTAATGATTAGTGATGTTGAGCACTTTTTCATATAGCTGTTGGCCATTTGTATGTCTTCTGTTTTTTTTTTTTTTTCTTTTTTTCGAGACAGAGTCTCTCTCTGTTGCCCAGGCTAGAGTGCAGTGGCATGATCTCAGCTCACTGCAACCTTCACCTCCTGGGATCAAGCGATTCTTGTGCCCTGCCACTTGAGTAGCTGGGACTACAGGTGTGTGTCACCACACCTGGCTAATTTTTATGGGTTTTTGGCAGAGACGGGGTTTCACCATGTTGGCCAGGCTGGTCTCGAACTCCTGGGCTCAAGTGATCCCCTGCCTCGGCCTCCCAAAGTGGTGGGATTACAGGCGTGAGCCACCGTACCCAGCCTGTATGTCTTCTTTTAAGAAATGTTTATTCAAGTCCTTTGACCATTTTTAACTGTATTATTTGTTTTCTTGCTATTGAGTTGTTTGAGTTCCTTATAGATTTTGGATATTAACCCCTTATCACATGTATGGTTTGTAGATATGTTTTCCTAATCTATAGGTTGTTTCTTCACTCTGTTACAGTTTCCTTTGTGGTGCAGAAGCTTTTTACTTTGAAGTAATCCCATTTGTCTATTTTTGCTGTGCCCGTGATTTTGGAGTCAAATTCAAAAAAATAATTGCCCAGACCAATGTCATGCAGTTGGACCCTTATCTCTTAACATATACAAAAAGTAATTGAAATGAATCAAAGTCCTGAATGCAAGAGCTAAAACTCTAAAACTCTTAGAAGAAAAGAAAAATAAGTATAAGCCTTCATGACCTTCAATTAGGCAACGGTTTCTTTGATATGACACCAAAAGCACAAACAACCAAATGAAACAAATAGATAAATCGGGCTTCATCAAAATCAAAAACTTTTGTGCTTCAAAGGACACTGTCAGGAAAGTGCAAAGGCAACCCACAGAATGGGAGAAGATATTTCAAATCATATATATCTGTTAAGGGTCTAGCATCCACAATATATAAAGAAATCTTACAACTCAACAATAAAAGGATAAATAATTCAATTGTTAAATGCAAATCAAAACCACAAGATACTTCCTCACACCCACTAGGATGGCTTCAATGTAAAAGACAAAAAACAAGTGTTGGTGAGGATGTGGAGAAACTGGGACCCTCATACATTACTGGTGGGAATGTAAGATAATGCAGCCACTTTTTTTTTTTTTTTAAGACAGAGTCTTGCTCTGTCACCCAGGCTGGAATGCAATGGCATGATCTCAGCTCGCTGCAACCTCCGCCTCCCGGGTTCAAGCAATTCTCCTGCCTCGGCCTCCCAAGTAGCTGAGACTACAGGTGCATGACACTATGACTGGCTAATTTTTGTATTTTTAGTAGAGAAAGTGTTTCACCATGTTGCCCAGGCTGGTCTCGAACTCCTGACCTCAAGTGATCTGCCTGCCTCGGCCTCCCAAAGTGCTAGGATTACAGGTGTGAGCCACCATGCCTGGCCTGTGCAGCCACTTTTAAAAACAGTTTGGCAGTTCCTCAAAATTCCACTCCTAGTTATATATCCAAGAGAATTAAAAACACATGTTCACACTAGAACTTGTATAGAAATGTTCATAGCAGCATTATTCATAAGAGCCAAAAAGTGGAAACAACCTAAATGAATGTTCATCAACTGATGAATGGACAAATAAAACATGCTATATCATACGATGGAATATTATTCCACATAAAAATTAATGAAGTACAGATATATGCTGCAACATGAACTTTGAAAACATTATGCTGAGTGAAGGAAGCCAGTCAAAAGGCCATGCATTGTATGGTTCCTTTATATTCCTTTATTACATGACACAGATCCCTTTATTATATGAAATACCCAGCTTCCTTTATTATATGAAATATCTAGAATAGATAAATTCGTAAAGACAGAAACTACGTTGGTGGATGCCTAGGGCTGAAGGGAGGCTGTGGTAGGTAGTGACTGCTGGTGGGTAAGGTATTTCTTTTGGGGGTGATGAGAATGTTCTGGGATGAGAGAGTAGTCATAGTTGGACAATGTTATAATTATACTAAAAATCAGTGAATTTTGCACTTTTAAAGAGTGAATTTTATATGTGGATTAAATCTTGATTTCTTTTTTTCTTTGAGATGGAGTCTCGCTCTGTCACCAGGCTGGAGTGCAATGGTGTGATCTCGGCTCACTGCAACCTCCACCTCCTGGGTTCAAGTGAATCTCCTGCCTCAGCCTCCCAAGTAGCTGGAACTACAGGCACGTACTACCATGCCCAGCTAATTTTTTTGTATTTTTAGTAGAGACAGGGTTTCACCATGTTGGCCAGGATGGTCTCGATCTCTTGACCTCGTGATCTGCCCACCTCAGCCTCCCAAAGTGCTGGGATTACAGGCGTGAGCCACCGCACCTGGCCTATATCTTGATTTTTTAAAACACAATGAGAATTCGAAGTTCACAAGAATGTTCTGAAAGGGATGTGGTGAGGATAAGAGAGAAATGAAGGAGAAGGGGTGAGATCGTGAGGAGTACAGGCTTATGGGCTGGTGCAATGGATGAGAAGTCAGTTTCATAAGGGCTGGAAGGCCCTGACACACAGAGCTGCTAAGGTGCAATTTTAAGTTGACGCTGCTGTGTGTAACAGGGTTCCCCCTCCAATCCCTCTTCTGAGACTGAGGACACAAGCTCAGAAAACAGCAGGGAGCCTTTGGTGATTACACCTAGAGAGGAGAAGAAAGGCATGGACGCTTAGTGTAAAGTGTGTTGGAGTGACGCAGTGAAGGTCTTAATACTCTCAGCAGGCCGGGTGTGGTGGCTCACGCCTGTAATCCCAGGACTTTGGGAGGCCGAGGCGGGTGGATCACTTGAGGTCAGAAGTTTGAGACCAGCCTCAGCAACATGGCAAAACCTCATCTCTACTAAAAATACAAAAATTAGTTGGTCGTGGTGGTGGGTGCCTGTAATCCCAGCTACTCAGGAGGCTGAGGCAGGAGAATCGCTTGAACCCAGGAGGTGGAGGTTGCAGAGAGCCGAGATCGCGCCACTGCACTCCAGCCTGGGCGACACAGTAAGACTCCATCTCAAAAAACAAAACAAAAAAACAAAACAAAAAAACCTCTAGTAGAGATTGAAACTCCTGTGGGAGCCGTGCTCCCTTCAATAGCATACTGCTCCAGGATAATCCACCCTGTGTCGGAGTTGTGAAAACAGAACTCCTCAGGGATCTGCTATATCCAAACTATTCCAGAGTCCCAATTGATGAGCTTTTATTGCAAAAGCCATTGAGAAACAGATTCTTTTCTCAGTGCTCTTCTGAAGGGTGAGCAAATCAATCTTACTTCCTAGATGTGTCAGCTGAGTCAAGTTACCCAGAAAGAAACACAGGAGAAATGAGTCCCTGACAAGCCTGGGTGGAAGTTCCGTCCACTGCTGTCAATCCTGCATATTTTGTTCCAATCCACTATTTCTTTAAAATTGCTGAGTAAAATGTTGGATATGACTCAGGCATCCCGAAAATCTCAAATCTCTGAATATTCAACATCAATTTAAAGAAGACACAAGATACTGGGCTTTTTTTCCCCATTGTCAAAATATGGGGCGTATGCCGTTGCAAGTTGAGTATGTAAAAAACCATGATGCTATTTTATAGTCATGGAATCAATCATGAGAATTCACAGTCTTGTGAACAGGGACTTCTCATATTTGATAAATGACTTGATTGCTGTGTTTCTGATTAGCGGCTTTTCAATTGCATTACAAATGTTGGAAACATCCATTAGTCAGTATTTAGCAACATTTTAGGAACTGATTAAAGTGAATCCGTGTTTCAGAAACATAGAACTACTTGTGCTGTGAACTCAACAGTGAAGATATCCAACAGATCCTTTGGGAAGAGAGAAATAGACAAGAATCTTAAGCCACCTTCCTTTTGTTGTTGTTGTTAGAGACAGTCTCACTGTCACCCAGGCTGGACTGCAGTGGTGTGATCGTAGCTCACTGCAGCCTCAATCTCCCAATCTCAAGCAATCCTCCCACCTCAGCCTCTTAAGTAGCTGGGACTACAGGTGCACACCACCACACCTGGCTCATTTTTTTTTCGAATTTTTAGTAGAGACGAGCTCTTGCTATGTTGCCCAGGCTAGTCTCAAACTCCTAGCCTCAAGCAGTCCTTAAGCCTCAGCCTCCCAAAGTGCTGGGATTACAGGCATGAGCCACTGCTCCCATCCCAGGCCATCTTCTGCATGTAATTTAATTTCTGCAGGTTTGCCAGTTGGCTTGTCACTTTTACCCAGAAGTATCTGAGAGAGAAAAAAAAAAAAATTAAAGCAGGTGTGGGGCAAGAGGGAAGGCAGACACAAACGCAATCCAATGTTATAGTAGAAGATCACTGCTTAGACTATCTCCATAGTTCATCTTTGCTTTGGTTTCCATCTTAATTTTTTTATGTGAAAAGATATACATATATTTAGAATTAGCCAGCTGGACTCAGTTTAGATGATCCCAATTTTGTTGGCAACATCCAAAGCATCATAATCAGGAGCCAGTGGAACATATGCCTTCTTCTCTCCATCAGGCCGAATCAGGGTGTTGACCTTGGCCATGTCAATATCATAGAGCTTCTTCACAGCCTGTTTGATCTGGTGCTTGTTGGCTTTAACATCCACTATGAACACAAGTGTGTTGCTGTCTCCTATCTTCTTCATGGCCGACTCAGTGGTCAGCGGAAACTTGATGATAGCATAGTGGTCAAGCTTGTTTCTTCTGGGGGCACTCTTCCAAGGATATTTGGGCTGCCTCCAGAGTCGCAGTGTCTTGGGCCACTGGAAGGTGGGTGACGTGTGGATCATTTTTTTTGTGGCTGTGGACACCTTTCAACACTGCCTTCTTGGCCTTTAAAGCCTTCGCTTTGGCTTCGGCTTTAGGAGGGCAGGAGCTTCCTTCTTTGCTTTCGGTGCCATCTTGTGAAAAGCCCATCTTAATTTTTAAATTGAGATTGGTAAAGTTTTTCTATTTCTTCATAGTAAATATTTTCAGCTTTGCAGGCCATACATAGTCTCTGTTGCAACTACTCAACTCTGCCTTTGTAAGAACGAAGCAGCTATAGGCAATATGTAAATGAAGGGTGTGGCTGTGTTTCCATGAAACTTTATTAATAAAAACAGGAATCAGGGGCCGGGCACGGTGGCTCGTGCCTGTAATCCCAGCACTTTGGGAGGGCGAGGTGGGAAGATCACTTGAGCTCAGGAGTTCAAAACCAGCCTGGCCAACATGGTGAAACCCTGTCTCTACAAAAAATACAAAAATTAGGCGGGTGTGGTGGCACGCACCTGTAGTCCCAGCTACTCAGGAGGCTGAGGCAGGAGAATCACTTTGAACCCAGGAGGCGGAGGTTGCATGCAGTGAGCCAAGATCGCACCACTGCACCCAGCCTGGGTGACAGAACGAGACTCCATCTCAAAAACAAAAACAAAAACAAAAAACAGGCATCAGGTTGGATTTGGCCCATGGGTCACAGTTCATCAACCCAGCTCTTCACTATGCTAGAATCAAGAGCCATGATTATGTTTTACAATTTTGATAGCTGCTGACATCACTGATTGTATGTCATATTTACCCTACTTCAGACCAACATTTATTTCCTTTTCTTTTTGTACATTGCCAGATTACATTGCGATGCTATATCACAAATTTGGAGGTACCACATTTTAATGGGAAGGAAATATTACGATATGGAGACAAATATACATCACTCCAAGCCTCCCCACCGCTATCCTCTACCCCCATGAAAATGAATGATTGTGGAGGAGTGGAGCAAGTTTTCAGTGGAAATAGTGAAATGATTCTAAAATCCCTCTTTTTCCACCGAGCATGGTGGTTCACACCTGTAATCCCAGCACTTTGGGAGGCTGAGGCGGGTGGATAACCTGAGGTCAGGAGTTCGAGACCAGCCTGACCAACATGGTGAAACCCCATCTCTACTAAAAATACAAAAATTAGCTGGGCGTGGTGGTGCACGCCTGTAGTCCCAGCTACTCGGGAGACTGAGACAGGAGAATTGCTTGAACCTGGGAGGCAGAGGTTGCAGTGAGCCAAGATACCACCACTGCACTCCAGCCTAGGTGACGGAGCAAGACTCCATCTCAAAAAAACAAAAAACAAACCAAAAACACCCTCAAAAAAACAAAAGAAACGCTTCGCTTCTCCTCCTCAGTCCTTAACTTCCTCTCTTCTTCCCCTTTCAGAGTGAGATTTTGCGTGGTAAGATTTGGGGAGGCATGTTTTGATATTCCTTGTGATTTTGAATGGGAGGCCAAGCAGGGCTTCAGGAAGTGGAGCCCAGAGCTGGTGTTCCTGGGCTTGGTGACAGGTCCTGGGCCCCTCCCTGTCTGAGGATACCATTCTATGTGTCCCCATGACAACTCCGAGGTTTGATGCTGGTGGAGCTGATTGCTTCCATGAGGGCTTCATAGTCTAATTCTAGCACACTCTCCATTTCTCAATGGACCACTCCAAAAAGCTTCCCTCGAAGGATCAGTCTGGCCAAGAAAAACTTGCATGGCCCTGGGTACCACCATTTCTACCTGCACAGCTCCGGACAACCGCAGAATCCTGATGCCCGCTCTATGTGGGACCATGAAAGGCCCTCTCGATGTTGTCCTGCTCTCAGATTTCTTTTTCCAGAAAGTTCAGCTGTGGCTCCCATTTCTACTGCTATGTAACACTGCTGTGCTCAGGCTGGGGAAGCCCCTAATTTTCCAACAGGGAAATAATCTTGTACATTGAGACCAACCGTAACATTATCCCAAGCAGCTATGAGATGTGCACAAGTAATTTGTTATTAATCCAAATTTAGCCTTCTCCCTGACATAAAATTAAATTATGCCTTCAAAAGCCTAAAATGGCTTAAACATTATCCCTAAAATAATGTCACTTCCGATGTGCTTTCTGTAGTGAAAAAAAAGAAGTTAGGTGAGAATGAATGAACCACCTATGCTTCCCCTCACAACCCAGAAGCCCTTGATCCACAGTGAGCAGCCGTGGGAAATACAAATTGTTCTGCTGCTTGCAAGGTGTGGTTTTATAGTTTCTGTTGTTTTCTTTTGCATTTCATTCTGAAATATATTCTTTTTTTTTTTTTTTTTGAGACATAGTCTCGCTCTGTTGCCCAGGCTGGAGTGGAGTGATGTGATCTCGGCTGTCTGCAACCTCCGCCTTCCAGGTTCAAGTGATTCTCCTGCCTCAGCCTTCTGAGTAGCTGGGATTATAGATGCCCGCCACCACACCTGGCTAATTTTTATTTTGTATTTTTGGTAGAGATGGGGTTTCACCATGGTGGCCAGGCTGGTCTTGAAGTCCTGACCTCAAGCTATCTACCCCCCTCAGCCTCCCAAAGTGCTGAGATTATAGGCGTGAGCCACCGTGCCTGGCCCTGAGATAGATTTTTAACATGAAAGATGTCAAGGCTAAACACACGTGAGTAACCCCTGCACTGCTGATGAACGAATATGCCACCCTGCCTCTCTCCAAGCAAAGAGGAGAAACCTGCCATCAGGCTGTATGAACTCTTCTTTGCTTTTTTCCAGTATTGTCATTCAGATTAGCTTTCATGCACGTACCACAAGAAAAATCAGATGTCCTGGATTTGTCCTGTGTTCCTCATCAGCAGAGGAAGCCACTAGCAGCCCTTACGAGAATCAAGGCTACTCTACTGGAACTCTTCTTACATAGCCAAAAATGTGTGAATTCCATTTACTGTGATTTTTAACAAAAATGTGTTTATTTAAATGTGTTTATTGTGGTACTCGCTTGCTTAATTATCTTATTTATTTTATTTGTTGTATTTTTGAGACAGGTTCTCACTCTGTAGCCCAGACTAGAGTGCAGTGATGCGATCCTAGCTCACTGTAGCCTCAACCTCCTGGGCTCAAGCAATCCTCCTGCCTCAGCCTCCAGAATAGTTGGGACTACAGCTATGTGCCAGCACACCCAGCTAATTTTTTTTTTTTTTTTTTTTTTTTTTTTGTGGAGACGGGGTCTTGCTGTGTTGAGCAGGCTGGTCTCAAACTCCTGGCCTCAAGTGATCCTCCTGCCTCACCCTCCCAAAGTGCTGGGATTACAGGTGTGAGCCATCACTACCCTTGGCCTGTTTGCTTAATTATCTGTGGAATACAGAAAAAGAAAAAAATCAATACTCTTTAAAAAAATAATCTAGTCCTTAAAACACATTTTTAGACCGGCCATATTGGCTCACACCTGTAATCCCAGCACTTTGGGAGGCCAAAGTGGGTGGATCACTTGAGGTGAGGAGTTCAAGACCAGCCTGGCCAACATGGCAAAACCCCATCTCTACTAAAAATACAAAAATTAGCCAGGTGTGGTGGTGAGCGCCTGTAATCTCAGCTACTCAGGAAGCTGAGGCAAAAGAATCTCTTGAATCCAGGAGGTGGAGGTTGCAAGGAGCTGAGATTGCACCACTGCACTCCAGCCTGGGTGACAGAATGAGACTGTCTCCAAAAAAAACTAAAAAATAAAATACATTTTAAATGATTTTCAGTGACTAGTTTTTGGAGACCTTTACATGGCTGCTTTACTCATGTGGATGAATGTGTTTATCAATGTCCCTGGGGAAAATAAAAGCAGCGTTATTTGCCTTACTTCCCTACCAGATTTTTGATATTTTCTCAAAATCAGCTGGGTGCAGGAGCATGAGCCTGTAACCCCAAGCTCTACTCAGGAGGCTGAGGTGGGAGGATCAGTTGAGCCCAGGAGGTCAAGGCTGCAGTAAGCTATCACTGCACCACTGCACTCCAGCCTGGGTGACAGAGCAAGACTCTGTTTCTTTAAAAACAAAACAAAACAAAAAAATCTTATATTTTCTCAAAATCGGAGTCCACTCATGGGATGTGTCATTTTATTAGCTATATATATACATCTATGCCGTTTGGATTTGAATGTCATCCATTATCTGTTGCAGTGGGTTGAATGGTGTCCCCTTCCCCCAAAAAAAGACATGCCCAATCCCTAAGTCCCAGTACCTGTGAATGCGGCCTTGCTTGGAAATCATATCTTTGCAGATGTCATGAAGAGAAGGATCTCAAGTTGAGATTATCCTACATTAGTTGTGTGAGCCCTGAATGCAATGAACCTTATAAGACAAAAGGAGAAACAGATACAGAAAGAGACATGGGAGAAGGTGATGTGACCACATAGGCAGAGATGGGAGTGACGCAGCAGCAAGCCAGGGAGCCCTACGGATGGCCGGCCGCCACCAAAAGCTGGGAGAAAGGCAGGGAACAGATTCTCCCTGAGAGCCTTTAGAGCAAGCACAGCCCTGCTCACACCATGATTTCAGACTTCCAGCCTCCAGGACTGTGCAAGAATAAATGTCTGTTGTTTTAAGCCACCGAGCTTGTGGAACTTTGTAACGGCAGCCCTGGGAAACTAACACCTGTGGGTCGAGGCAGGGAAAGAAATGCTGCCCCAGTATAGAGAAGATTTGCTCCAGGTTCTAGGAGAGCCAAAAAGCAGCATCTCATGGCCGTCAGCAAACCCCTGGGAGGACGGCAGACCCCAGGGGGCGAGCAAACTTGCTGGTGGTTGGAGCATGCCTGATGCTATCACTCTGTGGGTACCAAGTACCAGGCAAACAGGTAGGCCTTGTTCAAAGCCAGTGATGGAGAGAGGCACTCTCCAACAGAGCCATCGAACAGGGCACGTACTGTATCAGCTCTAGCAGAGGCCAGCAAACTTTTCTGTAAAGGGCTTGATAGTAAGTATTTTCAGCTTTGTGAACCACAAACCGGAGTAGTCTCTGTCACACCTCCTCAGCTCTGCTGTTGGGAAGTGAAACCAACCATATGCAACTGCCAAACAAATACACGTGAAAATCTTTATTTACACATGCTTCGCTCTATACCCAAAAAAATGTAAAGCAGGGACTCAAACAGATACTTGTATATGAATGTTATTCTCACAATAGCCAAGAGGTGGAAATAACCCAGGTGTTCATCAATAGATGAATGGACAAACGAAATGTGTAGATACACGTACATGCAAAGGAATAGTATACAGCCTTAAAAAGGAATGAAATTCTGACACGTGCTACAACGTGGGTGAACCCTGAACGCATGATGCTAAGTAAAATAAGCCAGACACAAAAGTAAAAAGATCGTATGACTGCACTTACATGAAGTACCTAGAACAGGCAAATTCATAGAGATAGAAAGTAGAAGTTACTAGAAGCTCAGGAAAGTGGGAAATGGAAAGTTACCGATTCACGGTACAGAGTTCCTATTTGGGGTGCTGAAAAAGTTTTGAAATTAGATAGTGGGGATGGTTATACAAAGTGTGAATATACTCAATGCCACTGAATTGTACAATTTAAAATGGTTAAAATAGTAAATTTTATGTTATACATATTTTGTCATAATAAAGTTTGCATTTAGAAAAAAAAAATTTCTTTCAAACAGAGTCTCACTCTGTCACCCAGGCTGGAGTGCAGTGGCATCATCTCGGCTCACTGCAACCTCTGCCTCCCAGGTTCATTCTTTCTGCCTCAGCTTCCTGAGTAGCTGGAATTACAGGCATGCATCACCACAACCAGCTAATTTTTGTATTTTTAGTAGAAATGGGGTTTTGCCATTTTGGCCAGGCTGGTCTCGAACTTCTGACCTCAAGTGATCCACCCAGCTCAGCCTCCCAAAGTGCTGGGATTACAGGCGTGAGCAACCATACCCGGCTTAGGAAAAAAAAAAATTATTTACAAAAATAGAAACTGGCCATAGTTTGCCAACTCCTGGTATAGAGTTTTCTATAACATCAAAGTGGCTCTTGGTATGTGACTGTTCCAGAATTATCCCAGCATAGCAGATATGAGGTGGTACTTCCTATGAGCTCTGCCATCCTCAGTCCCTGGACTGTGTCATTTCCTTTGGGCATGTGCACATACACCCCTGGAACATGGAGGAAGGCATATTAATAGCGGGTAGTATGGATTTAAAAGCCTCAGAACCGTGTCATTGATGCTATGCTCTGTTCCTGGAAGTGAAAATGCACAGAGGAACCAGCTGGTACAGTATGATGACAACAGATTTAGGGTACCCAGTCACCATTCACTGCATGGCCTCAGTCACGTTATCCCTGCTCTCTGGGCCTCAGTTTAATCAGATGATTCTCATTTGCTGGCTATATGATGTCCTGCTCTGGAAAAGCATGTAGCTTAGAAATGAGACTGCATGTGAAGGTATTACACCACCCCCCGTGGATGGCTGCCACCATCCTTAAGCATATTTTCATCCAGAAGAATAAACATCCTTAGAGAAATACACATGAAATGCAAAGCTTGAAGTCATAACTCAATGCATAACAACCTGCAAACCAGTACAGGCTTATGAGCTAGCTAATAAAATAAATCATAGTCATGTTTTTCAAATGACTTTTCATGTGTTGTCATTACTTCTCCGACGTACTGTAAATTAACTGTGAAGTGCTACTTCCTGCAGGGAGGTTTTCTTTCCCCTCCCAAATATAAAGAGGTTGTAAGGCTAAAGAATGCAGACATGCATCATGTCTGCGAAAATCATTTTTTAAAAAGATCAAATGTAATATTTTCTTTCAACATGGACAACTGCTTTGAGATTTTCCATTCAAGCAGCCTTGAACACAGCCTCCAGCGTTTGCCAATTACTCCTGACAAATACCATTTGGGCCTGAGTGATGTTGTAAGTGAAATAAAACAGTGGAAGGAAAAAAACCAGAACATGATAAAAGGAATTTTTTTTGGTCTGCTGAGAACTTACTGTAAGTTATACATTCAGGAGTGAAGGCCCTGCTTCCTGCCAGTGACGGACTCCATGTGAGCTGGAGTTTGAAGGTGACTTTTGTTTGACAGTAATAGGAAGGGAAGACAAAACTCAGTTTTCATGTCCCTTGAAAGGGAGTCAGCCCTTTTTTCTCCCTCATAAAGAGGAAAAAAAAGTATATAAACAAAAGAAGAGAAAAAGAGGCACTAGGCCCTGTTCCCTGTCATTCTGCACAATACGCACTAATGGCTGAAAACAATCCCATGAAATCAGCGTGGCCAGCATGCCCGGGCGGCCAGCAGCCCCACCTGCCTCCGTACCTGAGCTCTGAGCATGTTAGAACCAGCTGAAGGCAACCAAAGCCACAGGAAAGAGAGGGCACAGCCAACTTTCAAAGTGCAGTCATCTGGTCCCACCCCCACCCCCCTACCCCCATCTCTCCTGAAGTTTCCTCCTTTTTTTTTTTTTTTTTGAGACAGAGTCTCCCTCTGTTGTACACGCTGGAGTGCAGTGCTGCAATCTCGGCTCCTGCAACCTCCACCTCCTGGGTTCAAGTGATTCTAGTGCCTCAGCCTCCCGAGTAGCTGGGATTACAGGCACCCACCACCACACTCGACTAATTTTTGTATTTTTAGTAAAGACGGGGTTTCACCATGTTGACCAGGCTGATCTCAAACTCCTGATCTCAAATGATCTGCCCGCCTTGGCCTCCCGAAGTGCTGGGATTACAGGTATGAGCCACCGTGCCTGGCCAAGTTTCCTCCTTTTCTGAGGTTCCTGTCCCAGAATCTATGATGGCCAAGACAAAGCAAAGGTGAAGACTGCTCCCCCTCCACCACTGCCTTTCCCAACATCCTTCTCTGCTTGTTCTTTAAGATTCCAGTGAAACTCAACCTTGACCTCAGTGCTGTGGGGAATCAGAGAGCAGCCAGGGGAAACGACTGGAAAGAGGCTGGGTGGTAACTGGGCACAGTGGCTCATGCCTGTAATCCCAGCATTTTGAGAGACAAAGGTGGGAGGATCACTTGAGGCCTAGAGTTTGAGACCAGTCTGGGCAACATGGTGAGACCCCCGTCTCTACAAAATATTTTTAGAATTAGCCAGGTGTGGTGGTGCGTGCCTGTAGTTCCAACTGCTCAGGAGACGGAGGCAGGATGGTTGCTTGAGCTCACGAATTTGAGGCTGCAGTGAGCCATGATTGGCCGTTGCACTCCAGCCTGGGCAAAAGAGCAGGACCCTGTCTCTCAAGGCTGAGAGGGTACCAAGTGCCCACATGGTATCCAGCAGACCAGGACCCAGAGCTGGTCTGTCTATACCAGCCACGAACCTTGGACAAGGAAGGGACTTTGCTAGCTAATAAAAATAAGCTGGACTGACTGACTGAGCTGGACTTTCCCCATCTGTTGGGGGAGACTATTGTAGCCACTGAGGATGAAACTGATTCAGGGCTGGCAGCCTGTCGTACTGTGCTGGCACCTGGAAATGCTAAGTCAATGCCACGGTCCAGTCTGAACATCCTGGGACCCCTCCACTCAGGGTGCACCAGTCCTAATGCACCTGTGGAGCTCGGCGATTTTGTAACCACACTGCTGCACTGGGATCTATTTTTCCCGGTGAATGAAAAACTCACAAATGTGAGTGATTTAGGCTGGAGGTCCGCAGCCCCACGGCGCAGAGGCTCCCCAGCATGTGGTGTGAGTAAGGGGCTGGTGGCTTTCTGTCCAGCTGCCTCCCACTTCAAGAAGTCTTTGGCAACTGCCATGCCCCAAAGTAAAAGGGGCAAAACCATGGTCATTGTGCTGATAATCGGGCCTCGTGGGTCCTCTGAGCAGAACCCCAGCCCCGCCTCACTTTCTGTAAATGAGCCATCTCCACTGGCACCTCGTGTCAAGGAAGGGTGAACCAGGACAGGGCTAAAGGGATTGCCAATGGACAGCCCAGAAGACAGGTCATAAACCGCCCAACTGGCTCGATGTCTGGAGTCGGTCACACCTCGAAGACACTGTTTTCCTAACTTTCACGTACACGGGAATCTTGTTCCAATGCAGATTCTGATTCAGTGGGTCCAGGGCAGGGCCTGAGATCCTGAATTTCTTTTCATTTGTGTGTGTGTGTGTCTGTGTGTGTTTGTTTGTTTGAGATGGAGTCTCGCTCTGTCACACAGGCTAGAGTGCAGTGGCACGATCTCGGCTCACTGCAACCTCCACCTCCCGGGTTCAAGCGATTCTCCTGACCTCAAGTGATCTGGCTTAGCCTCCCCAGGTAGCTGGGATTATAGGTGCCATTACCACACCCAGCTAATTTTTGTGTTTTCAGTAGAGACAGGGTTTCCCCATGTTGGCCAGGCTGATCTTGAACTCCTGACCTCAGGTGATCCTCTGCCTCTCAGAGTGCTGGGATTACAGGTGTGAGCCACCACGCCCGGCCAAGATCCTGAATTTCTAATAGGCTCCCAGGTGCTGCTGATGTGCTCTGCAGATCACCCTGTGAGGAGCAGGGTTCTAAGGCAAACAGCCCCAATCAACAAAGCTGAAAGCACTTATTTAGCTTCCTGGGGGACATTTTTTGGTGGTAGTGGCCTCCTTTATAGACTTTTGCCCTGGTGACCTATAAAAGAAAGAAGATAGATCCTAGCAGTTGCCCCCTGCCAGTACTTTTCTCCTGCTGGTATCAGAGACACTGCCTTCTAATACAGAGACACAGTATTTCTCCTCTCGCACGACTGCTGCCATGGTTGTGAGTCAAGACTCCCTGCCTAGACTACATGGTGGCCACCTACTCTTAACATTGAACCACAACCATCAAAAATCACTTGTGGCCAGGTGTGGGTGGCTCACACCTGTAATCCCAGCACTTTGGGAGGCCGAGGCGGTTGGATCACCTAAGGTCAGAAGTTCAAGACCAGCCTGGCTAACATGGCACAACCCAGCTCTACTAAAAAAAATACAAAAAAATTAGCTGGGAGTGGTGGCGTAGTGCACGCCTGTAACCCCAGCTACTTAGGAGGCTGAGGCAGGAGAATCACTTGAACCCAGGAAGTGGAGGTTGTAGTGAGCTGAGATTATGCCACTGCTGCACTCCAGCCTGGGTGACAGAGCACGAAACTGTCTCAAAACAAAACAAAAAAAACTTGTTATTCCAACCTGAATACTTTTTTTTTTTTTTTGAGACGGAGTTTCACTCTTTTTGCCCAGGCTGGAGTGCAATGGCGCGATCTCAGCTCACCGTAACCTCCGCCTCCCAGGTTCAAGCAATTCTCCTGTCTCGGCCTCCCGAGTAGCTGGGATTATAGGCGTGAGCCACCGTGCCCTGCTAATTTTGTATTTTTAGTAGAGACGGGGTTTCTCCACATTGGTCAGGCTGGTCTCGAACTCCTGACCTCAGGTGATCTGCCTGCCTCAGCCTCCCAAAGTGCTGGGATTACAGGCATGAGCCACCTCGCCTGGCTTACTCTTTTTTTTTTTTTTTTTTTTTTTGAGGCAAAGTCTTGCTCTGGCGCCCAGACTGCAGTACAGCGGCATGATCTAGGCTCACTACAACCTGGGCCTTCCAGATTCAAGTGATTCTCATGCCTTGGCCTCCTGAGTAGCTAGCATTACAGGCATGTGCCACCAAGCCTGGCTAATTTTTGTATTTTTTCAGTAGAGATGGGGTTTTGCTGTGTTGGCCAGGCTGATCTGGAACTCCTGGCCTCAAGTGATACGCCCACCTCAGCCTCCCAAAGTGCTGGAATTACAGGCATGAGTCACCATGCTTGGCCCCAACCTGAGTTCTCTTAAATAATATCTGCATTCCATATACATAATCACCATCACCAGTGAGGCAACTCCAATCAGATAAACAGTAATGTATACCTTTCTCTACTCCTCCAATTAAAAAAAAAAAAACCTTCAATATAGTGATATTGAATATTGGCCTCATCGAGGTCTTGGTAGCACTCTGTAGATCAACATGCCAAAGAGAAAACAAACTTCCACTCAACACAAAGCCAGAATGTGTATCAATAGCACGGGGCTGGGGAGGAGAAGGGTATCAGGAGGGAGAAAAGCATTATAGCAGCTTCCCGGTTCACAAGTTGAATTTGTCTACACATAAGACCAGATGACAGAGCTTCTGATAAAGTCCAGCTGACCAAAGAAATCATTTCAAGTGAGGCCATCAGCGTCAAGTCATCATGTGATGTTGTACTGAGTCAGTCCACATCACCAGCCATTTGGGGATCTACAGTGTCTCAGTATCCTGTGGACAGAGAAGCTCAAGCGCACCCTGATGGTTTTTTTCACTCTACCTTGAGGCCCCAACCTCTGATCAGTCATGCACCTCTAACAAAGATGGGCCAGGCCTCCCCTCGGTCAGCAGAAATGGATTCTTTCCACCTCACCACAAAATACTTCACGTTATTCTAGAAACACCTGGCAGATGAGAAGCTAGGAGTCACAGGATCCGTCCCTCTGTTTGTGTGGGTGGTCAGTTTCAACTCCTTAAAAGCCATCCTTCTGGCCAGGCACAGTGGTTCACACCTGTAATCCCAGCAACTTCCTAGCACTTTGGGAGTCCGAGGCAGGTGGATCACCTGAGGCCTGGAGTTCGAGACCAGCCCCATCTCTACTAAAAATAAAAAAATCAGCCAGGCATGGTGGTGCATGCCTGTAAGTCCAGCTCTTGGCGCATGCCTGTAATTCCAGCTACTCGGAGGCTGAGGCAGGAGAATTGCTTGAACCTGGGGTGCAGAGGTTGCAGTGAGCAGAGATCGCCCCATTGCACTCCAGCCTGAGCAACAAGAGTGAAACTCTGTCTCAAAAAAAAAAAATCCTTCTTTTGGCCTGCCTGAAACAGCCTGAGTCTACCTGCTATCAATTAGGATAGAAATTGAAACCTGCTACCCGGTGTGAAAAGTTCTCTCCTTCTCAAAAGTAAGGGCTAAATATATGCCTTTATTTGTGGCTCCTCTGTGGGCAGAGCCAGGATGGTTCCTGCACGGTCTCACCCCCTCCTCCTCTCGCCATTACATCTGAGCCACCACTGCCCTCTCCAGCCCCTGCCCCACCTGGCCAGGTCCCTTCCCGAGCAGCTATCACCTTGAAGTGGTGTTTATCCGCCCAAAGGAGAATGTGAACGTTGGCATTTTCTTCCAGGGGAAACACGGAGAGTTGCTTCTGCCTTGTTTGGATGCTACTAATATTTGGGAAAACCACTCTCTGCTGCCTGACTTGACCGAGCCGCAGTACCCAGGTCAGCTCGGCGGTCCTCTTGCGCCATCTAGTGTACGAAAGGTGGAAGTGGCTCAAGCACGTTGCAAAGTCCCACAGGGATTCCAAGATCCACCTGGTACTTACCAAGCATCAGCCCAAACACTCTGGACACGGAGAGGTGTGGCGCCTTTTAAAGGAGACACGTGGAATTAAATTTGCTAATCACTTCTCGTGGACTGGGCGGGCACTCCAACTGTATTTACTGAGCCAAATGATAAAGAGTTGATCTCTGGATTCATCTGTACTCAACATGAAGTGGTACTATTTAAAAGATCATTTAGGCAGCATGAACTTGTGTAGTATAAGAATTGACACTTGGCCAGGCGTGGTGGCTCCCGCCTATAATTCCAGCACTTTGGGAGGCCAAGGCGGGTGGATTGCCTGAGTTCAGGAGTTCGAAACCAGCCTGGGCAACACGGTGAAACCCCCATCTCTACTAAATACAAAAAATTAGCTGGGTGTGGCAGCATGCACCTGTAATCGCAGCTACTCAGGAGGCTGAGGCAGGAGAATTGCTTGAACCCGGGAGGTGGAGGTTGCAATGAGCCGAGATCACGCCATTGCACTCCAGCCTGGGCAACAGAGCAAGACTCTATCTCCAAAAAAATTAAAAAAAAAAAAAAGAAAAGAATTGACACTCTTCAGCTTGCCTCCCACACCTCTGAAAACCAGAAAGTTCCAGCTGGGAAAAGGTAAGGCAGCTTGCTCCCATATCCCAGAGGTTCAGAAAGGGAACTTTGGTGAACATCAGTCATGTGGGAGCTTTAAATCTCCACTGCCCCGGCACACCTCAGGCCAACTAGTTCAGACCCCTGCAGTGGGAACCCGGCCTCAGAATTTTTTAAAGCTCCGCATGTGATTCCAGTGAACAGCAAAGCCGCCAACCACTGCTACAGCCTTTACCATCAGAGGCTTGGAAGGCAAAGACGTCCAGTGACACAGGTCTCAGACATGGCACGAGAAGCACAGGTCTACGCTGCCTGTCCCAAACACAGTCGCCTTAGACCCAACCTGCTTCCTCTGTGACATCCCAAACTCTCTCTTATCTGTCAACAGTTTAGTCTCCCTTTGTGATTATCACAGTAAAAACTGGAATTGTTGACTGTCCCAAGCATTACTGAGTGGGGTCTTTGCCGTTCTGGTCTTGGCCCTATCTTCTGAATCTGGGCATTAGGAAGAGATTTCAGGGTTCTGAGCAGTTTCTATGGCACCGAGACAATGCTTTCAACTGCAACAGGAGAGCCTCTCCCCTGAGACGAATTCCACGGAAACGAGAAAAGGCCTGCTTTGGGCTCACTCACCCCTTCTCAGCCCTCTAATAACAGCTATGCCCTGTATGAGATATGAGCTGTCAGTGTGATGAGAAGCGGGCTGTAAAACTGAAATGGGACCATTTGAGGCGAGGCTGCAGCGAGAGAGACTGGCTCACTCTGCCCTGCAGCAGGGCCAGGGAGTGGAGTTGCCTGGTTCCTCCAGAACAGCCTGCAAGGTGAAGTAGTCACTCGGCCTTTCACAAAGCAAAACCAGACAACATAAACTGCTTGAAGGTGGCGGGTCCCCTCCCTTACCCTAGACTGCCTAACTTAGGAGGCAGAAACAGGTATCACTCACACATCAGAGGCAGGAACTCAGACACCAGACACTGCTGGCTTCTAATCCCTGCCACGTGATGTGGGAGAAGTCAGTTGACCCGTCTATGCCTCAGTGTCTTCAACTCTAACAAAAGATGGAATACCTGCCTCATAGAGCTATTGTGACAATTAGATGAGAAAGAGGGATATCCCACCGGGTACCAGGAGGACACAGTGGCTCTAAGTCCCACTCCACCTTTTTTTTTTTTTTTTTTTTTTACAGTCAGGGTCTCACTTGTCGCAGGTGGGCGACAACCATTTGAGCCAGTGGCATGCAGGGGTAAAAGAATTTACCAAGACAGCTGTAGGTAAAGAAAGGCAGATTTACGCGAGGAAGAATGAAAACACGTTGTTAGGAGGCAACGGGCAGATCAGCGGAGGAGGAGCTGACTGCCAGAGACAAAGGCTCCTGGAGATTTTATAGGATGGTTTCGGCTACATAGGGCTGCGCACAATACTGATAACGCCAGGGCTGCAAGGAGCTAACGTGCATTTTTCTATCAGCCAAGGTGTCTGATGATAAACGGAAGTGTTTGATGTTAAGTTGGGTGCAGGAGGATTGTGGGTAATGTACGTTATCTGCACTGGAGGGCTATGTGTCCTGGACCATGAAGAAAGGTAGGCCGGTAACTTATCTGCTTTATCTTTAACTCCCTCAGTCCCGCCAGCCTGACTCCTTTGCCCTAAATAGGACTCCACAGATTTGTCATCCAGGCTGGAGTGCAGCTGTGTGATCACAGCTCACTGCAGCTTCGAACTCCTGGACTCATGCCATCCTCCTGCCTCAGCCTCCAGAGTAGCTAGGACTACAGGCATGCAGCACCACACCCAGCTATTTTTTTATTATTTTTTGTAGAGACGCGGGGCAGGGGGTCTCACTATGTTGCCCAGGCTGGTCTCAAACTTCTGGCCTCAAGTGATCCTCCCACCTCGGATAGTAACAGCACCTGCTACTATCTACCTTGTGGAGTGGTAGCCTTACATTTTTATTAAATACATTCTATTTTGGGGAGTTTTTTGTTTTTTTGAGATGGAGTCTCACTCTGTTGCCTGCGCTGAAGCGCAGTGGCATGATACCAGCTCACTGCAACCTCCACCTCCTGGGTTCAAGTGATTCTCCTGCCTAAGTCTCCGGAGTAGCTGAGATTACAGGTGCCCGCCACCACACCCAGCTTATTTTTTGTATTTTTAGTAGAGACAGGGTTTCACCATGTTGGCCAGGATGGTCTCGATCTCCTGACCTCGTGATCTACCCGCCTCGGCCTCCCAAAGTGCTGGGATTACAGGCGTGAGCCACCGTGCCTGGCCCAGGTGTTTTTTTTTTTTTTTAATTTTCTTATAGCCTAATGTTAAAACTACATAGAATAAAAGGATATTAAAACAAGAAAATAGTGAAAGGTTACAACAGGAAGATGAGAAACACCCTCTGAAAGGTGAGAGGGATGAGCACGGGAGAGAAATGTCTGCTGGTGGGGGCAGGTGCTGGCGTGCTGTCAGTGGAACTCTAGCATGTCTGGGGGACACTGGCATGTGTTGTGTGGGGGACACTGGCGTGTTGTGCAGGGGACACTGGCATGTCGTGTGGGGGACACTGGCGTGTTCTGTGGGGGCAATGGTGTGTTGTGTGGGGACACTGGCGTGTCGTGTGGGGGACACTGGTGTGTACACGGGACACTGGCGTGTCGTGCGGGGGGACACTGGCATTTTCTGTGGGGGCAATGGCATGTTGTGTGGGGGACACTGGCGTGTTGTGTGGGGGCAATGGCGTGTCGTGTGGGGACACTGGCGTGTCGTGCGGGGGACACTGGTGTGTACACGGGACACTGGCGTGTCGTGCGGGGGGACACTGGCATGTTCTGTGGGGGCAATGGCATGTTGTGTGGGGGACACTGGCGTGTTGTGTGGGGGACACTGGCATGTCGTGTGGGGGACACTGGCGTGTTCTGTGGGGGCAATGGCGTGTTGTGTGGGGACACTGACGTGTTGTGTGGGGGACACTGGCGTGTGCACGGGACACTGGCATGTCATGTGGGGGACACTGGTGTGTTGTGCGGGGGACACTGGCATGTTCTGTGGGGGCAATGGCGTGTTGTGTGGGGGACACTGGTGTGTTGTGTGAGGACACTGGTGTGTTGTGTGAGGGGCACTGATACGTGTGGTGAGTCGCTGTCCTACTGTGGGGGGAATCTGATGTGTGTGGGGAGCACTGATGTGTGTGGGGGTCACTGTCCTACTGTGGGGGTCGCTGTCCTATTGTGGGGGCTGCTGATGTGTGGGGGGGTTGCTGTCCTACTGTGGGGGGCACTGATATGTGTGGGGACCACTGTCCTACTGTGGGGGCTGCTGTGTGTGGGGGTCGCTGTCCTATTGTGGGGGCTGCTGTGTGTGGGGGTCGCTGTTCTATTGTGGGGGCTGCTGTGTGTGGGGGTCGCTGTTCTATTGTGGGGGCCGCTGATGTGTGTGGGGGTCGCTGTTCTATTGTGGGGGCCGCTGATGTGTGTGGGGGTCGCTGTCCTATTGTGGGGGCCGCTGATGTGTGTGGGGGTTGCTGTCCTGTTGTGAGGGCCGCTGATGTGTGGGGGTCGCTGTCCTGTTGTGGGGCGCTAATATGTGGGGGTCGCTGTCCTGTTGTGGGGCGCTGATGTGAGGAGTCGCTGTCCTGTTGTGGGGCGCTGATGTGTGTGGGGGTCGCTGATCTATTGTGGGGGCTGATGTGTGTGGGGGTTGCTGTCCTATTGTAGGGGCCGCTGATGTGTGGGGGTCACGTCCTGTTGTGGGGCACTGATGTGTGGGGGTCGCTGTCCTGTTGTGGGGGCTGATGCATGGATACATTGGCCGGGCTGGAGAAAGATGCACTGTCCCTGCGCCTTCCTTCCTCCGTTTTGTTCCTTTTAGTTCCCACAGGACTTTCTGTACTGTGGGAGAAAGCTCTTTTACAAGGGATCCCACAGGTGGCATTCCTGACAAGGCTGTTCAAATATCAGCCCACAAGTCATGGGTTCTGTTACACGTTCCCCCTCGGGACAAAACCTGCCGCCCAGCATTTACCTATAGTACGGAAGGCAGCAGCTGACCACCGAGGAGGAGCCAGAATCGCCTCTGCTGGACCCCATGGGCCCTCAAGGGGCACGGCCAGGAGTTTCGGTGAGAAAGTCATTTTCACACAATTACAGACCTATTTCCTCAAACATCACTGCCAGCCTCCACAGAGGAGGGCCTCCCTCCTTGAGGAACACCCTCCACAGAGGAGGGCCTATTCTATCCTTAGCTGGAAAGATGATCGAGGAATGCCTCCAATCGCCCTTAACTTCTTGCTGTCTGTCCCCTCGGGCCAAGTCAGCAGTTGGAGGTTTACCACCCAAACTCAGAACTAGACACCAACAGGGGTGCGAGTCTTTAGGAGCCTCAGGCCCACCCAAAGCACCAGCAAAGAGAAAACCAAGAAAGAAAGATGGCTAGGGGGAGTCCGGGGAGGGCGGTGGTGATTAGACAATAAGGAAGAAAATAGCGCCGTCGGTTAAACAGCACTGCACGCTGCCTCACCCTAGATGGGGACAGATGGGTTTGCTGCCCTAAGAATGACTTGACGAGAACAGCCTGCCACCAGCGTCTTTTGAGTCCAAAACAAAAGAGCAGCCGAAAGGAAGCGTATGGACTGTGAGCGGTGGTTTCACCCTGTGGCCAGACTGCCCAACAAGGGGCCACAGGTTTCTTGCAAGGGGTCCGTGACTTCACATAACTAGCATTGTCTACAGTCTCATACTATTCTTCGAATAAATGCAGATCTGCTGTGCTGATGGAGTATTACTCAGCTGTAAATAAATGCAGATCTGCTGTGCTGATGAACTATTAGTTGTACATGTTTCTGGGCAGCTGCTTTTTGTCACTGTGTATTTTTTAATTTTGCTTTATTATTTTTAGAGACAGGGTCTCACTCAGTTAGTTGTCGCCCAGGCTGCAGTACAGTAGCACGATCCTGGCTCACTGCAACCTCAAACTCCTGGGCTCAAGCCATCCTCTGGCCTCACCCTTCCGAGTGGCTGCAGCTACAGGCACGGACCACCCTGCCCAGCTCATTTTTTAAATTGTTTTGTAGGAACGGGATTGTGGGGCGGGGGGACGCATTACATCACCCAAGCTGTTCAGAACTCCTGGGCTCAAGAGATCCTCCACCTCAGCCTCCCCTGAAGTGATCACAGGTGTGAGCACCACGCCCACCCACTGCGCAGTTTTTCTAATCACTGGACAAGGAAAGCACAATGACCATGTAGGGTCTGCGAAGTTTTTAATGTTCAAGGGGCTGTCCGTTTTGAAAGGTGAAAAGGAATTAACATATTTAGGTCCACTCATAGGGAAGAGGAAAAAGAAATTCTGGCATAGCACAGGGGTCAGGAAACTATGGCCCACCACCTGTCGTTGTCAGTAGTTTCCCTGGAGCCCAGCCATGCAAATGGTTGACATGCTGCCGATGGCCGCTCTGCAGAATCGCTGGGACTAAGACCACAGGTCCAGAAAGCTTCAAATGGTTACTATCGGGCCCTCCACAGAAGTCTGCCCACTCTCCATACAGCATATGATGAAATACACTGCATTATACTGAATATTGAAAAAAAATATACTGCAGCTACTGAAAAATAAACACAAAGTGTATATACAAACAGGGAAAGATGTTCAAGAAATCATGAGAAAGTTTTATTTTAAACTCTGCCTGCCTCCTGAGGCCAGCAGGTCCCGTTCATTTGGTTTCACTAGGCTCCAATGAGAAAGGAATTTGAGTTCTTGGGAAGAATGAACCCTGGGAGGGTAAACAGGACTCTGGGCAACATTGTCTAAGCGGCGTCCCCAGCACGGGCCTGAACAGGACCAGCAGCCCCTCCGTTACTTACGCAGGCAGTTCCAAGGCCACAGGCCGCTGAGAGCTGTGCAGGAAGCTCTCCCCACCCAAGGTCTGCGTGGTATCAAAACTCAAGAATAAGAACAGAAGCCAAACCACCACCATGGTTCGCCATCAGCTGACCTACACTGAACCCCAGAATCAAGCAGACAGGCCCACCACGGCCCAGCTGTGCAGGATGAGCCAGCTCCCCAGGTGGAAAGGCCTGCCCAGGAAAGTCGCCAGAACAAAGCAGAAAGAGCCGCTGGCTGAGCTAGTCATTCTTCCCAAGTGAATAATTAGACAAGCGCCACCTTGAGAGGCCAGGAGCATGCTTAGAGGACATTCCCTCCTCCTGGAAGCTGTGTGTCCCCTAGGGGGCTCTTCAACACCCACCTCAGTGCAGCCACACAGGGAAGGGCTGGCGTCTGGGCCACCCTGGCGGGGATCCAGGACTACCTCACACTGCCCCACACCCACCGCCAATCTGCCCCTTAACCCAATGGTATCAGAGCATCTTAAAAGCACAACCACTAGACTCTGATAGCTGCTGTGTCAGATAAGAAGCAGGCCCCGTGGTGACAGACCACACACGGACGCAGCTGGCTCCTGGCTGCCTCACAGTCCGCCTCTCTCCTCACAGTTCAGCACTTTATTCGGAAGAGCATTAGACCTGCCATCCAGACAGCTTGTCCACCTTCACTCACAGCCTCACAATCCCAGAACCTGTGCTGCCCCCTGCAGAAATCCTGCATGTCCTGGGGGCAGCCACCACCCCAGCCCATGATGATGCTCTTCAAAATTAACTTTTGTTTCTGTAGGAAAAGCAAAAGGAAAAGGATTAAGTTCCTAATTGTTGAGTAGACACAACTCATCGACTCTAAACTATATAAATTTAGTCCATCAAACCTTAGTCTAAAATGTGTGACTAACACCCACCAGAGGAGGTGACCAAATGCGCTTCGGTGAAATCAGGTAAAAGCTGTTTGCAAACTGTGCAGGGTCTCGGCAGATGCCCTGAGAATCTTTAGCTCTTCCGTCCACAAGGATTCCACCAAAGTTAGTTGGTTTATCAGGGCCTCTTTTTCATCCTTCATATGAGACACCTGAAAGTTATTTTTTAATTATTGTTATTGTAGTAAAACATATATATATATTTCACAGAACGTACGTACCTTTTTAACCAATTTTAAGTGTATGGTTCAGCAGCATGAAGTACATTCACATTGTTTAGATCCACTGCCACTCTCCAGCTCCAGAACTTTTTCTATCACCCAAACAGAAACTCTACAAGCATACATCAATAACCCTATTCCCCTCTTCCCCAAACCCCCCGTCACCTCTACTCCACTCTCTGTCTCTACGAACTCACCTGTTCCAGGAACCTCACAGAAGTGGATCATACAGCATTTGTCCTTTTGTGTCTGGCTTATTTCATTTCCAATAATGTCTTCAAGCTTCATTAAAATCACTCTTTAAATCCCAGGCATGTTTTCATACGAATAAGCTGATTTCTCATTTAACTAAAACATTTACTAAATAAACACATCAATGAGAAAGAATGCTTGAAGTCACACAGTAACTTTTACTTTTTGCCTTTTAATAAAAAGTAAAGGCAAAGATATGGAATCAACCTAAGTATTCATCAACAGATGAATAAAGAAAAAGTGGCATATATACCCAGTGAAGTACATTCAGCCTTATAAAAAAGGAAATTTTGTCATTTGTGACAACGTGGATGAACCTGGAGGACATGCTGTCACACGGCAATAAGCCAGCACAGAATGACCAATATTGCATGATCTCACTATACATGGACTCTAAAATCATCAAACTCATAGAAGCAGGGAGTCAAATTGTGGTCACCAGAGGCTGAGGGGTTGGAGAGGGATTAGGGAGATGTTGATCAAAAGACACCAAATTTCAGCTGGACCAGAGGATTAAGTTCAAGAGATCTATGGTACATCGTGGTGACTACAGTTAATAACAATATATTATGTACTTGAAAATTGCTAAGTGCAGATTTTAAGTGTTCTCACCACAAAAAAAATAAGTATATGTGATCATGCATATGTTAAATAGCTTGATTTAGCCATCCACGATGTATACCTATTTTAAAACATCATGTAGTCCACTATAAATATATACAATTTTTACTGACCAATTAAAAATAAAGAGGCCAGGTGCAGTGGCTCATGCCTGTAATCCCAGCACTTTGGGAGGCTGAGGTGGGCGGATCACCTGAGGTCAGGAGTTTGAGACTAGCCTGCCCAACATGGTGAAACCCTGTCTCTACTAAAAATACAAAAATTAGCCAGATGTGGTGGCGGGCACTTGTAATCCCAGCTACTCGGGAGGCTGAGGCAGGAGAATCACTTGAACCCAGGAGGCGGAGGTTGCAGTAAGCCGAGATCGTGCCATTGCACTCCAGCCTGGGAGACAGAGCAAGACTCTGTCTCAAAAAAAAAAAAAAAATAGAAAAGAAAAAGAAAAAATAAAAATAAAAAATTGAGAGAAAAAGCATAGGTACTATGTTAACAGTCAAAAATGGAGCCCAGATGCGGTGGTTCAGGCCAGGCGCAGTGGACACTTGTAATCCCAGCACTTTGGGAGGCTGAGGCGGGTGGATCACTTGAGGTCAGGAGTTCAAGACCACCCTGGCCAACATGGTGAAACCCCGTCTTTACTAAAAATACAAACATTAGCTGGGCATGGTGGCGGGTGCCTGTAATCCCAGCTACCCGGGAGGCTGAGGCAGGAGGATCGCTTGAACCTGGGAGGTGGAGGTTGCAGTGAGCCAAGATCGTGCCATTGCACTCCAGCCTGGGCAACAAGAGTGAAACTCCATCTCAAAGAAAACAAAAATAGAGATTACATCAACATTTATTTATTTAAGGCACTAAACAATGCTCTTATGAAATGCACTATCCCTAATAACATGTACAAAACAAGGAACTGCTGAATCAAGACACTTCTTTAAGGATGTCATATTCTAGAAACATACCTTTTGAAGCACAGCATTAGTCTCTTCTATGAAATAATAGCATATTTTCTGGGCTATGTCCAAACTTGTCTTCTCATTCGTATCTGAAATTACCTCCCCAAGAAGTACTTTTTTCCAGCATGTACTAGAACCAAAATGTTCCATGACACAATTTTAGCAGGCTCTCAAAAAACAGATTTTTTTGTTTCAGTGCAACACATAAACTCCTTCTCCTATTTCTCCAGGAGCATAATACAACTCATTCCATAAGCAGATTCCCCAAACCTCCATGCCACTTGCAGCTCCCATGTGGAAGCCGACCAGGTAATGAGAGAGGAGGAGGAGGAGCTGAGAATAAAAGCACGGGGGGTGGGTACTCTCTGCAGGCAAGGGCTGAATGTTATTATCATCACAAACCTGTGTCTGACCCATGAGTGAATGAAGTCCCGTTCCCGGCCATGGGAACGAAGCCAGTGACAGAACAGGAGGGCGAGTCCACAGCCGAAAGGCAGAGGACTAAGGAGCAAAGGCAGAAGTTTTCCTTCAAGTGACCGTCTGTCCAAAATAGTAGCAAACTGGGCACAATTCACAAAGCCAAATGCTCCATGTCTGGAAGGAGGAATCTACAGCAAGCCTCTATCCCCATGCAGGTCATTCCAGTGCTCTACTACAAAGGTTCGCAGGAAACGGGGCTCAGTCAGCAGGCAGGGCCCACTCTGGAAGGTCTGCTGTGGCAGGTGCAAGGGAGCCACAGCAGGATGCGGAGCAGAGGTGGCAGCGCCAGACCTAGACACTAGAAAGAAGAACTACCGGGAGAAAGACGACGGAGGACCGGATTCTGAACACCGAGAATCTGGAAGTGGAAGTGGCTTCGAAGGGGAGGAAAGATGGCTGCTGTGGAAGTAAACAGGAGCCCATTAGATTCAGAACAGCTGGCAAGACACAGCCCGGAATAGTCTCAGAAGGCTTCAGTTTCAGAGATGACAGGTGAAATGAGTTCTCAGTAAAGAAAAAGGAAATGACTGTGTGTCAGGCATGGTGTTCATGAATAACCATTACCTAATTTAATCTTCACAGTTACCTAGCAAAGAAAGCACGATAATCCGCATGCTAGACTCAAAGAAACACTCAGCAAAGTTGAAGCACTCACCCTGAGTGACAGAGCTAGTGAGGCAGAAAGAACTGAAACGCCCCAGCCAGAGCCCCACACGTGCTTTCTCCACACCCACTCAGTAAGCGGTAACTCAAATGCAAGAAAAGAGGCCTAAGGAAGACCTCTGGGAAACAGCCAGTTGTTGTATTTAATTTTAGGCTGAAGTGTCCGAAAAGGACTCATACCTTGTTGCCAGAAGGATTTAAAGAAGCTAACATAAGTACACACAAAATAAAAGGTAAGATGAATGAAGGCAGAAAACAAGACAAAGGAAGACAAAAGGAGAAAAGACAAGACACTGCAGGAATGGGCCAGTGCGAAACCGCATGTCCCAACACTAGGTACGTTTGCATGCACCTCAGATTTGCCTCTCAGTTTTCCAGTGAACAAGGAAAAGAAGGAAACATCGGTTAAAGAATTCATAGTATCTGTAAGATAAAAACACTCCATTTGCTAAGAATAAAAACAAAAACTATGTCTAGTGTTGAGACCAGAGAGAAATTTTACTCCAAAAGTTCCTAGAGAAAAAGAAGGAAGCAACATCATCTCATCCAAAAGAAGAACAGGCGTCACTGAAGGGGCACCGACTGCTCCCAGGCACTGTGCCTCATCTCAGTCAGTCCTCCCAACTGTTCAAGGACAGCCTGCACCATCTTCAAGAGGTTCTCCCTGGATATCTAGCAGCAGAAGGTTGAAGGCTGCTCTCCCTGCCAGGGACTCAGGCTGAAGCTGCCCCTACACTGGGTACAGCACAGCTGGATGTGTCGACAGGGGGCTGCAGGGAGCAGGACTGACAGCAGGCAGGAACATGAGGGAGCCTGGCCAGGATGCACACCCACACCGGGGGCTCCCCGACCTGCCTCCCCCATGGAAAAGTCCAGCTCTTCAGCCAGGTTTCTGGATCTCCCCCAGGGCAGGACCGACGTTAGGGACTCTAGCTCTACTTGTCCTGGGCAAAACCTACCTACTCAGAGACTTTCCTCTGAACAGTGCCAATGCCCACACTTTTTAAAGGATTTCAGGTCACCAGAAGGAAAATATGAGTAGAAACAAAAAGATTATCAAAACTATGTATGCTGAGTCTAAAACCAGAATTCCAAAACGGTTAAAACTTAGAAATGAAACATTCGCTACATGGGCAAGTTACATAATGAGAAAGCAACTCCAATGTATGACATCCCTTTTTCCTCCCTGGCTGGGTATCTGAATGCAAGCCAAAAACAAACAAACCAACCCTCCAAAGTTATATCTAGCCTGTTGCTACAGCTTAAGACCAACACATGTGAAACTTACAATTTCTCAGCTTCCAGACATAACAACTTAAGGGCTGTGAGTAGCCTCCAAGATGGTCCATCCCATCCAAATGTCAAATTTCTGAAGTAGAAAAACAAATAATGACAAATCCATCATTTCAGTATTTCATGACCTCATAGCAAATGACTGAAGAGCCAAACACCTTTTTAAAGAGGTTGCTAAATGTCATGTAACCTGCAACCTCGGCCAAAGGACAAGAGAAAATCAGTCTGCAAATACTTAAGAAGAAAGCCTAAGTAACAGGAAATTCTCTCCCCATTTTTTTTCTAAAGAGTAAACAGCTGGCCGGGCGCAGTGCCTCACGCCTGTAATCCCAGCACTTTAGGAGGCCAAGGCAGGTGGATCACGAGGTCAGGAGATCGAGACCATCCTGGCTAACACGGTGAAACCCCATCTCTACTAAAAATACAAAAAATTAGCTGGGCGTGGTCGCAGGCACTTGTAGTTCCAGCTACTTGGGTGGCTGAGGCAGGAGAATGGCGTGAACCCGGGAGGCAGAGCTTGCAGTGAGCTGAGATTGCGCCACTGCACTCCAGCCTGGGCGACAGAGCAAGACTCCTTCTCAAAAAAAAAAAAAAAAAAAAAAAAAAAAAAAGAGCTTAACCATGGATGAGGGGCCGGAGGCAGGGCCCATGCACAGGAGTTCCCAGTAAGAGAAACGCTTAAGAACTGGAACTACCCTGGGCATCCCACTGATGGCAGCCACCACTGCCAGGCTGCTCTCACACCATGGCGGGATCATTTCAAACTTCATTTCATCCAGAAAAGAAAATCTGAAAGGGAGAGCCTTGAACCCTGTTTAGCCACTTGGCATGGAATCACCTCGCTACCCACCTACCCCAAGAGCCTGCACCATGTTGCCAGGTGCGTGGGCTCTCCTGAGGCCCAGCCTGGCCTTTCCACATGACCACAAGGGAGACAGACTCACCCTGGGCCACCCATCAACACATCCAAGCTCTCTTTTGGTACCATAATTTAATATTTCTAGCTTGTATCTTATGTCCCTAAAGAAGTTTCTTTCAAGTGTCTTATACTCCTTTTGTCCTCCACAACATCAAGCGCAGTTTTACTGCACATAGTAAGTGCTCAATACCTACCCGTCAGCTGATACAGGGTCAGGAGGGGTCTCACCCCCATGGAAAATTTAACCCCAGGTTTTCCATGAAAATTTCCTAAAGGAATAATTTTAAGAGGGAAAGAGAAACACTTACTCTATATAGCCATGATCCTTTAAAATAGAAATCTTTTTGTCCATCTGTTTATCTGTTGATGGAAGATATTTAACAAGTATTTCTATATTCAAAAAAAAAAATCAGACTGTTAGGGCATAAATTTGGACAAAAGTATGTCTCCCTTCCCTTCTCAACTCACTTCCTTTCCCTTTAGCAACCCAGACATGCATAAACAGTTCCACCTAATTCACACAAAGGAAATCTACTCTTCAAGTCCAATTCAGTCACATCAGTACTGAGTCCCTGAAAGGCTGTAAGAATTTCAAGGCTGGAGGACTAAACACGCATAACCTCAGCTCCTGCTCCCACTAAGTAAATCCACCAAAAACAAGCAGGTCATTAGGACATCAGCATGACTGTTGAAAATTTACAGTCAACAAAAGTAGAGGCCCTGCAAAAACATGAGGAAAGGTTTACAATACTGAGCTTTTTCCAAACCAGAATTCAAAGCAGTCTGGATATTAGTGACTGCAACTACAAAAAACTTAAAGTAAATATGCACAAATTAACAGAGCTATTTGGAGAAGCAGGGTAATAAGGGATTTTTCTATTTTATTTTAAAAATGTAAATATAACTAAAATATAATTTTTGCTCAAATTAATTTATTCAACAAATGAATACTTCGCGGACATCAATATTAAATTTATCAGGATTTTGAAAACATGAAGCCAATCTCGAAGCTGGTTTTCTAGCAGCAAGACCCAGTTTTTGCTTTTCTATTTTTATTTTGAGAAATCACATTATTATTCTGCCTATAAGATGGAGTAGTAACAGCTTGGCCAAGTTTCTATCTCCAATCAAATCTATATTTAAAAATGCTTCAAATTATATATTTAATAAGGCTCTTGCCGTTTTTTCATGGCCTAGAAAACTGCTTCTCTACAGTTTCAGAAAGGGAAAAATCAGTCTTCTATGTACTTTTTTAACACTATATTTGGAATTTTCACATCTTAAGTGTAATGGCTAACTTACTATTTTAAAATAATAAAACTGGGCCAAGCACGGTAGCTCCCGCCTATAATACCAACACTCTGGGAGGTTGAGGCAGGAGGATCTCGAGCCCAGGAGTTGAAGACCAGCCTGGGCAACATAACAAGACACTGTCTCTATCATATGAAAAAACAAATATTAAAAATAGTAATAATAAAACCAGGCCAGGCACAGTGGCTCACTCCTACAATCCTAGCACTTTGGGAGGCTGAGACAGGTAGATCACTTGAGGCCAGAGTTCAAGACCAGCCTGGCCAACACGGCGAAACCCCGTCTCTACTAAAATTACAAAAGTAGCCAGGCATGGTGGTGCGTGCCTGTAATCCCAGCTACTCCAGAGGCTAAGGCACAAGAATCACCTGAACCTGGGAGGCGGAGGTTCCAACGAGCCAAGATTACACCACTGCACTCCAGCCTGAGCAACAGAGTGCGACTCTGACTCAAAAATAATAAAATCAATGATGATGGCTAGGTTAATAGATCACAAAAGAACATACATGAAATCAAATCTCACCATGGCAACAACCTCCAGAAACAAGGACTATAGGTAGATTTATCTCTGTGATTAACACAGTGTCTTACCCACAGTAGGTGCTTAATAAATATTTTTTATTCATTGCTCTCTAATCCTATTTTCTTTAGTGCCAGTGACAACGTCTCAGTATAAACATTTCCATCCTTTAATACTGTATTTATTTCCTTAGCAGTTTTCCTTTTCTTCCATTCTATCTTCTGACCCAATGCAATGAAAACTTCTCAAAATATCAGTCAAAACTTCGTTGTTTTTACTTCAACACTGAAATTACAGCCAGTAAGAGTAAGGCTAGGCCTACCTAGAAGAAAATTAGTGATATGTATGTCAGTCTTAAGGTTTTGATATTTTTATTAAAACTGAAAATACACATCTCCAAATGGGGAAAAAAATTATATAGTGTTAATGTTAAGAACAAAGTTGATTCCAACCTCTTGAGACATAAACACAAGCATGAGGATTATGGACAGAAACAAATCCGTATTCCAGGAACAGCCGTTGATTATCGTGAGGGCCGTAACAGATGAATACCTCTTCATGCTTTCTCCAACGTGAAGTCGTTCTAATTTCGTAAGAATGAGTTTCTTCATTAAACGCTGCTTTTACCTAGAAAGAAAAACTGTTAAGGTATTTTTTAAAGTAAGGTGTAAAACTCCAAAGCTGATTAAGTTATTACATAATATTAATGTGAGTCAGGTGCAGCTTTCAAACACCCATCAATAAATGTAACTACGCATAGGGAAAATGCCACTTCCGGTTTCATCCACCTCGACTTCACCCCATTGATGACGGAGGGAGTCCTGCCCTAGGGCTCTGGGGGTGGCCACACCACGACACCCGACACAGCACAGATGAGATCATCAGCAGTTTATTGGTCACGTCCACTCACAGCCCAGGGAAGGAGGACATGGTGGTGCCAATAAACTTTATCTGTAAAAAGCTAGAGAGTAAATACGTTCAGCTTTGCCAGCACTATGTGGTCTCTGTCACAAGTTGTTGTATTTTCACAATCCTTTCAAAGTGTAAAAACCATTCTTAGCTCAGGGCTCTTGGGCCACACGCCCACAGGCTGTAGTTCGTGCTGTGGTCTTCCTACAGTAAACTATAAACTCATTGGTTTGGCACATAAATGCACCAAAAGTCCCAATAAAAATAAATCACTGCTGACGGAGTCCCCATGTCTAGCATCCTATCACACTACACACTCCTGATATTATTTCGTCAACATCAACCACAGAAACACTCACCTAATCCCAGGCTCCTTTGCTCCCGATTATTAAAGATACTTCTTTCTACAAAAGTAACAAGCAGACAGCCCTTGTTCCTGGGCTAAGAAAGCAGAGCGGGAACCTCCCTAAGCTCTGATCTCACGTAGAGAGCACGAAAGCTTAGCACGTGGGCTCACAAGGCATGGCTGCTCTTCTCCAGTGGAATGTCAGATGAAGGCGACGGCCAGGACACAGATCCCAGCCATGTCCCTCCACAACACACCCCAAAGTGGTTACAGGTGAGCCAACTGATGGACTCTCTTCCGCTCTCCAAGCCAGGCCTCTACCCCTGCATGCCCTGCAAATACACTCATTTCCTAAATGAGCCACCTGGGGAAAGCGCTGGGGAGGAGGCGATCTGTGACCACCTCCCAAATCAGGTTTCTTTCATTATTTCCCAGAACCCTTTCCCCACAAATACCCATCCATTCAATAAACATTTACTGAACACCTACTATGTGCCAGGCCCTGCCATGAGCACTGAGGTGACAAAGAGGAACAAGACAAAGACCCCATTCTCAAAGATTTCAGAGCTCAGTGGGAAAAAGAGCAAGTCAGTCAGCGATCAGAGCGAAGAGAAATGCTGTGACAGCTACAACACCAGTTTAAAAGGGACGGGGCAGGAAAGCAAGCTAAGCTTCAGTCCCGGAAGGAGGAACGAGGGAGAAGGAAGGAAGGCTCCGCACCACAGGCTGCTGGGAAAGACCGGACAGAGGATGCAGCACGAGGCTCTGTAGGCCTGAAGAGCAGAGTGAAGAAAAGGGGCCAAGGCAAGCACTGCGGGAGGGATAGTGGGGTCTAGAAGAACAACAGGAGCCTCCTGACGTCAGGCCAACCTGACAGGGTCACCTGAAGCCGCCGACACCTCTCCCTGTGGTGCCACCCACATCTACAGCCACAGGTTCTGGGCAGCGGAAGCCTTCCTATCCAAATAGAATAGCTGCTCCCTTGTCAGCTTCTCACCTGGACATGTGGGCTATGATTCAGCAGGTCCAGGTACGGAGCGAGTGCACAGGTGTCCGGCTCTGCAGAAAGGCATTCCCGCTGCCTGGGCCTCAGGTACACGGCTCTGGTGTTGACGGTGCACCAAGCCCACAGCAGGGCACTGTAGCTGAAGATGCTGTCAACAGCCTCCGCAAACAGAGGCTGCAGAGAAGAGAAAAAGTCTCTGGAGGAAGCAAAGAACTCCTGCACGTGGGCTCTCTGCTCTTCAGCCTTTGCTTTTAAAGATTTGGGAAGAAGGTTCACCACTTCCGGCTCCAAACAAACAGGGCAGGTATACGCCTTGGGTAAAATCTCCAGGTAAGGCTTCCAAAGAGATCGGTGCCCAGCATGCTTTTCTGAAACTAAAAAGGTGCACAGCGCCAGCAGAGGAGATGGAGGAGGCTTCCACCTTTGAAAATTAAAAGCCAGTTTAAAGGAATTACTTTGATTCAAAATACGAAATAAGCCAAGCAGTTTGTTTTGCTGCCAGAAGGAGTGTGTTCAAACTGTCAACACACTCAGTTTACTTAACAGACTCAAGAGTTCCTTCCTTCCTTCCTTAAGGCTCTTCCTCTCCAGGGGAGCACAGCCCCAGTGCTAGTGCTCTGAAAGAGCCATACTTACATGTCAGAAAAACTGACTCACTAAGCCAAGTTCCAGGTTTGTTTGCAAGAGATTCCTCTTTGCAAAAAAACCTCTTTGCTTCCAACTTGGTTCTCCAGTTGTAAACCTTTTGACCTAAGTCCATTTGTCTCACCTATGTAAAGATATAAAATATGGTGGGGAAAAAATGGTGGAAAGAACTGAGACCTGCACCATCCGATATAGTAATCACTGGGTACACAGAGCTATTTAAATTTAACCTTTAATTATTTAGAATTGAATATTTAAAATTCAATCCCTTGGTAAGATAAGCTATGTTTTAATTGCACAATAGCCATTCAGAGCTAGTGGCCACCATACTGGACAATGCATAAAAAACATCTGTCATTGCTAAAAGCTCTATTGGAGGGCACCAACCTAAACCAAAACTGAATATGCTCATATACAGTTGTTGCAGTTCTAAAGCTTTTATTCCTAAGTTTACCTGCTCTATTACAAATTATGTATCACAGTATTTTTACTTGCACAATTGCCGATAAAAAGATCTCATGTTGCCTGAATGTATTTAGAAAGTTTTCATCAATCCTTCGACATCCAGATTCCTATACTGCCATACATTCTACTCAAAATTTCAGAATGATTCAGAAAATGTTAACAATGACAGCATCATTGTCTCTACACAGGCCTAAAAGACCTATTCACTCTCTTCCAAAAACATGCCAGGGGGAAAAAAGACCAGCACTTACCTAATGGTTAAGAGACAGTATACGCCAGGCACAGTGGCCGTTTGCCTATATCCCAGCACTTTGGGAAGCCAAAGTGGGTGGATCACTTGAGGCCAGGAGTTTGAGACCAGCCTGACCAACATGGAGAAACCCCATCTCTACTAAAAATACAAAATTAGCAGGGCATGGTGGCGCACACCTGTAATCCCAGCTATTTGGGAGGCTGAGGCATGAGAACTGCTTGAACCCGGAAGGTGGAGGTTGCAGGGAGCCAAGATCACGCCACTGCACTTCAGCCTAGGCAACACAGCAAGACCTTGTCTCAAAAAAGAAAGAAAAAAACGGTATACTCTTTCAACCCTTGTATTTAGAAATCCCTTCCACTGCGGGTCGCTCTCACTCTGTCCTCAAAGATGCCCCAAAACAAAGGCCCAGCAGAACGTGTGCCAGAAAACAGTTCTTCCCCATCAGCCTCCTCTCTTCTATACCTAAATAAAACTAATTCTTTCACAAAATTAACAGCTCTTCAAAGTTCAAGGAAAACTGAAGTACAATAACGGTAGAAATAAGAGAGAGTAACTTACATTTGTCAAGAGCTACTATGATGGAAGAGAAGAGGCTACTATGAGCCAAGGCACTCAGCTGTGATTTACATATATTATCCCATTTAATTTTTATTTCTTAGTCAGTGATGGATCGGGATATCATACCCACACTCCAGGAAGCCTATTAAAAACCTTAGAAATGCCATTTACAGTGAATTAAGAACAAACTTTCTGGCCGGGCACGGTGGCTCACACCTGTAATCCCAGCACTTTGGGAGGCTGAGGCGAGTGGATCACAAGGTCAGGAGCTCAAGACGAGCCTGGCCAAAATGGTGAAACCCTGTCTCTACTAAAAATACAAAAAAAAAAAAAAAAAAAAAATTAGCTGGGCGTGGTGGCAGGCACCTGTAATCCCAGCTACTTGGGAGGCTGAGGCACGAGAATCACTTGAACCTGGGAGGCAGTGGTTGCAATAAGCCAAGATCACGACATTGCACTCCAGCCTGGCAACAGGTGAGACTCCATCTCAAGCAAGAGAGAGAGAAAGAGAGAGAGAGAGACAAGGAAGGAAGGAAGGAAGAGAGGGAGGGAGGGAGGGAAGGAGGGAAGGAGGGAGGGAGGGAGGGAGGAAGGCAGGCAGGCAGGCAGGCAGGAAGGCAGGGAGGGAGGGCAAACTTTCTAGAATGGAGTAAACTTTTCACATCATTCAGGTTATTTATCAGCTCTACAAGGGACTGGGTTCTAATGAATTGTGTCTCAAGTGACATATTTGCCATTGACAGACCTTAAGGAGAAGCACTTGCACCAGGTAAGCAAGTGTGTGGTCACTTACTTAGTAATGTATGCCCCTAAGTAGCTTCGAATCACTGTGTCCGTGGTGAGCAGGCAACTCTCAGGCAACGAAATAATCATCTGTCCCTCCTGGCCAAAAGGAAAGTAAAGTTGAGGACGCCTATGCTTTGGGAAGGACCCATGAGTATGAGTCTTACAAAGTCGTTGATCCCACAATCACCTACCAGTAACCCACTGTAACTCAACCAAAAGCCACCAATGAGCCTACCAATGGAGTCGCTCCCAACTCTGCGAGTCAGCAGATGCACACGAGGCTGCTCCAAGGCGAGGCCCCACAGCCCCAACAAAAATGAAAGGTCAATTATGTGACTGACACCCACAAGCAGTCAACCCTTCACCAGAATGAGTGGTGGAAACATGCTGACAATTCAAATTATACTGTTTCTTCACTTTTTTTTTTTTTTTTTGAGATGGAGTTTTGCTCTTGTCTCCCAGGCTAGAGTGCAATGGCGTGATCTCAGCTCACTGCAACCTCCACCTCCCAGGTTCAAGCGATTCTCCTGCCTCAGCCTCCCAAGCAGCTGGGATTACAGGCACCCATCACCATGATGGTGCCTAATTTTTGTATTTTTAGTAGAGACAGGGTTTCACCTATTTCTTCACTTTCTTATGCCAGGAAATAGTGCTACCAATAGTAAACAGACAGAAACTACCCCCAAAAAATTGTATCCAGTGAAATCCAAGTGGCCAGGTGATGGTCTGCTCTCTACATAACCCACGCTTATGAGCTAAAGAAAGGCCAGCATGCCCAACACAGTAAGCGTCGAACTCTACCACTTGCAAGAGTATCGTTTTCAGTGTCTCCCACGGAGATAGAACCATGGAAAGAAAAATTAGATGTAAAGTAATAGAAAACAGTTTAAATAAACACTGCATGAAGAAGCCAGATGTAAGACTCTCCTTTAATTCTAACTGGCATCTAAGTTGGTTAAAAATCTCAGCCAAGGCCAGGCGCGGTGGCTCATGCCTGTCATCCCAGCACTTTGGGAGGCTGAGGCAGGTGGATCGCTTGAGGTCAGGAGTTCAAGACCAGCCTGACCAACATGATGAAACCACATCTCTACTAAAAATACAAAAATTAGCTGGCCATGGTGGTGCACACCTGTCATCCCAGCTACTCGGGAGGCTGAGGCAGGAGAATCACTTGAACTCGAGAGGCAGAGGTGGCAGTGAGCCGAGATTGCGCCACTGTACTCTAGCCTGGGCGACAGAACGTGACTCCGTCTCAAAAAAGAAAAAAAAAATCTCAGCCAAAAAATCTTCCGGGATCAATTTCTGGTTTCCTCATCTGTAAAGCAAGATTAAGCTGGATGATCACTATGGTCACTTCCCATTCCAACATCCTATGATCTTTTGGTTTGAAAATATTTGGGTAAATCTCTTTATCATCAAAATGCAAACTGTACACTTCACTGTGCATTTCACTATATGTAAAATATGTCTCAATTTTCAAAAACTTTTGATAAAACAACCATATTTGAATGTACATGTGAAACAACTGCCAATTATTTCATGACCTAAACAAAAACTACCTGTAGTTACTGCTGCATACATGACATTTCTCATCCCCAAATTCTGCTACAGAATAAAGTCAATTACACCTTCCTCCAAAAACAAAAATATTGTACAACAATATGAATGTACTTAATACTACTGAACTTCAAAATGGTTAAGATGGTAAGTTTTATGTTAGATGAGCTTCCGGGTTTATGGATTCGTGGGCTGCTTCCACCTGCTAGGAGGGTGGTGCACTCTAACTCGGGGACAGAAGCCCCTGTGCTCAGGACTCTTGCAGACCTCTATATCTGGCTGTTCATCTTCCATAATCAACTGGTAGATGTTACATCCAAGAGGAAACAATCCAGGCAAGGAAGCACAAGCTGATCAAGATCTGTAGTTACGTGGCTGCCAAGTTGTGGTTTTTGATAGATTGTCCCATCAGGGAAGACTATCCTCAAACAGAGATTTTACGAGCATTAAAGGCCAAATGTTGTGAGGAGGAACTGGACTTTAGGGCTGTGGTGATGGATGAGGTGGTGCTGACAATGGAGAAAGGAAACTTGGGTCTGCGGATCAATGGAGAGCTAATCACTGCCTACCCACAAGTGGTGGTAGTCAGAGTACCAACCCCTTGGGTGCAAAGTGATAGTGACATCACTGTTTTGCGCCATCTAGAGAAGATGGGATGCCAGTTAATGAACCGACTTCAAGCCATCCTGAACTGCGTTAATAAGTTCTGGACATTTCAAGAGTTGGCTGGCCATGGTGTTCCTCTGCCGGATACTTTCTCTTATGGTGGCCATGAAAATTTTGCTAAAATGATTGATGAAGCTCAAGTACCGGAGTTCCCAATGGTAGTAAAGAATACGCGGGGTCATAGAGGTAAAGCTGTTTTCTTGGCTCGAGATAAGCACCATTTGGCTGATCTAAGCCATCTTATTTGCCATGAAGCGCCATACTTGTTCCAGAAGTATGTTAAAGAGTCACATGGACGGGATGTACGTGTCATTGTCGTGGGAGGCCATGTGGTTGGCACCATGTTACATTGTTCAACAGATGGGAGAATGCAAAGCAACTGCTCATTAGGTGGTGTGGGGATGATGTGTTCATTGAGTGAACAAGGGAAGCAGCTAGCTATCCAGGTGTCTAATATCCTGGGGATGGATGTGTGTGGCGTTGACCTGTTGATGAAAGATGGCAGCTCCTTCTGTGTCTGTGAGGCCAATGCAAATGTAGGTTTCATCGTCTTTCATAAGGCTTGTAATCTAGATGTAGCTGGTATCAGAGCAGACTATACTGCCTCCCTTCTACCCTCTGGCCAGCTCACCCAGCGTATGTCCCTGCTCTCTGTGGTGTCCACTGCCAGTGAGACTAGTGAGCTGGAGCTGGGTCCCCCAGCCAGCACTGCTGTTGACAACATAAGTGCAAGTTCCAGCTCTGTTGACAGTGACCCTGAAAGCATGGAGCGAGAGCTGCTCACCAAACTCCCAGGGTGACTGTTCAACATGAACCAGCTGCTAGCCAATGAAATCAAACTACTGGTGGACTGACTCCACTGGTAATTAACCAACAAAACCCTTGTAAAACTTTCTTTCTTTTTTCTTTTCTATTTTTAAAACCAACTTGCAATGCTGTTCATGGAGGATGCTCAGGAAGATGAGAGAAAATTAGTAGGATTAGTTGGAGAGAGTGGGAGATAGACGAGACCCCCGCTAGTAAGATGTTACTTTCATTTACAAATCCTACAGAGAGGCAGAATAGGTGGGGTATAGAAAAATGTCAGGCTGTCAGTTACCCTTTTAAATTGCTAAAAAATTTGTATGCTCATAGACCATGAGGAACAAATACTTTTTTTTTCATGGTCCCTTGCTTTTGTTTTTGTACAAAAAAAATGGTTTTGCTACAAATATCCAAGTAGCATAACTTCACATTGTGTTGGAAGATTTGTCATCAGTGAGGAAAACATCTGCTTAAATTACAGGAATTTTTGTATTATACAGCTCTGAAAATTCTGCCATTTCCTTATTAACTAGCAGCTTTAGTTTGTAGTTTATGAAATCTTGAGGGGCTCTTTTACTGGGATTTCTTATTTTTGTTTTTCGTTTTTTCCCTCTTAATTTGGTGGGAGGGTCAAAGTGAATATAACCCAATAAAGGCTTCTTAATGACAAAAAAAAAAGTTTTATGTTACATATATTTTACAATTAAAAATTTTTAAATGATGAAAACATTAACACGGCGTAATAGAATTACAACATTAAAACATACCATTCTTTATATATTGGACTTCTTGTGTTTGTGATTTTCACCTGTTTAGGAAAGATAACCTGAATTCCCTTGCTGACTATGCTTGCATTTTAAAGAAACTATACTTTCCTTTAATATTTTAAAAACTTCTCTTTTTAACACAACATTTTTAAAAAGTAAAATTACTTTTGGGCCAGGCATAGTGCCTCATGCTTGTAATCCCAACACTTTGGGAGGCCAAGGCGGGCAGATCACCTGAGGTCAGAAGTTCAAGACCAGCCTAGCCAAGATGGTGAAACCCTGTCTCTACTAAAAAAAAAAAAAAAAAAAAAAATTAGCTGGGCATGGTGGCACATGCCTGTAATTTCAGCTACTTCAGGAGGCTGAGGCAAAAGAATTGCTTGAACCCAGGAGACGGAGGTTGCAAGGAGCCGAGATCGCGCCACTGCACTCCAGCCTGGGCAACAGAGCAAGACTCTGTCTCAAAAAAAAAAAAAAAAAAGGACGTTTTATCTACTGAAAAAAAAAAGATACCATTCCTTAGCCTAAACATATGTACACATCTGAGTGCAAGTTTTAAATAGAGAATTTAAAATAAGATAATTTTTAAATAAAGGAAGAAATTAATTTCTGGCTTCACAGAAAATCGTGCGCTAGAGATCTTTAAAATAGCATTGGAAGAATGAAAAGAAACCTTGGAGGCTGTCATTTACTTCCTCATTTTGTAGGTGAGGAAACAGGAGCCAAGAGTATGAGGGGTCTCATGCTGGGGCCTCAGGCAGCTGAAGGCAACTCTGGCCCAAGTCTGAGGCCTCATCCTCCCCTAGCTCTGGTTTCTACCTGCCACATCACGACTGCCTCACAGACAGCAGCAGCTCCCTTGGCATACTGAAAACGTGATCTGACATGTAACATGTGCTGTGGCAGAGATTGCTAGTTGCCTATCCCAACACGCCTTCTCTCCCCCTCCTCGCTAACGGAATCCTACTTAGAGGGCACGTGGCTGGGGAAAGGCCAGCACGGATCTCCTCCCTTGCAGCTGGCTAGGGCTGTGTACCTGATCACTGGCCAAGGACAGAGGGACTGGAATTTCCTTAAAGGAAGGAAGCCTGCCCTTCCTCACCCGCTTGCTCTCTCCTGATGCCCAAGTTCCAAGACCCACAACCTGACCTGAGGGTGCAGTTCCCTTAAGGACATGAGAGAGCTGGAAGGAGTTGGGGCCTCTGCCAGCCATGGGACTGCCCCACCAGCCAGGGTCAGCCTACTCCAAGCTTGTTTCTATGAGTGAGAACAAAATAAATTTCCATGCTGCTTAAGCACCTCAATTTTGGGCTTGTCTTTTATTGCAACAAACTTAATCCTAGTTGATAGAACCATATTCAAATATATCTATTAGGTAAGTAAGAAATGACTGTATGTCTGAAATTTTTTTAATTCACTTCGTTTGAACCGCAAAAACAAAGCAGCAAAATCTACATTGGGTTTCAAGGATCAAAGAACAGTTCTCACCTGCAGGGATGTTTGACTCATCAGCCCTCTTCCTGTACCTAGGAAAGCAAAGACAGAAAGAGAGTAAATCCTACCATAACTTCAAGGTCCCAGAGATAACTATTATGGAAAAAAAAAATGTGAACTTCAAAATTACACAAGGCTGAAGCTGGATGTCTCTCAGCCTTTGATTCCCAGGGGAAACAGGGAGTCAGAAAGCTATTCCAGAAAATGTCTTGACCTCCAGTGAGTTATAATCCTTGAAGGGCAGTCAGCTTCAGAGGTGAGACCTAAAGAGCACCGTGGACTTTATACAGACCTACTGCTGGGCCTCCTGCAGGACGCTTTGGGCTGGACTCTCTCCACTGGGGCCTACCAGCTAACAAGGTGCTATTCCCAATGCCCAGCCAACCTCTGAGGCTAGAGCCCCAGGCCACTTATCCCCATTACCAGACTCAGCTCTCCCAAGTGAAGACCTTGAGACCCCTTTGATTGGCCGACTGGCCAATAAACCCCACTCAAGTCCCCACAAAGCCTGCAGACATCCTCCCCTCTCTGATCAGGTAACCCATGAGATGGGCTCTCCATGACCTGGTGAGCTCAGCTGGGTAGGTCAGCTCCAGCTGTTCCCTGTGAGCCAAGGCTCCGGCTGGAGCACAGTCACCATAGTAACCTCAGCAGCTGCATTAATACCAATTAATTCAATAAATTCCTTTATTTAAAAATTAATACCAACTTCCAGAAGTTTCTCCCTTCATGCCTAAGCTTCTGCTCCTGGAACAGTCAGACAAACATTGAAAGGATGCTCAGATGACAGCTTTTCTGGCAGGCATAGGTATTACATGGTCATAAGAGGCCTAGAGCATTAACGTCTCCAATTCATCGTTCTTCACCTTTCCTCTCTTAGCTGGGAGGGAAAATAATTCAGCCAAGTCAGTGCAGGACTACTGGGAGCTCCCAGCTCACGGTGGCTCACTGCCTCAAGTCCTCCATCAGTTTCCCGCAACTTGGATTTGATGCTCCCGGCTCATGGTGGGAATTCCTGCCTCAAGTCCTCCATCGGTTTCCTGGCAGGTTGGATTTGATGCTCCTGGCTCATGGTGGGAATTCCTGCCTCAAGTCCTCCATCGGTTTCCTGGCAGGTTGGATTTGATGCTCCCGGCTCATGGTGGGAATTCCTGCCTCAAGTCTTCCATCAGCTTCCTGGCAGGTTGGATTTGATGCTCCTGGCTCATGGTGGGAATTCCTGCCTCAAGTCTTCCATCAGCTTCCTGGCAGGTTGGATTTGATGCTCCTGGCTCATGGTGGGAATTCCTGCCTCAAGTCTTCCATCAGCTTCCTGGCAGGTTGGATTTGATGCTCCTGGCTCATGGTGGGAATTCCTGCCTCAAGTCCTCCATCAGTTTCCCAGCAAGTTGGATTTGATGAGTCCCAATTCATCTCCCCTCCCAGGAGGACACTGTCTGCTTATACAGCTGGTTCTAGTGTTAACTTATTTCATTGATTTTGTGTACCCCATTGTGGAGTTAATCATCCCTGTGCTCCAGAACTCCTCCTAGAATCAATGACTAATGGGAAGATTTTCTTCTACCTGGTTATCCTTCCAAAAACTTACGTGCTAATCTAAGTGGAAATTCTCTCCAAACATATATATGAACAAAAGCTGGCCTATGGAATACATCTAGAAGATCCTTTACCTATATTTATATGGTAGATAGTGTTTAATATCAAAAAACATATAGTAATCTACACTTACTTTCATTTTCATATTGGATATACTAGGCAAAGTAGAAGTGGCCATTAGGAGCTCATGAGAGTAAAGCTTATCACAAATGTCTCAAAGCCTCAAAATTTCCACTATCATCAATCTACATGGGAGGCCCTGACCTGGCTAGTGCTTTTGGTGGTGAAAGGAAATGCTGCGGTCAGTTCCCAAGGCAGAAAAGAAGAGAGAGTCTAAAGATGGAATCCTGCTTAGGAGATTTCCTGTGCCCCTCCACAAACTAAGATGAATTCCCCAGAGTTCATACATTTTGACTGAAGCCCAGAAATGTTACCTCCTATCATACACTGATTAAGAGCTAAAAACTACATGAAGCACTTACAGAAGGTTCCCCAGAACTGTAAGCACTGGGCACGGGTCACTGCCAAGCCACCTGCATCACCCGAAATCTGGGGCTGGGGCCAGGGCAAGTTGTGCTCACTTTTAAAAATAGGAACTCTTTACTGCTCCAAATTACAAACAGATGACCTATTCTCAGGTATTCCATCTAAACCATCTGCTGATTCCTGCTTGATGATTTTAAACCCATCCTTCCTAGGGCAAATGACACCAGAGATGTGGGCAGGCCTTAGACACGGCAAGTTTACTGCTGACACTACTGACTCTCTTGATCATCTGGGGAAAAACTCTGTTCTGTACATCTAAGGGTGTGGCTTTTACTGACCATCTTTGACACACAAAAACAGAAAGTCAAGCATTATTTTAGAGGCTGACAATATGGTTCATGACCATCAACTAGAAGGGGCCTTAATAGAAAATGGCTCAAATCAAGCATTTTAGTTCAAAGTCATGATGTGTAACTGACTCATGGAGAACAACTTTACACACATCACCTCACTCAGCAAGGGGCACAAGTGGGAAATCATTTGCCTTGGCGTGTGGTATATGAGGAAGTTAATTTGCTCAAAGTTCAATTACCTAATGGGTACTTGAATAATAATTCTAATGGCCAAGGGGAGCATTGTGTGGCATATGCTTTGACTTTTCTGTAAGATGCAGCCTGCCCTGTGATGTAGAATTTTGGGGCCCTAATTGCACCACCACTATCTCTGTGCTACAGCAGACTCCAAATCCTTTTAAAGAGCATCTTGGTCCTCCCTGTGGTTATCTCTTGCCCACCTGTGGGAAGAGTGGAGTGGCCATGTATGCAGGCACACACCCATAGCAAGCTGCCCAACTTCTGTGAGAGAATGTTCCAGAAGAAAGTGGTTTTTGTTTTTTGTTAGTTTTTTGAGACAAGGTCTCACTCTATCGCCCAAGCTGGAGTGCAGGGGCATGATCATGGCTCTCTGCAGCCTCAGCCTCCCGGGCTCAAGCAATCCTCCTGCCTAAGCCTCTAGAGTAGCTGGGACTACAGGGCACACCACCGCGCCTGGCTAACTTTTGTACTTTTAGTAGAGACAGGATGTTGTCATGTTGGCCAGGCTGGTCTCAAACTCATGAGCTCAAGTGATCTGCCTGCCTCAGCCTCCCAAAGTGCTGGGATTACAGATGTGAGCCACCACGCCTGGCAAAATGTTAACCTAACCTCCCTAATAAGCACAAGTTCCAGAGAAGAATGTCAGTCTACCTCAGTTCAGTGCTGAAGCCCACTGCTCTGCAATTAACTGGCCATACACAGGGGACTCCTCCTCCAACCCAAGGGGAACACATGCAAACCAGCTGAAGGACAATATCTGCTGAGGCCCACCTGCAAGAGTGGCCCCTGCTGTCTACCTGGCTCTCGTGTGGGAAAGGGCAGGACAGCTGAAGGCTAGATCTTACCTGGAAAACAAGCAGGCGCTAAGTTTGAATCTTGAAACTTCCTAGCTTTCAGCCACTTCCTCAGCTCTATAAATTCAGACTTGTGGCTCTCATTCACTATCAGGCAAGGAGAGAACAAATGGTGATTAAAACCACTATATAATCGGATTACCATTTTTAAAAGAACATGTCTGATGAAATGTGTCAGACAGACTTACACAATAGTAAGAATTGGTGTATCTAAACATAGAAAAGTTACAATAAAAACACAGTATTGGCCAGGCGCAATGACTCACTTCTGTATTCCCAGCATTTGGGAGGCCAAGGCGGGAGGACTGCTTGAGGCCAGGAGTTTGAGCCCAGCCTGCCCAACACAGAAAGACCCCATCTCTTAAAAAAAAAAAAAATACAATATTATAATCTGAGGACCACCACTGTACATGTGATCCATCAACCAAAACATACTTATGCAACATACGACTATATTCATTCAATGTAATCCTAATCAAAATTCAAGCAGGCTTTCATACAGGAATTAACAAGATGATCCCAAAATTCATGTGGAAATGTAAAAAGCCTAGAATAGCCCCAATATCTTTGAAAGATTGATTTTAAAACTTATTATAAAGCTACAGTAATCAAATTAGTGTGATATTGTCAAAACAGACACAAATAGGTCAAAGGAACAACACAGAAAATAGGAAGAGGTCCACACGTAAATTTTTGACAAAGTGCAAAGGCAAATCAGTGGAAGAAGATAGTCTTTTCAATAAATGATGATCAAACAACTGGACCTCCATCAGCAAAAAAAAAAGTGAGCTTATCGATATCTTGTACCATATCCAGTTGGATTTACATAGGACTTTCCAGATGGCCAAGCACTTTTGTATTGAACAAGATACAGTATCTTCTTCAGACAGGGTTACCCTGAATTTGAAGTCATAAATTTACATCCAAACATTGATATCCTACAGATAGCTGAAGGTCAAGACCAGAAAAAGAAAGTTGGGAGTCATCCCCAGAGAAGACAGTTGAAACAATGAGTTAGTTATCTTCACATTCCCACCAGGATCTAAAAGAATACAATGGCACCATTAAAAAAGAGTGTTATTTAAGAAATATTCTCTTTGGGCTGGGCACAGTGGCTCACACCTGTAATCCCAGTGCTTTGGGGAGGCCAAGGCAGGAGGACCACTCGAGCCCAGGAGTTCAAGACCAGCCTGTGCAACATAGACCCTGTCACTACAACAAATTTAAAAAAACATTAGCCGGGTGCAGTGGCATGTACCTGTAGTCCCAGGTACTTGGGAGGCTGAGGCAGGAGGGAGGCTAAGGGAGGAGATCACTTGAGCCTGGGAGATCAAGCCATGATCACGCCACTGCATTCCAATCTGGGTAACAGAATGTACCTTGTCTCCAAAAAAAAAAAAAAAAGAAAGATTCTCTTTGAACACTGTGTGCCTTTGAGAAAAGCTATGTGTTAGGCCGAGCATGCTGGCTCACGCCTGTAGTCCCAGCTACTTGGGAGGCTGAGGCAGGAGAATCGCTTGAACCGGGGAAGCAGAGGTTGCAGTGAGCCAAGATGACACCACTGCACTCCAGCCTGGGTGACAGAGCGAGAATCCGTCTCAGAAAAAAGAAAGAAAGAAAGAAAAGCTACGTATGAACAAACAAGCAATCACAAAAGGATTTCTTTTTTCATTACTGGTACTAAAAGAAAAACCATACCTCCTCTTGATTCAGAACTTCCGCAGAGTTTTCGTCTTCTGATCCGGCTTGTTCTCCCTTTTCCTTTCTGCATGCTAAAACTGTAGTTTCTTTTTTCTGAAATACAGTTCTATTTTTTCAAAAAGGACAAAACTGTAATTTCTGTGGAAATGCTCAATCTAAAATAAAAAACATTTCTTTGATTTACTTTCCAGTTATATGATAATCACTGTTCTTTGTACCTTTAAGTATACAAATGTATGTTTTGGTAAACTGTTTCTCTCAAGTGCTTTTGTACATGAAACGTTTATACTGTGAGCTAAATCATGATCCCTACAGTAACAGAATTCCCATTATATCAGTCCCTCTAAAACAGTTTTATCTTGCAGACCTAGTGACTACAGCTTAATCTACTAAAAATACAAAAAATAGCTAGGCGTGGTGGCACACGCCTGTAATCCCAGCTACTTGGGAGGCTGAGGCAGGAGAATCGCTTGAACCTGGGAGGCGGAGGTTGCAGTGAGCCGAGATCGCGCTACTGCACTCCAGCCTGGGCGACAGAGCGAGGCTCCGTCTCAAAAAAATAAAAAAATAAATACATAAATAAAAATAAAATAATGGCTGGGTACAGTGGCTCACGCCTGTAAAACCAGCACTTTGGGAGCCCGAGGCGGGCTGAGGTCAGGAGTTCAAGACCAGCCTGGCCAACATGGTGAAACCCCGTCTCTACTAAAAATACAAAAATCAGCCGGGCGTGGTGGCAGGCACCTGTAATACCAGCTACTGGGGAGGCTGAGGCAGGAGAATCGCTTGATCTCAGGAGGCGGAAGCTGCAGCTAGACGAGATCACGCCACTGCACTCCAACCTGGGCGACAGAGCGAGACTCTGTCACAAAAAATAAATTAAAAAAATAAAAATAAAAAATAAATCTACTTCTAAAACATACGAGGGCAGAAATGAGCAAGAGACAAGAACTCCAGGCAATATTAATACCGCACTTCCGCAGTATAAGGTTCATTATTTGACCTAACGAAAGTCGGCATGTCCAGCTCCAGAGGCGAACGGCGGCTGGTTCGGTGCGGGTCCCAGCGCTCAGTCCACAGACCGCGCCGGGAAGTGTCCCCAAGACTCCCGGGCCCTCGCGCGAGCTGTCCACCATCACCCTGCTGAGGACCACGTGAAGCCCGGTGACCGCCACAGACACAGGCACCGTCCCCGCCCCCATAGTCCTCAAACTCTAGCCGTGAGGCCGTCCTACGGTCCGACACACACCGCTCCCGCAGCCATAGGCCAGCCAGGCGAGCATCGGACCTCGGGCCTCAGGCTCCTCAGCTTTACGCAGCGCGCCGGAGCAACATGCGCTAAGTGTAGGACTCCACAAGATGAGAGGTTACTGCAGCGCACACGATAATGCCTGCCCTGGAGGGGACCTGCGACCTAAACTCAGTTCTTTTTACGCTGATGAATGAAAGACTAAGGAACGCACCCCGCCGACTCTGCTCCCGTTACCCGGGCAACTGGAGGCCCGACCCGGAAGTCCTACTAGCTCACCTAGGCGCCGGCGGCCGCTTCCAAGATGGAGGCTGCAGTGGGCGGGCCCAAGGCACGTGGAAATACCAAACAGCCCCAGATGAAGGCAAGTTAAAGGAACCGGCCAAAACTGCAGAGGGAGAGGCTGAAGGCTGTCGCGCCTGCCTGGTGTCCTTAAGCAATCCAAGTCCTCAGTCTCCCGGGTCCGCCCCTTCCGCCGCGGGCGGCAGCTTCCGGCTCGCGCATGCGCAGTGTTCGCGGACTCGCCGCCAACGCCCAGTACAGTCGGGGACGAGGTCGGCACACCCACAGCCCCATAACCCCTACGTCGAGTCAGGGGTCAGAAAACCCAGTAACCCGCAGGCGAGCAAGCTGCGCACTGAAAAGCCGGCCTGCGGAGTCTTTCCTTACGAAGTTAAACCACCTAGGGCGCGCGGCCCTGTTCGCCCAGACCTCGGGCTTTCCTGCCAGGCTGGGTTTGCCGGGTCGAGTCACTTTGCTCGCCAATCCCCGCCCCCATTCCACCGTTTCATTCTGGCCCCAGGACCCGCCTCACAGGAAAATTCTAAATAATATATCTAAATACCCCTTCTTCCAATAGCGGGAGCTCGATTTCTGCCCCACCCACCCCCACTTTGATTATGGGCTATGCCTAGTAACTTGATTCCAAAGAGTACAGCCTGGAATGGTGTTGGGGACTACAGTGGAGAAACCTGGCAAACAGTACCTTACCGGGTGGTCAAGGATAACATCAGGAAGAAATCATGCTGATAGCATGTTCCTGTGGTGTCTCTCTCCAAAACCCTTCTATGGAAATCTTCTATGGGGGAAAAAAAATTAGTACTCCTAAACATGTTTTCTGTCATGAAAAACAAGTACAGTTGTCCCTTAGTGTCCGTGGGGGAATGGTTCCAGGACCCTGCGGATACCAGAATTAGAATGCTCAAGTCCCTTGTATACAATGGTGTAAACCTAAGTAACAAAAGAGGCTCCCTAAAAGAAAATGAGATTTATCTGGGAGTAGCATTGCAATGGGAATATGCATGCCATAGTAAACTGTGTGCGTTTTGGGGGAGGTTGAGGCAAGGAGATGTTTTTAAAAGGAAAATGAAGATTATATGAATTGCTTTAAATCAATTATCTTTGGCTAAAAGAATGAATAACAAAGGTAGCATCAGTCCAAAGTTGCTGGACAGATGTCCTTGCAGAAGGATTTTCTGTGTTTAAGATTGGGCCTTTCTGCAAGGTTAGGGTCTTTTGTGACAATTCTTGTTATGAGGCGTAGTGCATGAGAACCCTTCCTTCAAGGCCTTCCCCAGCTGCATTTATCAGGGTTTTGACACAAGTGACTCCATTTTGATTCTGCAACTTTCACAATGGTGTAATATTTGCATATAACCTATGCACATCCTCCCATATACTTTAAATCATCTCTAGATTACTTATAACATCTAATACAATGTAAATACTATGTAAATAGTGAAGGGGTGGCCTGCCGCTCCACACCTGTGGGTGTTTCTCATCGGGTGGGATGAGAGACTGAGAAAAAAAAGAGACACAGAGGCAAAGTATAGAGAAAGAAAAGTGGGCCCAGTGGACCGGCGCTCAGCATACGGAGCACAAATCCTATTTAAACTACAGATTCTAAACACAAATGATTTTATTCACCCCTGCCCCCCAACACTAAAAGATTTAAACACTAACATAGTTTCTAACAGCTGTAAACTAAACAAATCCTAAGCCCCTACTGACTGAATGGAACCCCTTTTGGCCAAGATGGCCCCAGAAAAAAACTTAGAAACTTAGTTCCCAGCCCTGATGGAATGTGAGGTCAGACATGCCTCATTATACCCTCTCTCTTTTACAGTTTAGATACAACTGGCCAGCATTGATGTTAAAATAGAGACCATGAGACTGATGGAACAGACTTTTTGTGGCAATAAGATACAAAAATTATAAACAAGACCTAAGGCCATTCCAGGAAAGAGTTAAGTCACTTCAAGAATAAATTCTGTTCTAATGGTTACAAGTTTTTTCTTTTTCTCTAGCAGCTAAACAAGCACTCACCTCCACCTAAGCAATATTAAAACAATTACCGCTTGTGCACCACCAGATGTTAACTAACCCCCTGTTCCACAATGACAGAGCATCACCATCTTGGACAACCCCCTCATTCTAAAGTGCACCTTAATAAAAAACCGCCTAGGCCAGGTGCGGTGGCTCACGCCTGTAATCCCAGCACTTTGGGAGGCCGAGGTGGGCAGATCACGAGGTCAGGAGATCGAGACCATCCTGGCTAATTCGGTGAAACCCCATCTCTACTAAAAATACAAAAAATTACCCGGGCATGGTGGTAAGCGCCTGTAGTCCCAGCTACTTGAGAGGCTGAGGCAGGAGAATGGCATGAACCCAGGAGGAGGAGCTTGCAGTGAGCTGAGGTAGCGCTACTGCACTCCATCCTGGGCGACAGAGCAAGACTCTGGCTAAAACAAAACAAAACAAAACAAAAACCGCCTAAATCCAAAGGGCATCAGCCTAATGGCTAAGGTCACCATGACCATAAATCACAAATAATATCTTCAACCAGAAACATTCTAAATTCCCCCCTGACCAGAGACATGGTAGCCCCAAGATAAACCCCGTTCCATCTGGGAAGTGGGGAAGATGATAGCCCCGAGATAACACCCCTCAGGGCTGGAAAGATGTCCACCCCAAAATAACCTCCCCTCTTCCCAGAGAGATTCCAACCCTGCCATGAACTTCTCCACACACATAAACATTCCAAGCTTGTGGTAAGCCCCCTCACCCTAAAACCAATACATACTCTTAGTCTCTAAGAGAAAGAGTTCCTGACGGAAACAGGCCAGGAGCACCTGTCAGGTTTCATATAAGGTAAACCTGTCTCTAACTGCCAGCCGCGTTTAGTGTTCTTACGTCTTTCTTGAACTCTTATATTTGGTGCGGAAACCCAGGCCGGGTGCTGGGGGCAGAGGCTCTCTTGCAACCCAGGAAGCAGTGGGCAACCACAGCTGGTCCTGAGCTAATTTCTGGATCCTGAGGGTCTCGGGCCACCCGCTCCATCTTTTCTCTCACTTCACTTTTCCCTCATCCTCTCTTTTCCCTCTCTCTCTTTCCTTCTCTCTCTCTCTTTCTTTCTCTCTCTTCCTCATGCGGCTGCAGTCCAAGAGGCCCTTTGCCAATTCCAACTGGAACATCCAACATCGGACACTAATCCAGCCAACTGGTAAGATCTGCCCTCCCCTGGCTTTCTCGCGGTACCCGGGAAAAGTCAGGTTGGCCGTCCGGTCCTCAGAGGACCAGCAGAACTAAGCTAGAGGAAACCTTGGGGACGCCCAGTTTCTTCTCAACTTGACCATCCTCTTTAGTAAGAGGATTCTGGGTCTCTGTCTTTTGTCTGGGAATGCCTAGAACAAAAACAGACACCCTCTGCTTCTTCTCGCCAGTCCACATGGATGCCAAACAATCCCACATCCCTACACACACCACAAATAACATCTCCAACCGGAAAGATTCCAAACTCCTCCCCGACCAGAGACATGCTAGCCCCTAGATAAAGCCCCCTCCAGGCCAGGAAGATGCTGGCCCCAAGATAACCCCCCTCCAGGCCAGAAAGATGTCTGCCCCAAGATAACCTCCGCTCCTCCCAGAGAGATTCCAACCCTGCCATGACCTTCTCCACACACATAAATATTCCAAGCTTGTGATAAGCCCCCTTACCCTAAAACCAATACATACTCTTAGTCTGTAAGAGAAAGAGCTCCTGACCAAAATGGGCCAGGAGCGCCTCTCAGGTTTCATCTAAAGTAGACCTGTCTCTAACTGCCAACGCATTTTTGCTTCTTTCCTCTTTCTCTAACTCTTACACACAAGCCATAACTACAGCTTTGATTAGACAAGAGACTGATTTCAACAACTTTCTCCTGATAAGAAGATCATGGACTATGGAATGGACTGGTTCTGGTTTACAGAGGCTGTGTACTTGCGTGCCTTGATGTCCTGAAAGACCTTTTGACAGATAGGGCCTAATGGTAATACATTTAAATGTCAAGTCACCATCCCAAAGTGAATATACATGAGTCGTATGTTACATGCATGTTTCTTCAATATGCATGTATCAGGACCACCTTCATGAATATTCACAGCTCCTCCTGTAAACTGTTGAATGTGTAAGTTTAGCCAACCTGTTCAGTCTAAAGCTCCTGCCTCAAAGCCTCCCCCTTCAAAGTGCCCGTCTCTGTTTCTGCTGGAGTCAGCTCCCCAGCCTCCAGGATGGCTACCTTGCAGGTTGTACCCGTTTAGAAGAAATAAAGTCCCCATCTCCTTTTCTTTTTTTTTTTTTTCAGAGACGGAATCTTGCTCTGTCCCCCAGGCTGGAGTGCAGTGGTGCGATCTCGGCTCACTGCAAGCTCCGCCTCCCGAGTTCACGCCATTCTCCTGCCTCAGCCTCCCGAGTAGCTGGGACTACAGGCGCCCACTACCACGCCCGGCTAATTTTTTGTATTTTTAGTAGAGACGGGGTTTCACCGTGGTCTCGATCTCCTGACCTCGTGATCCGCCTGCCTCGGCCTCCCAAAGTGCCGGGATTACAAGCGTGAGCCACCGCGTCCGGCCTCCTTTTCTAAATTTATACATTGTGAGTTGTTTTTGGTTTTTTCTTTTTTTTTTTTTTTAACACAGCTCAAGGCTGCATGGCTAGGATGACCCTATCACCCCTAGGATGACTCTAGCCCCTTCCTGAGAATGTTTAAGCTGCCAAAAAAAAGAAAAAATGTGTTTGTAATAACCAACTTCTGACAATAGGCCCCTGACTGCCCTTTCTTAAAGCATTTACTAAAAACGGCTTAGAGCTGTGAATTCTCTCGGTCCCTTTGAGATGTATCTCCCACCCAGGAGTGTTTCTTGGCCAGGTGTGGTGGCTCACGCCTGTAATCCCAGCACTTTGGGAGGTGAAGGCAGGCGGATCACCTGAGGTCAGGAGTTCGAGACCAGCCTGGCCAACATGGCGAAACCCTTTGTCGACTAAAAATACAAAAAGTTAGCTGTGCGTGGTAGCACACGCTTGTAGTCCCAGCTACTCGAGAGGCTGAGGCAGGAGAATCTCTTGAAACTGGGAGGCAGAGATTGCAGTGAGCCGAGATCGCACCACTGTACTCCAGCCTGAGAGATAAGAGAGAAACTCCGTGTCAAAAAAAAAAAAAAAAGAAAGAATGTCTTTCTCAAGGACCTGAAAGCCATTCCTCTGAAATGTAATCATCAGAAATGATACGGCCTCTGTCTTTCAGTCTTTATAGTGGGAGAATAGAATCCCAACTTTGCTAATTGCCAGCTAACAGACACAGCTGGCCTAACCAACATTTCCACTGAGCAACCCTTGGCAATTTGTCATTTCCCTAACTCCTCCCACTTCCTGATCCTTCACTCTCCCTTTAAAAGGCACAGTCATCTCTGTACAAATGAAAGTTTGTTTCCACTGGACCCTCTTTCCTATTACAGGAGTTCATTATTGACTAAAATCTGTCCTTACCACCTTAGTGTCTGGCTTTATCTTTCACAGAATTCAGTAAATTGCTTGAGTTAAATAACTACTAAGCACCTAAGCCACAGATTGATTCCAGGTCTCAAAGTCCATGGTCTACCGCTGTAGAAAGGCTTATTGAATATCCTAAACAAGCATAAAATGCAAGAGGAACACAGCCAGTGTCAAGCAGATCCGTGAGGGTAACTAATCAAAGGAACGACCTGGAGAACCTCACAGTTCATAATTTAACAATATTATTTTCCAACATCTTTTCTTTTAATATATACCATGGAACTGTGTTTTGGGCTTTTTTGTTTTTGTTTTTGTTTTTAGATTCGGGGGTACATGTGCAGGTTTGTTACATCAGTGTATTGCCTGATGCTGAGGTTTGGGCATCTAATGCTCCCAAGTAGAAAACATAGTACCCAATAGTTCGTTTTTCAACCCTTACCCCCTCCCTCCCCCTTTTGGAATCCCCGGTGTTATTGTTACCATCTTTTGTGTCCCTGTGTACTCAAATGTTTAGCTCCCACTTATAAGGGAGAACATGCGTTATTTGGTTTTCTGTTTCTGCGTTTGCACAATAGCCTCCAGCTGCATCCATGTTGCTGCAAAGGAAATGATTCCATTCTTTTTTGTGGGAACTATGTTCTTTAGTTGCTTTAAACTAGTGGGTAGTAGTGCTCGTTTGGGCAGCACATATACTAAAACCGGAATGATACAGACAAGATTTAGCATGGTGCCTGGGCAAGGATGACATGCAAATTCATGAAGCGTTCCATTAAAAAAAAAACAGTGGGTAGTAAAGATATGAATTCATTCCACAGGTTAATTGATGTGATAAAATTCTTTATCTATATAGCATCCAATATAGTCTCAGACCTTTGATTCTCACAACTAAGGCATGTCTTCCAATTTAGCCAATAGCAGTAATAGCAGAGATCTGGAAACTCCATCTTTAAATTTCTGTTTTATTTCTTAAATTGTTCAGAATCCAGACAAGGTGCTACATATTGGAGGCTCTTCACACATACCACCAGAATCAAGACCCAGATGTAAGAGAGACAACAATACAAAACCATCCAAGTAGAGCTTAATTCACAGGCTTTAAATTATGCTTTTCAAAAACAAATTTTCAAAAAGTTTCCCATAGTCAAACCCATCAGACATTTATGATTCTTCCCCTATTTTTATGCTTATAAAAGAAAGCATTTTCCCCTACTGAAAATAAAACTTTTACTTTTGTTTTCTTTTAGTTGTTTTATGGATTCATTTATAAATCACTGTTTCTCTCTCTTCGGAAATTATTTAGTGTATGTTGTAAGGGATCTTTTTTCTTTCCAATCATTATGCCCTTTCCCCAGTGCTAATTTTGGAATAATTCTTTCCCTCACTAGTTGTTAAACCACCTTTATCATACAGTAAATTCTTGTTAATATATATTTTATATATTTTCCGGAGCATCCTGCCTAATGTACCTGTCAATTCTTATGTTGGTTCCAGTCCTAAAAAAATAAATCAGACTCAAACTCATGATTCATAGTCCTCATAGGATTTGCCTTTTGAAACAGCAGGACCCTCACCCTGTCCAAAGTTCCCTGTACACCATGTGCTATTGCTGACTGGCCCTCTTAATAAATTTAATCCATCCACTCTAACACTAACTCACACCAGCTACAGAAGACAGTAGCTAGTGCAGTGGAGAGAACCCAGCCAATGACAGACCCAACACGCACACACTGGGATAGGAAAGAAAATCCAAAACAGAGCTCTGAATTATCCTGAGTGGAAAAAAAAAAACCAAAAACAAAATACTACAAACTGTATGACTCCATCTATGTAACATTTTTGAAACAACAAACTTGTAGAAATGGTGAACAGATTAGTGGTTGCCATGAATTAGAGTTGGTTTGGGGAGTAACAGAGAGGTATGTTTGGTGATAAAAGTGCAACAGGAGGGCTCTTTGTGCTAATAGAAACATTTTCATTTAACTATAGTGGTGGATACACAAACCAACATTTGATAAAATTATATAGGACTAAATACATACACAAAGTACACATCAAACTGGGGAAATCTGAGTATGATTGGTGGACTGTTTTGTTGTCAATATCTTCACTGTGATGTTGTACTATACTTTTGCAATATGTTACTATTGAGTGAAACTGAGTAAAGGGTAAGGAATCTCTGTATTATTTCTTACAACTGCATGTGACTCTATAATTAGCTCGACAAAAATTTCAGTTGAAAAAAAGCAAGGGTCTTTCCTTGATTATTAACTTGTTTTAAAGCAACTGATTGGAAACCTACCTTGAAATTGCAATGTAATTGCAATCTATTTAAAGCAGTGGTGTTCAACAGACCTTTCTGCAAGGATGGAAATATCCTAAATCTGTACTGCCCAATACAGTGACCACTAACACATGCACATATTGAGCACTGGAGATGTGGCTAGTGCAACTAAAAAACTGAATTACAAATTTTGCTTAATTTGAATTTATGTTTAAATGGCCACCTGTGATAGTGGCAACCTATGGGACAGCACAGAAATGAAACTTGACCTTATTCCCAATTCCCTTGTAAGTAGGAAGGAGGAACACTCACTTTGAAACCATGCAATTGTCCCATAGGACAGATGTTTATGGTCTCTTTTTTTTTCCTTTTTTTTTTTTTTGAGAGGGAGTCACTCTGTTGCCCAGGCTGGAGTGCAGTGGCATGATCTCGGCTCGCTGCAACCTCCGCCTCTGGGGTTCAAGCAAGCAATTCTCTGCTTCAGCCTCCCAAGTAGCTGGGATTACAGGCGCCTGCCACCACACCCAGCTAATTTTTGTATTTTTTTTTTTTTTTTTTTTTTTTAGTAGAGATGGGGTTTCACCATCTTGGCCAGGCTGGTCTTGAACTCCTGACCTCATGATCCACCCACCTCAGCCTCCCAAAGTGCTGAGATTACAGGCGTGAGCCACCGCGCCAGGCCTGGTCTCTTTTGAATAAACAAATTGACCCTCCCAGTCTAAAAACTTGAGAAATTTACATTTGTCTTATCTGAGTTCCTTTCTCAGGGAACTAGCCATCAGTCCTCCCAGATAGCACCAAGGAACTGAAACTTATCGGATCACCACATCTGGAAAATCAGACACCAGACCCCTCACCTGCAACAATTGCCTGATGCCTGTTGACCCACTCCTCTTCATCTCTCCCTAACTCCTGCTATTTTCCCACATGCAGTTACATTTCTTCCCTGCTATATCCTAATTTTAATCAGTTGAGAAGATGGATTTGAGACTGATCTCTCCCCCCTAGGCTGTAGCACCCAAATAATGCCTTCTTCCCTGACAATAATGGGGTCTCAGTGACTGGCTTTCTGTGCTGTGAACCACCAGACCTAGACCAAACTCCTGGCATTTCTCTAACAATTTCCCACCACTGAACTAAGTTATAAATTCTGAGGATGGATCCCTGTTTCTTCATTTTAAGATGGGGATTAAAAGGTACATCCTAGAGTGTTATTGTCCGTGTAAAATAGGGCTGTGAAACCCCCTACACCTATGCACAGATAAACTGATGGCCCTGCAAATGCCCAGAGAAGTAACCTTATAAAGATTTAGTGAATGTTTCCCACCATTATTGGAAAATCTGGCTAAGTCAGTAGCTTTGTTTTCATATACTTAGGGGGAAAATCAACAAAAACTTGATGCCCTGTTATTTCCTTCCAGTTTCTTCTGCAACTCTAGCTCCAAAGACTGCAGTTCCTGCAGTATTTTTTTTTTTAGAACACCAGGAAAAAAAGAAAAAAAAACCATGCAAATGTACTATTTCTTCAAACACAACTAGGAATGATTGAACAGCTGGGAGAATATGAAGAAAACCCCTCAGAGAACCAAGGGCAAGCAGTGAGTTCAGATCTAGGCACATGGCCACTAGGAATGGTTCTTCACTGCCACGTGGGCAGCCAACAGCCAGTAGCTAGAGACCAGCCTCGGTCTTCGGCCTGCGGGTTCTGCAAAGTCAGGCTAGCTGGCTCTCCGCCTGCTCCGCACCCCGGCGAGGTTCCGGTGGGGAGGGGTAGGGATGGTTCAGCCCCGCCCCGCTAGGGCGGGGCCTGCGCCTGCGCGCTCAGCGGCCGGGCGTGTAACCCACGGGTGCGCGCCCACGACCGCCAGACTCGAGCAGTCTCTGGAACACGCTGCGGGGCTCCCGGGCCTGAGCCAGGTCTGTTCTCCACGCAGGTGTTCCGCGCGCCCCGTTCAGCCATGTCGTCCGGCATCCATGTAGCGCTGGTGACTGGAGGCAACAAGGGCATCGGCTTGGCCATCGTGCGCGACCTGTGCCGGCTGTTCTCGGGGGACGTGGTGCTCACGGCGCGGGACGTGACGCGGGGCCAGGCGGCCGTACAGCAGCTGCAGGCGGAGGGCCTGAGCCCGCGCTTCCACCAGCTGGACATCGACGATCTGCAGAGCATCCGCGCCCTGCGCGACTTCCTGCGCAAGGAGTACGGGGGCCTGGACGTGCTGGTCAACAACGCGGGCATCGCCTTCAAGGGTATGGGGAGGGGACGTGGCCTCCCCGAAGAAGAACCGATGCACTGGGGCTCCTGGCGTCTGCGGGGTCCATAACGCCTCCCTAGGGAGGAGAGGGAGGAGCTAGGAGATGCAGGGAGTGCAGAAACCTTGGAGAAAGTGAGAGTTTTCCAGCCAAAGGGAACTTTGTGTTTCCCTGGCTGGGACTCTTGGGGATCTTTTTCAGGTTTTCTGCAGTTTTTCTGAATTGAGCTTTAAGGCAACTGGATGGATTTTGAACTGATTTTAAAATAAACGACAAATTGCAAAAAGAAAAAATGGTTATGCCAAGATCCAGTGTGTGCACCCTTCATCCTCCTTCCCCCAATGGTGCCATCTTACAAAAATACTAGAACATGATCAAACCAGGAGATTGACATTGGCACAATACTGTAACCAGATACAGACTTACTTTAGGCAGAGGGCACTAAGTTTTTTTTTTTTTTTTTTTTTTTTTTTAGTATCATTGTATAGAATTTTACCCCATGGGTACAATGTATTAACTATGTTCTCTTTCTCTCCTAAAAGTTGCTGATCCCACACCCTTTCATATTCAAGCTGAAGTGACGATGAAAACAAATTTCTTTGGTACCCGAGATGTGTGCACAGAATTACTCCCTCTAATAAAACCCCAAGGTGAGTCTGATGGGAAACAGCGCACCTTCTCTTTGGGGCTTGATTTGGCCCCTGCTTGCCTGGGATTTCTCCTGCAGGCTCCTGCTTCCTCTCCATGCTGCACGTGCACTGACCTCTGTGCTTTTTCTCCTGCCAGCTGATATGTGCCATTTTGCCTCAGGACTTTGTCCTCACTTCTCCCACTCCCATGGCCATTCGTCCTCCCTGTCGCACTGGTCTTTGCACACCTGGCTGACTCTCATCCTTCAGGTCTTAGCTCAAACGTCTCCTGAGAGATGCTCTTTATTTGCTCCATTCCCCTCTGCGTGGGAGTCCATCCTGTACCCTTTCTCTGCTCTTTCAGAGAGATCTTATTCAGGCTGGTGGAGGCTTTACTACCACCAGTTCATTAGGCCCTTCTAATACCTGTCACCTGTCTGAAACACTCCTTAAGCTCCCAACCACATGGTTGTCTTGCTGCCTTTCCATCTCTTCCTGATGCCTTTCCCCACAATCTAAGATATTTCCAGAGGATCCCTATCCTTTTCCCTAAGTCGTTTGGGACACAGACCCCACCACCCACCCACCAGGATCCTGCAGGTCACCATGCCCCACCCCTCATAATCATTTACTAGGTCCTAGGAGTTGTGCCCACTGAGTTCCTCCTGAATCCGTCTCATTGCAGCTCTACAGCAGGCCCTCACCTGTCCCTCTGGACAATTGCAAACCCTCACAAGGCACCTCTGGTCTTGAGTCTTTTCCTCTTTTCCTTTCCCAGCATCCTGCGTACTGTCTGCATGGTCATGCCTCTCCCAAAATCCTTCAGGAGGAAAGTCCAAGCCCTTAGCATGGTTCACAGAGATGTCCATAATCTGCCGCTGCTTAACTCTGGGCCCATTTTAACTCCCCTTCAACGTGCTGAAGGTGCTGGACATGACTATCACATGTCTTTGGTTGTAAACTGCTGTGATAGTTACCCTAAGTAATGGGACAGGAGATGAACCCACCCATTAAATAACACAGCAATTAAGCAGCCACTTTTAGAAAAATTTAAATGTGTGGCTTCGAGTTGGGTACTTGCATGTACAGCTTACTCTCAGCTTTTATCCTGTTTCCCTGTCCTGTCGTCCTGTTAAGTTGTGCTACTTCTAAGGCTCTGGTTCACCAGGACCTCAAAGGGCAGCTCTTCCAAATCTCACCTGACTCTACTCAGCCAAAATTCGAAGGCAGGAATGAACTTCTTCATGCAACTACCACCACACTTTCTATGCGTATTCCTCTTAGAACTCATACCAGTAACTGTCTCTCATATGAAAATTTTCTGCTCCAAAATCCCTGCAAATTTGGCATTCACCTCTCTACGGGATTGTTGCACACCTTTCTACATAATGCTTTGTGGTGTATCTTAGGGAGAGTGGTGAACGTATCTAGCATCATGAGCGTCAGAGCCCTTAAAAGCTGCAGCCCAGAGCTGCAGCAGAAGTTCCGCAGTGAGACCATCACTGAGGAGGAGCTGGTGGGGCTCATGAACAAGTTTGTGGAGGATACAAAGAAGGGAGTGCACCAGAAGGAGGGCTGGCCCAGCAGCGCATACGGGGTGACGAAGATTGGCGTCACCGTTCTGTCCAGGATCCACGCCAGGAAACTGAGTGAGCAGAGGAAAGGGGACAAGATCCTCCTGAATGCCTGCTGCCCAGGGTGGGTGAGAACTGACATGGCGGGACCCAAGGCCACCAAGAGCCCAGAAGAAGGTGCAGAGACCCCTGTGTACTTGGCCCTTTTGCCCCCAGATGCTGAGGGTCCCCATGGACAATTTGTTTCAGAGAAGAGAGTTGAACAGTGGTGAGCTGGGCTCACAGCTCCATCCATGGGCCCCATTTTGTACCTTGTCCTGAGTTGGTCCAAAGGGCATTTACAATGTCATAAATATCCTTATATAAGAAAAAAAATGATCTCTTATCAATTAGCACTCACTAATGTACTACTAATTGAGCAACCTACGCACTCAGTTGACTACGTAAATCTGTCAGGTCTTTTGTGATTTCCTCTGATGCAGGAGAGGAAAAATTGTAATTGATGAAAATAATGAATGAAAATCAACAGATGAATAAATGGTTCTTTATAAGTGTCCATTTGTACAGATTGTTTAGATGCTAAATAAGCTTTGTCTCAAGTACAATCAACCTAAAAGGTCAAGGGAAGGGACAGTACAACTTGGGGGTGAGCAAACCCAGAAAGTAAAGAAAGAGCCAGTTAGTCAATATTTTCAATGTTGTAGGTCAAACAATGCATTGGAACTCCCCAAATCCACATTATGTAACAAAAGCTGACAGCATGTAAGCCTGTGAGCATAGCTGGCTCTGGCCCTTCCCAGCCTCTAGGAAAACAAATAGTACCACAACGGCAAAGGCAGCTGACCTGGTCTCTTTAAAAAAGCCAAAGTCATTGGGGAAAAACAACCAGTTGCTATGTGTGAAACGTGAGTGTGCACTTGTGTGAAACACCGAGCTGATGAGGGACCTATCAGATCTCCATAGGAATGTGTTATTTATGTAGGGATGAAGTGTCATGAGGTGTACAACATATGCCCCAGGTGTACAACATGTGTTTCAGCAAAGTATACAAAGACTGATGAACAGGTAAGGCAAAAAAAAAACAACTTTTCTGTTTGTTGAAAGCTTTCAAAACCTGGGGGTTGGCAGTGGAAACTTCTGGCTCTGCCCACTGAATTCCTGACCTCAGGCAGAATACTGTATCTGGCTTTGTCTCTGTTTCCTCAACTGTCAAATTGGGATGACAGTCATAGGATTATATGTATTGAGATAAAGTGTTGAGAACAAATTAGCTGGGTGTGATGGTGGGCGCCTGTAATCCCAGCTACTCAGGAGGCTGAGGCAGGAGAATCGCTTGAACCCAGGGGGTGGAGGTTGCAGTGAGCCAAGATTGCACTACTGCACTCCAGCCTGGGCGACAGAGTGAGACTTCATCTCAAAAAAAAAAAAAAAAATAGTGTTGAGAACAGCCCCTGCTGTCATTAGTTCCTGTAAATGGGCCTGACGCTGTCCCTGCTGGTAATGAGAAGTGTGTGTTTACTGTCTAACACCCAGTAAATGCCCAGGCCATTCTGTTTCTTCCACAGAATCACAGTGTTGTGATCTCTCACACTTCACCAGTGAGAATTAAGGCTTACAGAAACAAAAAGCGATCACCCGTGAAAAGAAGGAGAGGCCCCTTATTTTATTTTTATCTATTTATTTTTTAATTCTCCAAACTGCTTCGGAAGAGTCCCTTATTTTATTTATTTATTTATTTATTTGTTTGTTTGTTTGTTTGTTTATTGAGACAGAGTCTCAATCTTGGTTCAGTGCAACCTCTGCCTCCTGGGTTCAAGTGATTCTCCTGCCTCAGCCTCCTGAGTAGCTGGGATTACAGGCGCCCGCCACCATGCATGGCTAACTTTTGTATTTTTAGTAGAGACAGGGTTTCGCCATGTTGGCCAAGCTGATCTCGAACTTCTGGCCTCAAGTGATCCACCCGCCTCGGCCTCCCAAAGTACTGGGATTACAGACATGAGCCACTGCACCCAGCCTAGTCCCTTAGGTTAAAAGTGAGGTTTACTTTGACAAGTTTCACCTTTCAGTAGGGCTGTTCATTTCTTCCTAGTTTTTGTACACAGACACCAGAAAACAATCACGTCTGCAGCAAAACTGGTATTCTCAAGTGCTAGTTTAGAAATTTGTACCTGTATTGCAAAGATATTTTTCCCTTAATACCTTAAAAATAACACCTAACTTCTTTAAGAGATTTAGAGAAAGCATTGTTCCAAATTCAAGTACCTGCTTACCTCTGAGGGTGAGGGGAGGAGGACATACGTGGTTCCGTCTTTATTGCTAAGGATTTCTTTCTTATACCAGGTGATAGGTACATGGTGCTAAAATACAATTTTCAGAAAAAGGTAAAATCATGACTGTCATACAGATGTAAAAATAATAGTCAAAAAAATGTATTTTACTCATAAGGGAACCAGGGAAATGTTATAACTGGTTCAAAGGAAAAGCTAAAAGGAAAAGCTAACAGATTATATGGAATCAACAAATGTTGAGCTGAATTGCAAATGACGACAAAACTGGTGTTTTTACAGGGAGGAGGACGTCAATTCAGTCACCACTAGACAGGACAGCACTTGCACCTCTGTTACCTACAATTAAGAAAGAGATGCAAAATATCTCAAAGAATGAACAGGGCCATAGTTCAATGCTACGAGTCTTGCCTTGCAAGCACCCTTCACTCTGTTGTGTGAGTCTGGCAAAACACCCATCCCCATGCTTAATAACCATGCCAGCCTGCTCTAGCAGCTCTTAACAGATGATGTTGCTAGGGAGAAAGGAAACAAGAGGCTGACTGTACTCTTTTATGTTCCCACCCCAATCCCAAACAGACAAGCAATTCTCCTAGCCAGTGTTGTCTTTTCCCCTAGTAAATTCACTCTCCTACTCTGTAAGATGATTATTCTTTCCGCATATCTCCCAGACTGATCGTGCTGGAGGATGTCCTCAAATCTGTTCCCTAAAAAAGAAATAGATGCCCCTGAGGAGAGTCGTTCAACATACCTGCAACCAGACAGCACACCCTGCCCCCCTTTCCGTTACAAGAAGAGGCACACTGCTTCCCAGGCAGCACCCCCACCAGAGTCCTGGTTCGTCCATTATTGCCCTCCCAAACATTTTGTTCTTGTAATTATTCCCTTTCTTTCCTTCACCAAATTCACCTCTCAGATTACCATTGCATAAAAACATGCTTTAATATCTCTCCCAGCTTTTAAAACTAAGGAGTTGAGTCACACAAAGTATATTCTCCGACCACACTGGAATTAAGTTAGAAATCAATAGTAAGATGGCTAGAAAATCCCCAAATAGTTGGAAACCAACAAAATACACTTTCAAACACCCTTAGTCGAAAAGATATCAAAAGTTAAGAAAACAACAACAACAAAATTTTTTAAAGATATTGAAAGTTAAATTCAAAAGTATTTTGAACTGAATGAAACTGAAAACAACATATCAATGTTTGTGGGATGGCACTAAAGCGGTACTTCGAGGGAAATGTATACTACGTAATGCCTACACTAGAAAAGAACTGTCTCAAACAATGACCTCAGCTTCCATGGTAAGAAACTAGAATAAGAGCAAATGAAACCCCAAATGAGCAGATGAAAGGAAATAAAGATCAGAACAAAAATTAGTATAATCAGAAGAGAGCAATAAAGGTAAAAAAAAAAATCAATGAAGCCAAAAGCCGGTTCCTTGAGGAAAAACAAAAAGTGCTAAACCTCTAGCCAGAGAGATCAGAAAAAGAAAAAAAAAATGAAAGACACAGATTACCAATGTCAGGAATGAGAAGTAGCATCATTATGATTAATAAGAAGATAATAAGGGGTTGGGCACAGTGGCTCACACCTAAAATCCCAGCTCTTTGGGAAGCCGAGGCAGGTGGATCACCTGAGGTCAGGAGTTCAAGCCCAGCGGGCCAACAGGGTGAAACCCCATCTCTACTAGAAATACAAAAACTAGCCAGACATTGTGGCAGACACCTGTAATCCCAGCTACTCTGGAGGCTGAGGCAGGAGAATCGCTTGAACCCAGGTGGAGATTGCAGTGAACCGAGATCATGCCACTGCACTCCAGCCTGGGCAACAGAGTAAGACTGTCTAAAAAAAAAAAGAGCATTTTACTAACAACCTCAAATCATTGGAATTAACAACTTACATAAAATGTACACATTTATTAATATTTAGAAAAACACTAAGCTCACTGAAGAAGAAATGGAAAACCTGAATAGCTCTATGTCTGTAAAGTGAAGTTTCAAATACTCTTTGGAAAGAAAGAAAGATTGGTTGGGGCATAAAGGGAACCACACCCAGCAGGTGCCCAGCTATTAACTTGACTTTGATAGAGAAAGTGGACTCGGTGGCAGGGCACAGGCAGTTCAGCCAGATCTGCTTGAGTAAAGCAGAGTCATGATGAGATGGTGGCTCTCTGCTAATCTCAGAGTCGCTAATCAAACACACTCAGATCAAACACGTGGGTTACAGTGAAGAAGACGAATGAAGGAATCCAATTGCCCGTCTATACCTTGACACACCTTTGACAATTCCTTTGTTTTGTGGGTACACATTTCATGGGGAGATGCCATATATTTTACATATTAACTGTGACTTTGGATAAAACAAAAATGCAGACACTTTTAGCAAACGGGTTATGTAACAATTAGATAAAACATTCTAATAAATGGCTTACGGCATAGTAGGAGCTTCATAAACATTCTCTCTCATTTGAGGGCATACTAGGAACCACACAGAGATTGCCTGCCCATGCCTGGAAGTCTAATTACAGGACATCTTTTTTCTCTAATTCTTAAGTTTCAGTTTCTCTTAAGAAAGGGGATGTATGTCCTGAGAAGCACTTAGTGTGTAAATAATTTCATTGCATCTTAAGATAAAGCAAACATCTGCATTTTGCAGTGGGTGATGGGTGCACATCCAAGAAAATTACTTGGCACATGTTTTCCTCCCTTTGGGATTCTCCCAAAATAGTTTTAATTCAACTGTCACCTGTCTCAGGCCCCCTACTGACCCATCACCATCCAGTTTTGCTTTCAGAGAGCCCGACCTCTTAGCCCTGCAAACCATTGCTTGGCTCTGTTAGGATCAAAAGAGGGATGTGTCTTGGCATGACCCAATACACAGCTCATGGAAAGGGTAGACCCAGGAGTGGGGGCATTAGGAAACTTTCTGGAACATTCAGCCCCTCGAGTTGCAGCACTGGAATGCAGAACTTAGCTCTGCTGTACAGCCCAGAGCAACCATGCCGGCCTGCAGCCATAAGGCACCTTCAGGCTGCAACAATTCCGAGAATTGACGTCTCTGTACACGCAGGTCCCAATACCACTTATAATGTGTACGAGGTGTTAGTCTCAGATAAACAGGACTGGGCACTTTGGCTGCAAACAAAGCAGCATCTGGTGGGACACACGGAGGCACAAGGAGGTACAAGAGGAGTTGTTCATGACACGGGGTCAGAATCCATGCCTTCCATTAGCTGGGCTACTTACTCGGATCTCCATAATCCCAATATAGGTGAGAAGGTGTCTATACCCTGTGAAGTATAATTTTGGCAGAACAAGGTACATTTCTTAGGATATGGACTATCCCAGGAAGTCCATCCCTCACAAGGATTTACCATTCGGAACTGCCCAGTCCTGACACTAAAAGACAACACAGGAGATTTAGGGTCACACTAGCTATTGCAGAAAGTCAGTCCCTAACTTTTCTGTAATCACCACAATTCTATAACTTTCAGTCATCTATGCCAGAATTCCCATTTTTGGGAACAGTAATAGATTGAAGGCTGGCTGCCAAGAAGATATGTCCATGTGTCAGAATCTATGAATATTTTCTTTGGAAGAAAGATTTTTGCAAATGTAATTAAGGATTTCAAGCTGAGCTCATCCTGGATTATCTGGGTGGGCCCTAAATCAATGACAAGTGTCTTTTTACAAAACAGAGAGACAAGGCAGGCATATGAAGACAGGTTGATTAGAGGGATGTGGCCGTAGCCCCAAGCCAAGGAAAGCCTGCAGCCCACAAAAGCTGGAAGAGTCAAGGAAAGATTTCTCTCTAGAGACTTTGGAGGGAATGCAGCTATACTGACAGCTTGATTTCAGAATTCTGGCCTCCAGAACTATGAGAGTAAATCTCCGTTGTAAGTCACCAAGTTTGGGGTTATCTGTTTCATTTTGTTTTGTTTTTTGAGACGAAGTCTCGCTCTGTTGCCCAGGCTGGAGTGCAGTGATGCGATCTCGGCTCACTGAAACCTCTGCCTCCCGGGTTCAAGCTCAGGAGCAGCTGGGATTACGGACACATACCACCACACCCTGCTAAGTTTTGTATTTTTGTAAAGACGGGGTTTCACCATGTTGGCCAGGCTGGTCTCAAACTCCAGACCTCAAGTGATCCACCTGCCTTGGCCTCCCAGAGTGCTGGGATTACAGGCATGAGCCACCACGCCCGCCCGGATCATGTGTTATGGCAGCCCTAGGAAAGTGAAACAGAAACCCGAACATAAGCAGATATCCTGTGACTGAAATTAACCCTCCAACAACTTCCCACTCTGGCCTTAGCTAACTATGAACCTCTCTGCTCACTCATACAGAAGGGCTTCCAATTTTTACCCAGTTCTCTGGAGCCTAGAAGCAAAAAGCTATGACAACCTTTTTCTTGATCCGGCAGCAGACTCATCCACCTTGTCTCAGAGCAGCAGTGGCAGCAGCAGCCGCGTGCCTGAAGCCCTCTGTCGCCTTACCCCTGGAGCCTCCTTTAACATAGGGCCCTCCGGCTGCACAGTTTTTGCTGCTCACTGAAAATAGTCAACATTTCTGAGAAAACTGATTCACCTCCCGAGACATTAGAACGAGATCTCAAATGCCTAGAACAACTGACTGCTGTACGTGTCTTCACGTTTTTGTTCCTTACATACCTTTGTTTTTAGTTACTTTCGTTCCTTATTTACCTTTGTTTTTTTTTGTTTTTTTTTTTTCCCTTTCTCTGCTGGTTTAAGGTTCTGGATTGCAAATAGCTACTTGTTATCTCCTAACTATGTCACCCATGTGGGCCCCTGTTCCTAATACTGCCTTTGTACTACCCCTCGTGACTCCATGGCTTAAACATAATTTAACCAACCATTGGAATTATGTCCACATTTGATATGTTTTGGATCTATGTCCCCACCCAAATCTCATGTCAATAATCCTCCCAGTGCTGGAGGTGGGTCCTCGTGGGACTGATTGGATCATGGGGGCGGGTTCCCATGAATGGGTTAGCGCCATCCCCCCAGTGTTGTCTCGTGATAGAGTTCTCATGAGATCTGGCTGTTTAAAAGTGTGCGGCCTCTCCTCCCTTTCTTTCTTCCTTCTACTCTAGCCATGTAAGTTGTACCTGCTTCCCCTTTGCCTTCCGCCACGATTGTAAATTTCCTGAGGCCTCCCCAGCCATGCTTCCTGAACAGCCTGTGGAACTGTGAGCCAATTAAACCTCTTTTATTTGTAAGTTACCCAGTCTCAGAAATTGCTTTACAGCAGGGAGAGAATGGACTGATACAACATCCCTTTGAGCATTTCCCAGTTTCCATTAGTACTGATCCCTTGTAGTGAATCAGTTGGTTGTATAAACGGCAAATACTATAACAAGCCAGATGGCCAAAAACCAAGTACTCTTTATAACGTCATGCAAAAAAGTGGGAATTTTCTGTCTCCGTTAAAATGAAACTTGGGTATCCTTTCATAGAAATTAGCACTTCAACCAAACTTACTAATAGAGCTTGTAAGCAACCAACTGATATGGGACTAACTGTACAAGTAAAAGATTCTGCTTTTACACAGATGCTTTAAGGAAGGTTTCTACTTACGCTTAGTCTCCTTGACTATGGAACTATGTGCTGATGTCTGCATTTCACTGTCTGGTGCTGGAATAGACTTGTATTGACTTGTGTCAAAGCTGTAGGACAATTACACAACATCATGGGGTATTTTGGCAAACAATGGAACTTTGGGTGGCCTCCAGTGACTGATAGTGGATTTATGCTACAAAAGCTTATTGGCTACTGCCCACAAATCAGACAGAGATGTGCCAACCCAATAAGCTGATGCCAACTATCAGGAAAGTTCCTGATATTTCTCTGGGTCCCTTTGGCCCATTGATTTCCCCTCATTAAAAAAAAAAAAAAAAAAAAAGTCTTCAAATCTCTTAATTCAAGATAAAGAATCCAGGCATGGTGACTCGTGCCTATATTCCCTGCACTCTGGGAGGCCAAGACAGGAGGATTGCTTGAGGCCAGGAGTTCAAGACCAGCCTGGGCAATATAATGAGATCCCATCTCTACAAAAAATTTAAAAATTAGCTGGCCATAGTGGCACATACATGTAGTCCCAACTGCTGGGGAGACTGAGGCAGGAGGATCCCTTGAGCCTGGGAGTTTAAGGCTGCAGTGAGCTCTGATCATGTCCCTGCACTCCAGCCTAGGCAACAGAGCAAGACACTGTCTCAAAAAAAAAAAAAGAAAAAGAAAAGAAAAGAAAATGTGAGCTTCAATTTAAAACCCTAAATCTTAACCTTTGAGGAACAATTCCGTGCTGCTTTATTCTGTCTTCAGGCATACCTATTTCACACTTTACAGAAGGCCCAAAAAGTGGCTCAAAAAAACCCTACGTGTCTTGGTTCAGAGACTGACAGAGAACTAGGGAGTGTGATTAAAGCCAGAGGTCTCCTTGCCTAAGAAATTCACAGGACTGGATTGACAGTGGGTTAAAAAGAGTCATTCTAGACATACTACTGCCTTCTCAAGGCAGAACAGGCACCTTCTTAGAGAATGTTAAACTTCCATCCTACAGTCTTTTCTATGATCTTTAATATTATAGAGATCTGGGAAATAAAGGCATTAGAAAATTCAGCAATTTGGGCTGGGTGTGGTGGCTCATGCCTGTAATTCCAGCACTTTGGGAGGCCCTGGTGGGCAATCACCTGAGGTCAGGCGTTCAAGACCAGCCTGTCCAATATAGTGGAACCCCATCTCTACTAAAAAAATACAAAAGTTAGGAGATAACACCTGGCTAATTTTGTATTGTTTTTAAGTAGAGATGGTGTAGTGCACGACTGCAGCCCCAGCTCCTTGGGAGGCTGAGGCAGGAGAATCGCTTGAACCTGGGAGGTGAAGTTTGCAGTGAGCCTAGATCACACCATTGCACTCCAGCCTGGGCAACAGATTGAGACTCTGTCTCAAAAAAAAAACAGAAAAAAAAGAAAATTCAGTAATCTGGTCGATATTCCCACATCCAGTTCTTTGGGCTCTTCAAACAGAGCAGATAGTATCTGCTTTCTTGGCTTAAATTGTGCAAATTTGGTTCCTGGCTGAGAAGTAGACTCCAAACAGTTCTTCAGTGTTGCAGTGATCAAACATGTACTTCTACAGAATCATAAATGTTGCCACACAGCTGCTATTTTATCAATGATCTTATTGACAAAAACAAGAAGACCTAATATCTACTGAAACTGAAGTGACTTCCAACCATGAATATTCCATCCAGTGCTGTAAGTCAAAGTTGTTTTCTCTTCCATAGATGTGGTTGAAATATGATTCAAAAATTATGTCTCAGAAATAGAAAAGTGAAGAAATTATAACTTGTCAAGCAGATTAATTATATAGAGACCACAGACTTAAAATCCAGATAGATTGGTTCAAATTCAAACACCTTGAGTGTCAGTTTGTTCGGTGGAGTCATGTTTTAGAAAGATAAGCTCATAAACTGTTCAAATACAAACAACGTTAGCACCTCTCCTAGTTTACAAATTCTGACCAACCATAATGTAAACCTCAATTATAAACTTCTGCTCTAAGATCACCCTATGACTAACCATCCAAACATAAAACCTCGTAGCTCAAGACCCTGGGGGAGTCTATTGGGTGGAATTATTCAGCCAGTGGCTCCCTTGCTTAGTAAGTTTCTAATAAAGTTAGCTTCTTTTTTTTTTTTTTTTTTTTTTAATAATCAGGTTTTTCTGGTGGTCTTACATGAGTCTTTGAAAGCTCATTCTGTAATATTCAGGAAGCAGTAAAGAAGTCTTTTTATACCCTTGAACTTGCTTTCTTTCCTACTGTTTATAGCCAATGATTCTGGGATAGAGAATTTAAGAATAGCGATGTTGTTTGTTCAAATTACATATTCCCTTACTTTCCCCAATCTCCAACAAGATCCTGCCATGCAACCCAAAACTCAGAAGCACAACTGCAGTAAGCCAGTGCCAGTGAAGGAGGTAAGTTGCTTCTCCAAGTAGTGCTAGAGAAAGTGTTGAAAACATTGGCCATGTTGAAATTATCCATGCAAAACCATGTTAAGTTGGAGATATGACAATAAGTTAGTATAACATTTGCTGGGGCCAGGCACCGTGGTTCACGCCTGTAATCCCAGCACTTTGGGAGGCCGAGGCAGGTAGATCACCTGAGGTCAGGAGTTCAAGACCAGTCTGGCGAACATGGCAAAATCTTGTCTCTACTAAAAATACAAAAACTTAGCGGAGCCTGGTGGCACACCTGTAATCCCAGCTACTTGGGAGGCTGAGGCATGAGAATTGCTTGAACCTGGGAGGCGGAGATTGCAGTGAGCCGAGATCACACTGCTACACTCTAGCCTGGGCAACAGAGTGAAACTGTGTTGCAAAACACAAACAAACAAAAAAACAAAAACACACACACACGTTTGCAAAAAACATAACCTCAAAGAGTAGCTCTTCAAGTCACTACTCCCATCTCTCTATGCCATGTGATATCACCTGCTTTCTCACTAGGTGAGGGCTTGGTGGGGGTGGTCAAGGAAGAACACATCAGGGAGAAGCACCAGAGGTAGCAAGGTCACAGGTGTGGGGCCTGGAAGCGTCATCGCTGCTCACATCATTAGTGCTGCTGGTGCTGGTCCTCACCCCAACCCCATGTCTGAGCTCAGGAGAACTAGAGCCCCGCCGTCCCTCCTGTGCCTCCACTTCATGCTAGAGGCCTTAAAGGACTGCAACCACAAGAAACACAAACAGGCCCCTGGCAGGGCTGGTCTTTGGACAATTGTGAAAGACACAAAAGAAGACAGCTTCTAGAGGCGGGCATGGTGGCTCACGCCTGTAATCCCAGTACTTTGGGAGGCCGAGGCAGGTGAGTCACTTGAGATCAGGAGTTCGAGACCATCCTGACCAACATGGTGAAACCCTGTCTCTACTAAAAATACAAAAATTAGGCCGGGTGCAGTGGCTCACGCCTATAATTCCAGCTACTTGGGAGGCTGAGGTAGGAGAATCGCTTGAACCCGGGAGGTGGAAGTTGCAGTGAGCCAGGATGACACCACTGCGCTCTAGCCTGGGCGATAGAGTGAGACTGCGTCTCAAAAAATAAATAAATAAAATAAAATCAGCCAGGCACAGTGGTGCATGCCTGTAATCCCAGCTACTCAGGAGGCTGAGGCAGGAGAATCACTTGAACCCGGGAAGGGGAGGTTGCAGTGAGCTGAAATCATACCAATGCACTACCTGGGTGACAGAGTAAGACTCCGTCTCAAAAAAAAAAAAAAAAGAAAAGACAGCTTCTGGGACTCTCACAATGCAGTGAGAATTCTTGAGTTCTTGGAATGGATGCATTAACCTCTGTTTTCAAGATGGAGAAGGAAGCCAAGTATGGGGATGCTATTCTGTACAGGGGGAAGATCTGAAGATTCAAACAGAAGGCACAAATCCAGGAGGCAGTCCACAAGCCTACAAAAATGTATATCCTACAAGATTCAGGTTGCTAATTTTGGAGAACAACTTTCTGAACCCAGCTTATGAAGGCCACCTAATGGTGGGGACTCCCACTCATGACAAGGTGTGGAAAATCTGACAAAGAAAATTATAGAACTCCTAATCCTCTTTGGCCAATATGAACTGAAGCTTCAGAACAAAGTTCCAGGCCTCCCAAAAAGTCTTGATCCAGCCTGTTGCCATTTTAATCCAAAACGCACTATGGTTATAGCATTGCAGCTGGGATGGAGTAATTGTATCCTCAGAATCAGGAGCAGTTGTATGCAAGGGCTTCAAACTTACTCAATAGCAGAATTTGTGTAGGTGATTTGAATACTTAGGGTCACTTGAGATCAGTGCCATCAAGACCAGCTTTTGGGAGATCTCAGTCTCCCAAGCAGTTGTCCCTCACAAGAAACTCCATGCCAAGGGCAGATTGCTCCCTGTTCAGATGGAAAACATCAAGCACTCACACTCAGAGCTCATCAGCTGCTGGCTTCAGCTTGAGCAAGAAGTCTTCAGTGTCCCAGCAGGTGATATCTCACTACCAACTTGCTGTGCACAGATTTGCTGCTGCTCTATCAAGATGCACAGGCCAGGCTGGGTGTTGTGTGGCTCACACCTATAATCCTAGCCCTGTTGGGAGGCCAAAGCAGAAGGATTGTATGAACCCAGGAGTTCAAGACCAGCCTGGGCAACACAGCAAGACCTCGTCTCTAAAAACAAAGACAAAAACAAAAAAAAAACTAGCCAGACATGGTAGCATGTACCCATAGTCCCCACCCCCCCCGAAAAAAATGCACAGACCAACTAGAATCCAAGGATAACCATTCTGACATTCATGGGTCCCATCTCTAACAGCTACTTCACCACATACCAGAGACACCAAGGGTTCCCTCAGCCCAGGTCTCCATGCCAACCAGGCTCAAGTTTTAAACCCTAGAAATTAGGTTCTCTAGGGCCAACGAGAGACTAGGGATAAAACCTAGAGCTAAAATCCAGGTCCCAGCTGTGCTGGCCTCTGCCAAGGATTCTTCAGGCTTCCCTGCTTCTTCATCGTCAGGATCCCTAATCCTACAATCAGTAGCCAGTGCCTTTGTCCACTGCCACGCCCAGCTAATTTTTGTATTTTTAATAGATATGGGGTTTCACCATGTTGGCTAGGCTGGTCTCGAACTCCTGACTTCAGACAATCTGTCCCCCTCGGCCTCCCAAAGTGCTGGGATTACAGGCATGAGCTACCATGCCCAGCCTGTATTAATTTCCATGTGTTTGTGTAATTTCCAGAGTTCCTCTTGTTATTGATGTCTAGTTTTCTTCCATCTTGGTCAGAAAAGATACTTGATATGATTTCTGTTTTTTTGAATGTGTTCAGACTTGTTTTGTGGCCTAAGATATGGTCTATTCTGGAGAATGTTCTATGTACTGATGAAAATGTGTATTCTGCAACAGTTGGGTGAAATGTTCTCCTATTGTGAGTTAGGCCTATTAGATGTAGTGTGTAGTTTAACTCTGATGTTTCCTTTTTGATTTTCTATCTGAATAATCTGTACATTAAAAGTCTTCTACTATTATTGTATTTCAGTCTGTCTTTCCCTTTAAATCTATTCATGTTTGCTTTATATACTTGAGGGCTGCAGTGTTGGTTGCATATACGTTTATAATTGTTATTTCATATCTTCTCGCCAAATTGATCCTTTTATCATTACATAGGGACCTTCTTTGTTTCATTTTAGTCTTTGATTTGTAGTCTATTTTATCTGATATAAGTGGAGCTACTCCTGCTGTTTTTTGGTTTCCAATTGCATGGAATATCTTTTTCCATGCCTACACTTTCAGTCCATGTGTGTCTTTATAGGTAAAGTGGGTTTCTTGTTGGCAGCATATATGGGTCTTGTTTCTTTATCCATTCAGCCTCTCTATGCCTTTTAATTGGAGAACTGAGTCCATTTATGTTGTTTCATTACTGACAAGTAAGAACATACTACTGCCATTATGTTGGTTGTTTTCTGGTTGTTTTGTAACCCCTCTCTTCTTTTCTCACTGTCTTCCTTTGTGGTTAAGGTATTTCCTCTGGAAATATGTTTTAATTCATTGCTGTTTATTTCTGGTGAATTTATTATAGGTTTTTGTGTTGTGATTACCATGAAACTTACAAAAAACATCTTAGAGGCCAGGTGTGGTGGCTCTTGCCTGTAGTCCCAGCACTTTGGGAGGCTGAAGTGGGTGGATCACGGGGTCAAGAGTCGAAGACCAGCCTGGCCCACATGGTGAAACCTCATCGCTACTAAAAATATGAAAATTAGCCGGGCATGATGGCAGGTGCCTGTAATCCCAGCTGCTCGGGAGGCTGAGGCAGGAGAATCGCTTGAGCCTGGGAGGCAGAGGATGCAGTGAGCCAAGATAATGCCATTGCACTCCAGCCTGGGTGACAGAGCAAGACTCCGTCTCAAAAAAAAAAAAAAAAAAAAAAATTCATAGAGATAGAACAAGTTATTTTAAAGAGATGACAACTTAGATCACAAAGAAACAAAAAACAAAAAAAAGTTTACACTTTAACTCCATCCCCTCCCACACATTTTGACTTTTAATTGTCTCAATTTATATATTTTATTTCACCTCTTAACTAGTTGCTATTGCTATTATTATTTTTTGATAGTCTTTTGGGTTTCATATGAGAGTGATGAGTGGACCGCACACCATACTTATAGCATTAAAATATTCTGGGTTTGTCCATGTACTTAATTGTACCTGTGGGTTTTATACCTTCAATTGCTTTCTCTTTTCACATTAATGTTTTTTCTTTCAGATTGAAGAACTCCCTTTAGCATTTCTAAATGCCACGGGTCTAGCAGTGGTAAATTCTCTCATAATTCAGTAGTGCTCATTAGCTTATTTTTATATGTAGTAACTTTAAGGTTTTTGTCTTTCTTTGAGTGAGATTCTCTGCCTCAGATTTGATCCACGGCCATCCTTTCTTAAGTTACTAAGGCACACATTAGGCTTGGCCTCAGCCAGCCCCCTAGTGGTACAGCTCATGCCCCCAAGAGTCCCCTACTCTTCTCCTACATCACACGGGGACACTGGAGTTGTTCCCAGGGTGTATCCTTGGTCTGGGTCATTTTCTGTGTTGAGATGACATCATGGCCGGCAAACAAAGACAGTGTTATCTGTTGCTCTTTTTATGCAATGCCAAGTACCAGCCTACCCAAGCCTCCATCCTACTGCCAGCCAGCGTGGAAAGGCCTCATTGGCATTCAGCACCAGGCTTCCAGACACTCAGGCACCCAACAGTTGCCACCATACCTCAGCTGCCTGCCCTTTCACACAGAGGAGGGTGGGCAAGTGAGAGCTCATGTTTCCCACCAAGGAAGGGATTTATCAGGCAGTGGGAGAGGGAGAAGCTTAAGAGAAGAAGAGACTAGAAGTTTCCCTCTCCTCCAGTCCCTCATTCGACAATCTCTGCAACCTTCAGAGAATGGCTCCTCTGTTCCTGAATGCTGAATAGTTAGTGGATGACTGGACATTTCTCAGAGAGCTCGTGGCCCTCTGCTAGCTGCCCTCAGGAGGATCTGGGGCCTGCCAGAGTTAGCTATAAAGGGATGCTGGGTTTTGGAAGGAAGAAGAAACAGCTCTCCTCCATAAGGAAAGGTCCTAAAACTGCTCAGGGATGGAGAGGCAACCTGGCTGGGCCTGGCCTTCCCCCACACAGGGCACCAGGCATGTGACTGAGATTATCTTGGACCCTCCAGCCCACCCCAGCCACCAATAAATATCACCAAGAAATTCCAATGAACACCACATGAAGCAAAAGAACTGATCATCTATGTCCTGCCCGAATTCCCTGACCCACAGAAGCATAAGAATAGTTGTCATTTTAAGCCAATATATTTTGGGGTAATTTGTTACGTAGTAACAGACAGCTAGAACCCCTGACCAATATAACTCTCAATAGGAAATGGGCAAATACCTTAAACAGATAATTCACGATAGAAGAAATATTGACTACTGAGAATATGAAGAAATTATTTCCCAAATTCATTATTAATAATAAACTGAAACAAACAGACTATGTGTCAACTTGGGAAGTTTGTGTTTTTGTTTTTAATACCTGGTATTTGCAAGACTGTGGTAGAAGTGCTATTTTCTTGTACTCCTGATACTATGGTTTTAATTTTTGTTCCTTCTAAAACTCATGTTAAACCGAGGCAGGTGGATCACTTGAGGTCAGGAATTTGAGAACAGCTTGGCCAACATGGTGAAATCCCATCTCTACTAAAAATACAAAAACTAGCTGGCCATGGTGGCAGGTGCCTGTTATCCCAGCTGCTTGGGAGGCTGAAGAAGGAGAATCACTTGAACCCAGATAGCAGAGGCTGCAGTGAGTCGAGATCGTGCCACTGCACTTTAGCCTGGGTGACAGAGCAAGACTCCATCTCAGAAAACAGAAACAAAAACAAAAACAAACAAACAAACAAACAAAAACTTAACCCCCAGTGTGGCAGTACTGAGAGGTGGGGCCTTTAAGAGGTGATTGGCTCATGGCCCTGCGCCATGAGTGGATTAATCCATCCATGGACTAATGGGTTATCACAGGAGTCGGATTGGAAGCTTTATAAGAGGAAAAGGGACCTGAGCTAGCATGCTCACCCCTCTCAGCACTCTACAGAGAGTCTCCACCAGCAAGTAGGCAGATGCACCCCTTTGACCTTGTACTTCCCAGCCTCCAGAACTATAAGAAATAAATTGGTTCTTTATAAATTACCCACTATCAGATACTCTCTTATAAGCAATGGAAAATGGATTAAGATACCTGACTATGAATATGTCTGGTTTTTTTCTTTTTTTTTTGAAACAGGGTCTCACTCTGTAACTTAGGCCTAGAGTACAGTGGACACAATCACAGCTCACTGCAGCCTCAAAATCCTGGGCTCAAGGGATCCTCCTATCTCAGCACCCAGAGTAGATGGAACTACAGGCACACACCACCACAGTGGCCTATTTTTTTTTTTTTTTTTTTTTTTACTTTTTGCAGCAATAGAGGTCTTGCTATATTGTCTAGACTGGTCTGAAACTCCTGTCCTCAAGCAATCCTCCTGCCTTGGCCTTCTTTAAGCACTGGGATTACAAGTGTAAGCCACCATGCCTGGCCCAAATACAAGTCTTTATGAAGAATTTTCTCAACAGGCTTCAGCAGCCTTAGATTTTTTTTATATACATATATACACTGTGACTGTTAATTCTACTTCCAGGAGTTTATCCTCCCACAGAAATAATCAGATGTGCATAATGCTTTATAGACACAATAATCCCTGATACACAATTAACCAGAAGAGAAAACTGGACACAACTTAAGAGTCCAAAAATATAGCAGTCATTAAATTGCAGCACGTCACACAATGAAGTATTTTGCCAATATTAAAAATGTTTAAGAAACTTATAAAATTATAGGTGAATTTTATTTCCTTTATAGGTTATTTTTCCTCTGAAACTTTTTTCTGTTTGTTTTTTTGTTTGTTTTTGTTTTTGTTTTTTTGAGACAGGCTCTCACTCTTGCCCAGGCTCAAGAGCAGTGGCATGATCTCAGCTCACTGTAGCCTCGACATCCCAGGCTTAAGTGATCTTCCCACCTCAGCCTCCAAAGTAGCTGGGACCACAAGACATGCACCACCATGTCTGGCTAATTTTTGTATTTTTTTTTGTAGAGATGGGTGTTGCTGTGTTGCCCAGGCTTGTCTTCAACTCCTGGCCTCAAGGAATCTGCCCTCATTGGCCTCTCAGTGTGCTTGGTATTATAGGCATGTGCCACCATGTCCAGACTAAAACATTTTCTAATTACAAAAATTGTATGCATCATAAAGCTTTAAACTTGCTTTTCAAGACAAAAGAAGAAATTTTGAAGAAACAAACCGCTACAAAAGCAAAAATAATGGTAGGAAACGTGTAGATTAAGAGATACAGTGTATGCACCTTATTTAGATCTTAATGCAAATAAAATGTATTTTAAAAATGAGATAATTGTGGAAATTTAAATACTGGCTGGATATTTGATTAAGAGTTTATTTTATTTTATTTTATTTTTTGAGATAGAGTTTTGCTCTTGTCACCCAGGCTGGAGTGCAATAGCATGATCTTGGCTCACTGCAACCTCCGCCTCCCGGGTTCAAGCGATTCTCGTGCCTCAGCCTCCCAAGTAGCTGGGACTACAGGCACCTGCCGCCACACCCGGCTAATTTTTGTATTTTTAGTGGAGATGGGGTTTCTCTATATTGGCCAGGCTTGTCTCAAACTCCTGACCTCCGGTGTTCTGCGCCGCGGCCTCCCAAAGTGCTGGGATTACAACGTGAGCCACCGTGCCCTAAGAGTTAATTTTTTTAAAAAAACATGAAATAATGATATTTTAGTTCCACTTTTAACAAGAGTTATACCTTACAGATTAACACACACACCCCTCCCAATAAGACTGGTAGACATTTCACCATGAGTATTTGAGGAGAAAGTGGGGATGGACCTGAGAAAGAAGACAGTAAAAGTGTTTCCCAATGAGAAATAAAAAAATTCGGCCAGGCGTGGTGGTTCATGCCTGTAATCCCAGCACTTTGGGAGGCTGAGTGTGGGCGGATCATTTGAGGTCAGGAGTTCGAGACCAGCCTGGTCAACACGGTGAAACGCTGTCTCTACTAAAAATACAAAAAAATTAGCCATGCGTGGTGGCACATGCCTGTAATCCCAGCTACTCGGGAGGCTGAAACAGGAGAATCATTTAAACCCAGGAGGCGGAGGTTGCAGTGAGCCGAGATCGTGCCACTGCACTGCAGCCTGGGTGACAGAGTGAGACTCCACCTCAAAAAAAAAATAATAATAATAATTCTAAGCCTTTCAACTGACTGAATGGATCCTCTCTTTGCCAAGGGGACTCCAGAGAAACCTTGAAAGCTGAGTTCACAGCCATGATAAGATAGGAGATCAAACACACCTCATTATACCTACTCTCTCGCTAACAGTACTTAGGTTTTCTTCCATAAGGACTAAACAGAAACCAGTCTTTGCAAAAGACTACTAGCTCAACTTCCCAGGCACAGAACAAGGACAAGATGAAACTAATCATTCCTTCATCCCTCCCCAAGACTCAGCCTTTTCTATTTCCTATTTCTCCAAATCTTCACCTTATCTTACGTAAAATGTTGATTTCCTGGGCACTAACTAAAGTCTTACAAGTATGTAATCATTTGCCTCACTGCTGCCCCCAACCCCTTTTTTTTAAGGAAAATGTAATAAATACTAAATCTTTTAAGAACCTCCTTGGAAAAACCAGCCACTGATTCTATGACTCGTGTTTTTCCCCTGTGCATCCTCAAGCTGGCTCAATAAACCTTGGTGGTTTGAGACTTAGTGCCTCAGTCACTCATTTTGGTTGTAATTTTGGTAACCATGAAGGGATTACGGAGAAGAGATTAGCTCCTTTGACCTGCAGCAATTCTCCTTCCAACAAGAGATTCCCTCTGACTATGCAAATTGCAAAGGTTCAGAAGCTTGCTCTCTCTCCTGAGGTTCCCTGATCTCCTGAAATTTTTGGTTTGAGATTCAAGGTTTATTTTGCCAGGAAACTCCTCTAGAAAAGGAGTTTGCTCACTTCCAATAACGAAGGTGAGTTTGCTGCTTCCATGCCAACAAAGAGCAGTCTTCAGCTTGGGCTCCATCTCCAGGCAAGGAAGTGGTTTGGGATTTCATTTGGGGATTTGGTAGTTGAAGGTCAAGGTTTACTGACAACTGGCTATAACTTCTCCTTTATACTCAGAGGTCCCAGCAATATGTAAATTTTGCTATTGCTTTTTCTGTTTTTTTTGTTTCAGTCCATCTTCTGTTAGATTTGACCAATTCTTACCACATCTCCATGTTGATTAAAACCCCTGCAGCTGCAGAAAATCAAGTTTCAACCCTAGGAACACTGGCTGGTTAAGATAAATCAATATTTTACCCTCCCAAAAAATTTTTAAAATTATTTTACCCCCCCAAAAATTATATATATATATATATATATATATATATATATATATATATATATATATATATATATATTTTTTTTTTTTTTTTGAGACAGACTCTTCTCAAAGAGAAGAGGCTACAGTTGTCCAGGCCAGAGTCCAGTGGTGCATCTCAGCTCACTTCAGCCTTGACTTCCCAGGCTCAGGTGGTTCTCCCACATCAACCTCCCCAGTAGTTTGGACTACAGGTGCATGCCACCATGTCAGGCTAATTTTTTGTATTTGTGGTAGAAATGGGGTTTCACTATGTTGCCCAGGCTGGCCAAAATATATATCTTTGACATATTTTAAAGTAGCCCTGCCAGACTTTCTCTAGCCTGAATCTAGGAAAGGTTAGCTAAGGTCTTCATTCTGAAGGTTCCCTTGTACACATGTTAAATAAATGTGCATGCCTTTCCTACTCATCATCTGCTTCACACCAGTGATTTTTTTCAGTGAACCTTTAGGGGGCCAAGGGCCTATGACTCCTGCAGTGTGGCACAGCAAGCAGAGTGGACAAAGCCATTCTTCTCTTCTGGAACCCACAGTGAAGAGAACCCAGGAACCTGATCTGCCAGCCAAGAACTAGGAATTTCTCACCAGCCAGGCTCTCTGTGGACTCCAGCTGGGTGGATGGTAAAAATCACTGTCTCATCTCCAAGGTTCTTTTTTTGTTTTGTTTTTGTTTTTGTTTTTGTTTTAGATAGGATCTCACTTCATCACCCAGGCTGGAGTGCAGTGGCACAAACACAGCTCACTGCAGCCCCGACCTCCAGGGCTCAAGTGATCCTTCCACCTCAGCACCCCCAAGTTGCTGGGACTGCAGACATGCACCACCATGCCTAGGTAACATTTTTAGTATTTTTTGTAGAGATGGAGTTTTGACATGTTGCCAAGCCTGATCTCAAACTCCTGGGCTCAAGTGATTCTCCTGCCTCAGCCTCCCAAAGTGCTGGGATTGCAGGTGTGAACCACCATGTCCAACCTCATCTGCAAAGTTTTGATTATGGGAAAAAAGGATTTGTGTAACTAGTCTTGCACTGTGGTGACTCTGCTGTAACTCTGGTATTTTGTGTTATGAGTATTCACATCATTTGATCCCTTTTCCTCTAATATCCTTTTTTGTTGCCACTTTGCTTCTTCTTTCTGTGTCCTTCTGTCAGAATGAAACTGACCCAATTATTCCACAGAACTTTACAGTTCACCATCTCATAGATGTTTACAGTTTCTTTTGAAGAAACATAGAAATTTACCTTTCCAATCTTGAAACTTGAGAAAGTTACATTCATCTTATCTGAGTTCCTTTCTCAAGAAATCAGCCATCAGGTCTCCCAGATAGAATCAAAGAATTGAAACTCATCGGATCACCACACCTGAATAATGAAATGTCATACCTCTCTCCCTTTATGATTGACTGACCCACCACCTGCTGCCTGTTGACCAAGGTCCCTTTCCTACCCCTTCCTAATTCCTGTTTTCCTGCATGTTGTTACATTTCTGCTGTATAAACTCCTATCTTTAGTGAGTGAGGAGACAGATTTGAGACTGATCTCCCATCTCCTCTGCTGCAGCACCCAATTAAAGCCTAGCAATACTGGCTGTCTCAGTGAGCAGCTTTCTGTGCAGTGAGAAGCGGGACCTAGCCTAAACCTCTAGGGTTTCAGTAACAATAAAAGGGGGTACCATAGGGTAGAATACGAGCCTAGAACTCTTGTAAGCCCCTGTAAGCCTGCTGTGAAAACGGCACTGCAGCCTGGTCAGTCTTTTGTGGTTCTGACCGGACCAATGTCTGTTAAGACAAACTTTACTGTGGGTCCCTGAAACAAAAACCAGATGAAGTTTCCCACTCTTCCTGTTTCGTGTCCTTGAGAGCTTCACTTTGTGACTAAGGGGGGATACTCTTAGTCTCTGCCATCCAGAAAATGTGATTTTTCGGGTCCTCATCTGATTTTCTGAGGGTCCAAGACACATAATATTTTAAAAAGCTCACTTTTCACTCTGAACGTATCAGGCTCTTATGGGAGTTTTGTCTTAAAAGGTCCCATTCCTACAGGGCTTTTGTCATCTTTTGCTATCTTTTTTTTATTTTTTATGTTTTATTTTTATTTTTTTTTGAGACGGAGTTTTGCTCTCGTTGCTCAGGCTGGAGTGCAATGGCGTGACCTCGGCTCACCACAACCACCACCTCCCAGGTTCAAGTGATACCCCTCCTCAGCCTCCCGAGTAGCTGGGATTACAGGCATGTGCCACCATGCCCAGCTAATTTTGTAGTTTATTAGAGACGGGGTTTCTCCATGTTGGTCAGTCTGGTCTCAAACTCCTGACCTCAGGTGACCCGCCCACCTCAGCCTCCCAGAGTGCTGGGATTACAGGCGTGAGCCACCGTGCCTGGCCATCTTTTGGTATCTTAAGTCTATTTATAAGAGTGAATTTTGGGGGATCATGAAGATGCCTCCTCTATACCCTTTTTAGGAATATCTTTTGCTTACATGGTAAAAAACGTGGAAAATTCCCACCTAGGCTTGAAAGAAGCTTTTGGATTGTGTCACTATTGGAACTAAATAAACCACTGAAAATAAAAAAATGTTAGAGATATCTTATTCCAAGCAATGTCAGGAAGGTACTCCATATGGTCTAAAAAGGGGAGGCATGAATAATTTGCCCCTTGTTTAGCATATAATCAAGAAATAACCATAAAAATGGGTAACCAGCAGCCTTCAGGGCTGTTCTGTCTATGGAGTAGCCATTCTTGATTCCTTTCCTTTCTTAATAAACATGCTTTCACTTTATAGACTCACCCCTAATTCTTTCTTGCACGAGATCCAAGAATCCTTTCTCAGGGTCTGGATGAGGACCCCTTTCCAGTAACATTGCTGCAAAACCAAAAGACAGTTCAGGAGGTCTTATCAAATCTGCTGTCTCAACTTCTCCTCAAGAGTCTTACAGATGCTAGTAAACACATTAGGCTAATTAACAAGAAAATGGTGAAGGCATCCAGGATCATGGTGGCTCACATTTGTAATCCCAGCACTATGGGAGGCCGAGGCAGGCAGATCACTTATGGTTAGGAGTTTGAGACCTGCCTGGGCAACATAGTGAAACCCTGTGTCTACTAAAAATACAAAAAATTAGCTGGGTGTGGTGGTGCACACTTGTAATCACAGCTACTCAGGAGGCTGGGGCACAAGAATTCCTTGAGCCCAGGAGATGAAGGTTGCAGCAAGCCAAGATCACACCACTGCACTCCAGCTTGAGCAACAGAGTGAGACTCTGTCTCCAAAAAAAAAAAAAAAAAATGGTGAGGGCAAAAGGGGGAGTCAAAGGACTCATCCCAAAAAGGTGGGGATTTTTAAGCAGTTATTTACAAAGTAAGGTAAAACTTAAAAATCATTGATGGGTTGAAACTAAGAGAAAAAAGAAAGGGCAAATCATGGAACCCATCACAGCAGGGTGGAAATCTTTAGATGGTTATTAAGAAATGAAACGAAGGCTAGGCACGGTGGCTCACCGCTATAATCCCAACACATTTGGAGGCCGAGGCAGGTGGATCAACTCAGGTCAGGAGTGTGAGACCAGCCTTGACAAACATGGAGAAACCCCATCTCTACTAAAAATGCAAAATTAGCCAGGTGTGGTGGTGCATGCCTGTAATCCTAGCTACTCGGGAGGCTGAGGCAGAAGACTTGCTTGAACCCAGGAGGTAGAGGCTGCAGTGAGCTGAGATTGCGCCACTGCACTCCAGCCTGGGCAACAAGAGCAAAACTGCATCTCATAAAAAAAAAAAAAATTAGCTGGGTGTGGTGGTGGGCACTTGTAATCCCAGCTACTCGGGAGGCTGAGGCAGAGAATTACTTGAACCTGGGAGGTGGAGGTTGCAGTGAGCCAAGATCACATGGCACTCCAGCCTAGGTGACAAAGTGAGATTCCACCTCAAAATTAAAAAAAAAAAAAAAAAGAAAGAAAGAAAGAAATGAAATGAATAAAATGGAAATTGGCACTAAAATAAAGGTCTTAATACAACACTATTGAAAGTTGGGTGTTTGTATGAGGGTTTTAAGAAAAAAAAAAGAAAGTTGGGAAACCAAAGAGAGCCCCAGCTGGTCCTCTAACATTTGTCCTCCAAGGGCCCCAAATCAGTGCCATATTTACCCTAGATTGGAGAGATTTATGAAAAAATATGAGGGCAGAGATTACAATGAGAGAGCTGAAGAATTGCCTGCGACAATGTTCATCAAGATAAGATTGATGAAAGGAGCCAGGGTTCCTTGGTTCAGCACCCCTGCTGGGGACTCAAAGCCTTTTTCACCAGGAAGGGTAAAATGGTCTGGGATTGGACAAGAAAAGGTGCCTGGGACCAGAACATAAAGATGCAAGGGTTGATAGAATTAAGAAAGTTGGAATGTTTCAACAGGTTTTATGTCTGTGAAAGGAAAATAAAATCTTGGGACCCCAAACTCACTAAGCCAAAGGGAAATGTCAAGCTTGGGAACTGAGTCACACAAAACTGCCTATTTTTGTTCCTACAAAGATAAAAGCCCACATCCCTCCCCAGGGGTGCTCTCTCACAATTTGCCCACAAGGAAATTCCTTGCAGGCCCTAAGATCCTTACCCTAAAGCAGTTCTGTTGAATTTCTCCCTGACAATGTAAGTTAATAGCTTATCTTAGCAAGTAGGGGACAAAGACAGGACCAGAAGTCATCCCTCCACCTACCTGAGACAAATGCATATTAATGCAGATTCACTGAGCCTGAGATGAATGCATAATTGACTATTTATCTACCCACAGTAACATGTGGATTCAAAGAATGTTGATTAAAGCTGCAAAAGAATGTAACCACTTGCCTCTTTTCACACCCCTCCTTCACTTTTTTTCTTCTCTTGTCTTTCCCTACTGCCTGCCTGCTCTTTCCCTTCATCTTTGTTTTCTTTTTTTGAAATGGAGTCTCGTTCTATCACCCAGGCTGGAGTGCAATGGTGCAATCTTGGCTCACTGCAACCTCTGCCTCCCGGGCTCAAGCGATTCTTGTGCCTCAGCCTTCCAAGTAGCTGGGATTACAGGCATGCACCACCATGCCCAACTAATTTTTGTATTTTTAGTAGACACAGGGTTTTGCAATGTTAGTCGGGCTGGTCCTCAAGTCCTGACCTCAAGTGATCGCCCACCTCCGCCTCCCAAAGTGCTGGGACAACAGGCATGAGCTGCCACTCCCGGCCTCCCCTTTAAATCATGAAGGTCTCAAACCTTCTTTGGAAAAATAATGGATCACAGATGCTCCTGTGGTTTTGTGTTCCTTTTTCCTGGGCATGTCCTCAACCTTGGCAAAATAAACCTCTAAATTGATTGAGACCTGTCTCAGATACTTTTTGGTTTACAATGTAAAGTAGTTGTATCTCCTTTACCTAAATGACTTTTAAAATAGTTATTGTATCAGACTGGGGAAATGTTTCCCCTACCTAGCATCATAAAGCAGAAGGCATGTAAATCTGCCCTTCCGGCAATGTTAATTAGACATGCTAAATGAGACCCAGTAAGACTGCCTGAGCCCACAGGGTGTGTGGATGCTGATAGGGACAAATTCTCCACTTCATAGCCCTTTGTGGAGCAGTTACGGTCTGTATGAGTCAGTTCTCATGCTGCTATAAATAAATAACCAAGACTGAGTGATTTATAGTGAAAGGAAGTTTAATGGACTCACAGTTCTGCATGGCTGGGGAGGCCTCAGGAAAGTTACAATCATGGCTGAAGGTGAAGCAGAAGCAGGCACCCTCTTCACAAGGTAGTAACGTGTACTCCCCTGGAGTGTATTTTAAAGCACTGGGACTCCTTCGACCCTGAAATTTTGAAGAAAAGTGGCTTATTTTCTTTTGCACAAGGGCTTGGCCTTTTTACTAGACCTTTGCAGGTGTTGCAAAATCAACCAAGCTCTTTTAGCAATCATATCAGGCAGGCCCAAAGAGAATAATTCCCCAAAATTAGTAAACCAAGTTCCAGGGGAACCATCTGAGGATTCCCTTATTTGGGGCCCCTTCAACACCCCTTCTCACTGCAGAACCTTAGACAAGTAAAATGAGACTTAGGCCAATTTTCTGATGACCCTGATAGATATATAGAAGCTTTCCAAAATTTAACTCAGGTATTTGACCTCTCATGGAGGAATGTTGTGCCTCTCCTAAGCCAAACTCTAACTGCAGCTAAAACAGGCAGCTCTGAATGCAGAAGAAAATTTTGGAGATGAGCAATATGTCTCCTATAGTAGGGCCAAAAGGGAAAAGAGAAAATAGGGAAGGCAAAGAAATAGGGGAAACACCATTCCCAATAGGAAAAGAGGCAAAACCTCTTGACAACCCTAATTGGAACTCCTTTCTGTGGTGTTTTTCCTTCTTTCATGGTTTAAAACGGCTTCTATCTCTTTTATAATGTTCTTCCAACCTGGGAAAAGTTAATTTTCCAAACCTTAAAATGCTTGGCTTAGAGTTGAGCTAGGGGGAAGGGAACCCAGAAGCCTGATATGCCGGCAAAAGGGTAAAAATTTCTTACGGATCGGGCTTTCAGCTTTTCTCTCCCTGTGCAAACAAGTAAAAGGGTTAATAAGAACCATTGTGTATATTCTCTGTAAATGTATAATTAATGAAAAAGGATTTGTGAGGTTGCTCTTAAGCTGTAGACAATCTGGTGTGCTTTGCATGTCTTTCTGTATGGTTCTGTCAAAGAAAGGGTATCTCAGGTTAGGATGCAGGCCCAGGAACCCATAAGCCTGCTGTTCAAGCCAACCCAACAGAACAGTCAGTAACAAACTTGCCTGCAGGCCTCCATCTTGTTTCATGTCCTTGGCAACATGACCTGTAACCAAGTGGCAATACTTTGTTTTAGTCTCCATCATTTTACAATGGTGTCTGTCTTCTTGTGCTGTTGAGGGAAGTCAGGGACCCCAAACGGAGGGACCGGCTGAAGCCATGGCAGAAGAACGTGGATTGTGACGATTTTATGGACATGTATTAGTTCCCCAAATTAATACTTTTGTAATTTCTTATGCCTGTCTTTACTGCAATCTCTAAACATAAATTGTAAAGATTTCATGGACACTTAGCACTTCCCCAGTCAATACCCTTGTGATTTCCTATGCCTGTCTTTACTTTAATCTTTTAATCCTGTCAGCCAAGAAGGATGTATATCGTCTCAGGACCCTGTAATAATTGCGTTAAGTACACAAATTGTACAGCATGTGTGTTTGAGCAATATGAAATGTGGGCACCCTGAAAAAAGAACAGGATAACAGCAATTGTTCAGGGAACAAGAGAGATAACCTTAAACTCTGACCGCTGGTGAGCCAGGCAGAACAGAGCCATATTTCTCTTCCTTCAAAAGCAAATGGGAGAAATATCGCTGAATTCTTTTTCTCAGCATGGGATATCCCTGAGAAAGAGAATGCGCACCTAGGGGTAGGTCTCTGAACTGGCCCCCCCGGGGCGTACTGTCTCTTATGGTCGAGGTTGCAGAGGTGAAATAAACTCCAGTCTCCCATAGCGCTCCCAGACTTATTAGGAAGAGGAAATTCCCGCCTAAAAAACTTTGGTCAGACCGGTTGATCTCAAAACCCTGTCTCCTGATAAGATGTTATCAATGACAATGGTGCCGGAAACTTCATTAGCAATTTTAATTTCGTTTCCATCCTGTGGTCCTGTGATCTCGCCCTGCCTCCAATTGCCTTGTGATATTCTATTACCCTGTTAAGTACTTGATGTCTGTCACCCACACCTATTCGCACACTCCCTCCCCTTTTGAAAATCCCTAATAAAAACTTGCTGGTTTCTGTGGCTTGTGGGGCATCACGGATCCTACCAACGTGTGATGTCTCCCCCGGACGCCCAGCTTTAAAATTTCTCTCTTTTGTACTCTGTCCCTTTATTTCTCAAGCCATCCGATGCTTAGGAACATAGAAAAGAACCTACATGACTATCGGGGCAGGTCCCCCGATATTGTGCTAACTCAATTCCTGGGTGAGGGCCACAAAATCAGATAAGCCAGTTTGTCAATCTGGGTGGTGCCCCCTGATCCATCAAGGGCAGGATTTACAAAATATCTTAAGCACTAATCTTGAGTGCAGTTTTAGGAGGGTCAAAATCTTGTAGCCTCCAGATGCATGACTCCTAAACCATGGTTTCTAATCTTATAGCTAGTTTCTTGGTCTGGTCCCCAGGCAAGAGGGAAGTATATCTTAAGAAGGAGCTGTTCTTTGGGAGGCCGAGGTGGGCGGATCACGAGGTCAGGAGATCGAGACCATCCTGGCTAACACGATGAAACCCCATCTCTACTAAAAATACAAAAAGTAGCTGGTTGTTGTGGCCAGCACCTGTAGTCCCAGCTACTCAGGAGGCTGAGGCAGGAGAATGGCGTTGAACCCGGGAGGCAGAGCTTGCTGTGAGCCGAGATCACGCCACTGCACTCCAGCCTGGGTGACAGAGTGAGACTCCAAAGAAAAGAAAAGGAGCTGTTATCATCTTTGTTTTAGACTATAGATTATAAACCAGGCTGCTCCCAAAGTTGGTTCGGACTACCCCCAGGGATGGGCAAGAACAGCTTGGGGCTGGAAAACAAATGCAGCTGTTTGGGTCAGATCTCTTTCGCTGTCTCAGTCACAATTTTGCAGTAACAGTTTCAAAAGCTGCCTATCACCCCTTTGAAAATACCTTGTACATTCAAGGTTAAGTCATAACCTAATTAAGCCATAAACCTAATTAAGACTTGTCAGTTTCACCTGTGAGGTTTCAAAAGCTGAACATCTTAACTGCTTCCTGTGGCTAAAGTCGAGTCACAAGGGATTTAAAAGGATTTTTCTTAATGAGTGCTCAGCTTAATTAAAAGTGGATATTCAAGTTATAAATATATTTAAAAGGCCTTTATGTTTTTTGCTTCTTGGATTTTGTTTTTCTGGTAAAAGGCTTTTTTCTTCTCAGTCGACTGAATTATTTTTCTCCATTTTTTGTCTTACCACTCTTACTGCTTGCTGCCTGGCACTGTTCCTCCAAGGGCTCCACCCTGACGCCAGTAATCCAATTAAGAAACTGGCAAATGAAAAATCTTACAAGTGCTGAATCTTCTGTCTGTTCGTGTTGCTCTATACATGTTGTGTGTAAGGTCTATTAAAAGAGCTCTAATTGACTGGCTTAAAGAAAAACAAGTGCTTAAATCAAATATTTTTTAGTTCACATAACTTTAAGAAATAAAAATAGTCTTAAGGATTATTGGTAAAATGCAAGTGTTGTCAAAATACAAATAGGTGGTCTAAATCATTCAGCTTAGATACTAGGTTTGCTAAATGTTCCAAGGCTGTGTATACTGCCCGCTTTTCAGATAGGTAAGGCTTGGGACACATGGACCTAGATGCTGAAACGTCAGACTTTATCTGCACTTCTGTCTGAGTCCTAGGATCCACATCTGGTACATAATTAAAATAGATTACTAACCAGGTTTTTCACCAAAAATAAAAGTTGCTAAAAGTTCAACAGTGAACATTAACTAAACTTAAAAGTGTATTATATGATCTTTTCATAAATTGAGCATTGAAATAAAAGCACAGCAAAGAGGTCTTACGACACTAATCTGTCCTTTAGTAAAAGGGTTATGAAAGGTTTGTAAAGATTTCACCTCATGGTCAAATTGGTTAAGGTTAGATGGAATGATCTATAAGGTTTAATTTAAACAAATTGGGGTTAATATTAATAAACTAATGCAAGGGTAAAATTTGGGTTTGAACAGGATTTTCATGTCATAGTAAAGGCCAACGAACAGTTTTTGCCTTTTAAGTCACCATTTTGGCAAAAGAAATAATGTATGGCAATCTGGAATTCCATTTCATAACATCAAGTGTTTTAAACCTTGAACATTTAACAGGCATCCTAAAATCAGACTTCAAGTTTCAAAATTGTCGTTCCTGATGCCTGGCTTTTTGATGGTTCAGAGGGCCCCTGAAACATTCAGAAAAGAGATAAACAGGATTATCTGACATATTTAATCACATGAGATTGCCAAAATGATGTCCAATCTTAAGTTATACTTTGCTAAATAATACTAATATATTCTGGCCGGGCACAGTGGCTCAAGCCTATAATCCTAGTGCTTTGGGAGGCTGAGGCAGGTGGATCACCTGAGGTCAGGAGTTCAAGACCAGCCTGGCCAACATGGTGAAACTCCATCTCAACTAAAAATACAAAAAAATTAGCCAGGTGTGGTGGCAGGTGCCTGTAATCCCAGCTACTTTGGGAGGCTGAGGCAGGAAAATCACTTGAACCCAGAAGGCAGAGTTTGCAATGAGCCAAGATCATGCCACTGCACTCCAGCCTGAGCAACAAGAGCAAAACTCCATTTCATAAAAATAATTTTAAAAAATACTATTATATGTTCCAAAATTACATATGATTTCTAAAATTCTGATGTCTAAGTATATGCTATCAATCATAATTAAGGGTAAAGTTATTGTAAACCACTGAAATGAATAAATTTGTTAATCATGTTGTTAACTATAAATATCCTGGAAATCTTGTCATTCACAGACAATTGTTATCTTGCTTTGTTCCTTCTCAAAAGATGGTTTATAATCAAGCTATATTAAAGAATTTAACAGGCATTCTCAAATACAGGTTTTTAGTAGCTTTGAAGATTGTAACATTGGAATAGAGAATGTATGGGACTCATAATGAGCTTACATGTTCACAAATATCAAGCAAAACAAGATTTAACTAGACGGACAGCACTCAGAAGGTTAAAGCAACTTTTTGACTCTTGCTTGGAATATTGCTGATCCTTGTTTTATTTTTCAGAGTGAAGGAAACTTACTTTGAACTATTTATGGCCTTTAATAATTGAGTAAGGTATACTACTGTAAACAAAATTTGGAGTGTGTTTGTTTTTCTCTGCCTGGTTCCTCTAGAATTTGGAAACTATCTGTGAGTACTCTTAACTTATGGCAATATTTGCATCAGTGCAATAAGAATCCATTTTTCTTTGTCAACAGGACACAATTGAAAAAACTGGTTATTTTACCAAGGCTTTGACTGAAAGGGTGTGTTTCCCTTTAAGGAATGAAGCTTGACATGCAGACCCAATAAAAGCCCCTTAAGGAGAACTGGCCTCATACCTTGTCTACACAGTTCCTGCACAAGGTTCCTAAATTGTGGTCAGTAAAGAATGTCATTTTCTAACAGGTCCAGCAGCTCCAAGTTTATCTTAGACCCTCAAGAGGAGAGGATTACCCAACTCACAGGTATTTGAGGATACAAACCCATGGCTGGGCTCAGCTTTAAAGATCTTATCTGAAATTCCTTGTGGAACAGAGTTTCATCAAAGCCAATCCAAAGGCCTACATAGAAACAACCATTCTTGCTGCACTTTATGCAAATAATCAGGCCAAGTATAAGACTAAAGTTTATTCTACGAACAACCCACACAGTCCTATCATAATTTGTTTTTACCAAAAATGAGGACTGGAGAGAGAAATTGTTCTCCAAAGCTTATCATACATTTGTCATTAAATCCTAGTCTCATTAATTGTTTTTAAGCTTTTCGCCTACATTTTAGACTAACCCTGCTTATTCCTGTGAATCAAGTGGTGATCTCCTGCAGCTTGGAAGAATCAAAGGGGGATGGTTAACATAAAAACCTGGATCAATATGCTAGTTCTGGACAATTCTCCTGCAAATTCTGCCAGGTAATGAAAGTGAGTAGGGTGCCCATAACCCAGAGGTTTCTTTGTTTGGGAAAATAAAACCAAGGAACTTCATAGACCTCCCCAAAAGGAAATTCTATATCTTAGGTTAACACCTCTAGTAAAGTAGAGGAAAATTGTTAGATATGAGTTCTAAATTTCTCTTCAAAGAATCAATATGTCAGTATGTTCAATTCTTTGCCTTCTACTTATAAACTTAACTTCCTCATAAAGCAACCTTTTTCCATTACCTGCTCCACCCGGACTCATTCTGATTACCTGCTTCTCCCTGACTCATTCTCCACCCTGACTCATTCCGATTTCTCACTCTGCCATAACCATTTTTCCTGCCAAACCGCTCACCCCGTCACTCTCTTTAAATTAGCCAATTGGAATTAGTTTAGTTTGTGCGATCTAACCCTAGCCAATAGGGAAATGACACAGCATCAGGGGCCACGTGCATCAGGGATAAGGACCCCTTCCCCTCCTTTGTCCAAGTGTGCGCTCACCATCGCTCCATCTGTCAGGGCGCACCCTTTTATAGAAGAACATGGCCTTGCAGAGAATTAAAAAGAAAATTTTATATTTGAGTGCTATTTCTTTTGCGGCACCGAAACTTTATAACAATTTCAGGGCTCACCCTTGATTACATTTCCCCCAGGGGCGGTCTCCGGTTCTCTCTCCTGAGGAGGCGCACCCCGCCCCCTTGTGGTGGCCTCAGGGGTGAGAAATCAGGACCACCCAGTGCGAGGAATAACCGGAGCTCTCTGCAACGCTGAAAGAAACTGGCCAGCAACCTAGCTTAAAGGATCCTCACATCTGCGGCGATGACTCTGTGCACAGACCAAGGAAGGAGAAGCCGCCGGAGCCAGTAAAGTACTCCCTTGGTGGTCAAATTCCGGAGGGCTAAATGTGTGTGTGCATGAATGATCACAAATAACCCTACCTGCGGTGTTGTTCATGTGGATGGTGACAAGACCTACTGCTGGACAGAGTGAGTGGGACCTCTCCGCAGTTCCGTAGCTACCTCATATGGCTTAGGGCGGATCCTGCCGTGGGATTTATACTGGCACACCGACACTAAGAGGGGCCTAATTCTCCCTTGGGGGAGCAGCCAGAGAGGGCAACACAAGTGGGAAGTGTGCAAGGGACCTTGAGAGGGGGAAAGGGAGGAAACAGGTCAACCTCCCAGAGCAGCAAGGTAAGACATCCCTGATTTAAGGGATTGAGCCTTCCAGGGCAGGCAAAGCGAGACACCCCTGGTTTGAGGGGTTGAGTCTTCTGCAAGTTTCATGAACCTCACACAAACCTCCAGTAGCAAGAAAAATATTCAGGACTCCCCTTGCCTTTCTTCTCAGGGGAAGAAAGAGTAACTCCACTCCTGCCGGTCCCTCCCCTAGGGAAAGGGGAAGGAGAGGGGAGAACAGCGGCATAAGCGGCTGGCAGAGGCAGAGAAAGAGAGAGTCAAAGAGAGAGACAGAGAGAGAGAGAGAGAAAGAGAGGCAGAGAGAGAGAGAAAGAGAGGCAGAGAGAGAGAGAAAGAGGCAGAGAGAGAGAGAGAGAAAGAGACAGAGAGACAAAAAGGGAGTCAAAGAGAGAGAAATTGAGAGACAGAGTCAGAGAGAGAGAGAGAAGTAGTAAAGAGAAAACAGTGTAACCTATTCCTTTAAAAGCCAGGGTAAATTTAAAACCTGTAATTAATGATTGAAGGTCTTCTCCATGACCCTATAACACTCCAATACCACCTTGTTGCCAGTGTTAACAAGGGCATAGCCCAAAAGCACTGAGGCCACTGACAACCCGTAGCCTTCCTATCAAAAATCCTTAACCCAGTAACCCACGGATGGCCCATATGCATTCAATCTGTAGTGGCAACTGCTTTGCTAACAGAAGAAAGTAGAAAAATAACTTTTAAAGGAAACCTCATTGTGAGCACACCTCACCAGTTCAGAACTACCTAAGTCAAAAAAGCATAAAGGTAGCTTACTAACTCAAAAATCTTAAAGTTTTGAGATTTTAGTAAGTTAGTAAGTTTTGTGATTTTTGGGGCTATTCTATTAGAAAAAGATGATTTAACACTAGCCACTGAAAATTCCCTTAACCCAGCAGGTTTCCTAACAGGGGATCTAAATCTTAATTACCATAGAAAGTTCAGATCACACCTAGGAGGAACTCCCTTCAGGACAGGATGATAGATGGTTCCTCCCAGGTGACTGAGGGAAAAAGACACGATGGATATTCAGTAAGTGATAAGGAAACTCTTGTAGAAGCAGAGTTAGGAAAATTGCCCAGTAGTTGGTCTGCTCAAACGTGGGAGCTGTTTGCACTCAGCCAAGCCTTAAAGTACTTACAGAATCAGGAAGGAGCCATCTATACAAATTCTAAGTTAACAGGGACTGAACGAGGTCTTATTAATAGCAAAGAATAATTGAAATCCCAAACATACAAGGTTTTCAACAAAAGCAAAGTTTGCTAAAAGTTAACAGTGTAACATGTATTATCCTAACTTCTAATCTTGTGGCCTTAGACACAGACATGAAGTTCACTTGGGAAAAGAATGGTTATCATATTTGAGAAAAAAAAGGGGGGGGGGTAGAATTTATGTAAAAAGGAATGTTATGGTAAATTCTTAAAGTAAATTAACTGGTTGTTTAAAGAAAGGGATGTTGGCAACAAGTTAGAAAGTTGAGGCATGTTGAAGAATTGTCTGTGAAAGTCGTGAAAAAATGTTATAAAAGGGAATTTATGCAAGAAATGTATAATTTAAAAGTAATTAGGCCTCCTGAATGTAAAACTATTGAAGAAAGAGTTTGTGTGCAAGGTATGTAAGGAAAGTAGAATATACTTTTGGTAAAAGGATTACAAGGAGGCATAAGAATGTGGATTTTTACCTACATTAAAAGGTTAAAAAAATACATTTTGTTTTAAAGGTTTAAGCAAGTTTTGAAATGTTAATTGTAAAGGAAATTCTGTGTGTAATCATACTGGCTGAAGTTAAAGGGGTATCATCCAGTTTTTCTGTGAACTGGACATTAAAATAAAAGCACAACAGGTTTTTCTTAAAGCACTAACCTGCTCTTTAACAAAAATTATAAAAAGGTTAAAAAGAGTCTGTAAAAATCTTACATTATGATCAGACATTAAAAATTGGATAAATATGTCTACAAGGTTTTACTAAAATTAAGTTTAACATTAATAACACACTAATATAAAGATGAAATTTAGCTTATCTGGTATAAAAATCATACAGGAAGCATTGTCAAATACAAAATGGTGTTTGGCCTTCTTTGGTCTAAAAACTAATAAAAATAGGTGCCAAAGAAAATTTCTCAACAAGAAAGCATGAAGGACTATAAAGTCCACTGTTGATATCCCCACGTTTAAAACAAAAGATCAATTTCTTAGAAATTATATACTCGGTTTATCCTCCACCTTCTCTTCCCTTAAAACAGAGGTCTTTTAGCACAGGTGCTGCCTTTGGACTTTCCAGTGCCTCAGCATCAGCCTGGGGATCACGTTCTCATCAAAGAGGGGAAAGAAGGGAAACTCGAGCCAGCCCGGGAAGGACCCTACCTTGTGCTGCTAACCACTGAGACTGCTGTTCGTAAGGTTGGAAAGAGATGGACACATCACACATGAGTCAAGCAAGCACCATTATCCTCAGAATCATGGGCCATTGTTCCTGGATCAAGCCCTACCAAATTAAAGCTAAGGAAAGCTTAGTCTATCTATCTTTTCCTTTCCCTTCCTTACCCAGTGCTTATATCCATTACTATTCCTACCACTAGCAACTCTAACCCCACTTTAGAACGCTTCTGTGGTTTAGGAGCAGAGGTCACTGGAAAGGATCCTATGGGCTTCTTTAAGGTGGGCTTTGTTCTCCCTCCTCCACCTCCTATGGCTGCCCCTTTCCCAAACCTACAAAATCAAACTATGACTCACCTCATGCCAAATGACAAAAGCAAGGTCCCGGTAGTAGAAATAGGAGACCTAAGGCAAACCATAGCCATTAAAACAGGGTATAAAAATGTAAATGCCTGGTTAAAATTGATTAAATATTCTGTCCACACGTTAAACAAAGGCAATTTTTATGCTTGTGCACATGACAGGCCAGAAGCCCAGATTGTCCCCTTTCCACTAGGGTGGCCCTCTAGTTGACTGGGCATGGCCTGCATGGCAGATCTTTCCCAGGATTATTCAGCCTGGGGTAACAAGTCGTGCCAAGCTCTCTCTCTGCTACATCCCGAAGTTCAACACCCTGCGGGTCAGCCCCCAAGGGCCATCCAGCTTCCATCTCCCAACACTAAGTTCACTTCGTGTCTCTCAGGACCGGGAGGAAACTTAGCGTTCCTTGGAGTCCTGAAGGGATGCAGTGAGATTAAGAAATTTCAAGAGCTTACCAATTAGCCCTTACTCATCCCTGAGCAGATGTGTAGTGGTATTATGATGGACCTTTACTGGACACTCTGCCGAGTAACTGAAGTGGCACTTGCTTTAGTCCAGTTGGCTATCCCTTTCACGCTGGCATTTCATCAACCAGAGAAAGGAAAAATAAGATATCATAAAGCAAAAGAAGCCCCTTATGGGTCTTTTGACTCTCACATCTATTTAGACATAATTACAGTCCCACAGGGAATACCAGATCAATTTAAAGCCTGAAATCAAATAGCTGCAGGATTTGAGTCAATATTTTGGTGGGTGACAATAAAATGTAAATTGGATAAACTACATCTATTACAACCAACAGCCATCCATTAACTACACTAGAGATGCTGTTAAAGGAATAGCTGAGCAATTAGGGGCTACTAGCCAGATGGCTTGGGAAAAATAGGATAGCCTTAGACATGATATTAGCAGAAAAAGGAAGAATTTGCATCATAATTAAAAATCAATGTTGTAACTTCATCCCAAACAACACCGCCCCTAATGGAAGTATAACAAAGGCATTGCAAGGTCTGACTGCTCTATCCTGAGTTAGCCAATAACTCGGGGGTAAATGACCCCTTTACAGGATGGCTGGAAAAGTGGTTCAGTAAATGGAAAAGAATAGTAGCCCCAATTCTTACTTCCATCGCAGCCATCATAGGTGTGCTTATTCTTGTCGGGTGTTGTGTCACACTAAGGAAGGAGACCGCTACAACTCCTGCTGCCCTCCTCCCACCACCTTGCCTAGTTCACAAGACAGGAGGAAAGAGAGAAAGCAAAAAGCTGGAAAGAAGCAAAAGTAAGATAAATAGCCAGACAACCTTGGCACCACCACCTGGCCCTAGGAGTTAAAAAGGTAATAATAATAACATCAACCCCAGACCTAAACTACTTGTGTTATCTGTAAATTCCAGACATTGTATGAAAAAGCATTGCAAAACTTTCTGTTCTGTTAGCTGATGCATGTAGCCTCCAGTCACGTTCCCCACGCTTGCTGGATTTATCACGACCTTTTCATGTGGACCCCTTTAGAGTTGTAAGCCTTTAAAAAGGCCAAGAATTCAGTTTGCAGGGAGCTCAGCTCTTAAGATGCAAGTCTGCCGATGCTCTCAGCCAAGTAAACCTCTTCCTTCTTTAATCCAGTGTCTGAGGAGTTTTGTCTGCGTTGGTGCAGAGGTTTATAAAAACGGCACTTACTAAAACCTCCCTTAACTATCCTCCACCTTATCCAGAGAAGCTTCTTCTTTTGGAAAATCAAGCAGAACAACTAAGCCAAGACATGTTAAAGAAGTTTGAAGGGAAAGAGCTGTAAGGAAATGCAAGAGGAGAGATTGTTAGATATGAGTTCTAAATTTCTCTTCAAAGAATCAATATGTCAGTATGTTCCATTCTTTGCCTTTTACTTGTAAACTTCCTCGTAACGCAAACATTTTCGATTACCTGCTCCATCCTGACTCATTCCGATTACCTGCTCTGCCCTGAATTCTGATTTCCTGCTCTGCCATAACAATTTTTCCCGCCAAATCACTCACCCTGTCACTCTCTTTAAATTAACCAATTGGCATTAGTTTAGCCTGTGCGGTCTAACCCTAACCAATAGGGGAACAACACAGCAGCAGAGGCCACGTGCATCAGGGATAAGAACCCCTTCTCCCTTGTCCAAGTGTGCGCTCGCCATTGCTCCATCTATAAGGGCGCACCCTTCTATAGAAGTACATTGCCTTGCTGAGAATTAAAAAGAAAATTTTATATTCGAGTGCTATGTCTTTTGCGGCACCGAAACTTTATTTATAACAAAATCTACAAGGGCTTAACGATAAAGTCAAAATTACTGACAAGCTCAGGGAAAATGCAGACTTCAGCCCCAGGTGGCTACAATCCCTCTTTAATGAATTCCAGTCTTCTTTATGGAATTGGTTAACCCCTTTAATAAGCACCCTCTTGCTGTTATGTCTTGTATTAATAATTGGACCCTGTATACTCAATACTATAACTTGAATTGTTTCCTCTCACCTAGAAGCGATCAAACTCCAAATGGTCCCGCAAACTGAGCCACTCATGGACAGGCCTTTCTTCTGAGGACCTTTAGGTTGACCCCACAAGGAGCCCTCGCTGCTGTTCCCCATTCAACGCCCCTTTTCAGCAGGAAGCAGCCAGAAAGAGTCATCAGCCAAAACCTCCTAACAGCAGTTAGGGTGACATCTCCACAGGGGGGAATGTTATAGGAGTTATTAAGAAATTATTTTAGGCAGATAGAGAGGAAAAGGGGTCCTTGGGAAGTTTTTGTTTCTTTCTTTTAAAGCAGCTGCATAAATGTTTCTTGTCTAGCAGGAAAGCACAGGCTCTTAGAGCCAGGCCGGCAACCTTTGATATGCAATTGCAGGCCATTAGAAACTGGGTCCACCCAAACATGGCGATTCCTGCCCTCTTCTTCTTAGTGCCTCAATCACTCATTTTGGTCGTTACCAGAAAGGAACTCATATTTAGCTGGAATCTATGCCAGGTAATGTTACAGAGGGTAGTAGTCAGACATGAACAGGGCAGGAGAAGGCCCCCACACCCCACCAGGAATGTCAGGTGATGGTCCAGCAGTTGTCCCACTGCCTCTCTAAAATAATAACTGGTCTGAGCCAGCACCAGGGAAAGACAGTTTCCCAACAGATTAAAAAAACACCTGAAACTGGTGATTGGCAGCTTCCCGATAAGATCTCAGGAATTGGGTGAGTGGGCTCAATCATGTGCATTAAGAGGCAAAATAGCAGAGTTTAACTGGCATATGACCTTCCAGGTACATTCCACCAGAAAAGGGAAGAACACCTACCTCAGGTGAGCATGCATACAACTCTAGCAAACACACTGCGCATGCTCACCTCCCGAGCCTAGCAGGCCACCGCGCATGCACGCAGATCACCCTCGCCCTAAGGGAAGAATGAGGGGAAGAGGCACCAGATGTTGGAAGTATGCCAGCACCTAAATCCCTAAATCCAAGGTCAAGTGGGGCACTTGTCCTTCAACTTGCCCAGCTGGGCCTCCTCCAAGTGTACTTTCCTTTCTTTCATTCCCGTTCTAAAGCTTTTTAATAATCTTTAGCTTCTGCTCTGATACTTGCCTTGGTCTCTTATTCTGCCTTATGCCCCTCAGTCAAATTCTTCTGAGGAGGCAAGAATTCAGGGAGGGAGGGAAGGAGGGAGGAAAGTGAAGGCAGGGAGGGAGGGAGGGAGGGAGGAGGGAGGGAGGATGGAAGGAAGGAAGGGAGGAAGGGAGGGAGGGAGGGAGGGGGCAAGTGAAGGGAGGAAGGGAGGAAAGTGAAGGGAGGAAGGAAGGAAGGAAGGAGAAGGGAAGAAGGAAAGGAAGGAAGGAAGGATACATCCTTGAATAAGGATCAATGAGGACCAAAGCCCCAAAATGACAAATGTCCCATAGGACAGGGTGGGGTAGCATTTCTAATGTGATGCTAGCCTGCGTTCCATCAAAAATGGGTTTACTGGCCGGGTGCAGTGGCTCACACCTGTAATCCCAGCACTTTGGGAGGCCGAGGCAGGTGGATCACTTGAGGTCAGGAGTTCGACACCAACCTGGCCAACATGTTGAAACCCCAACTCTCCTAAAAATACAAAACATTAGCTGGGTGTGGTGGTAGGCGCCTGTAATCCCAGCTACTCGGGAGGCTGAAACAGGAGAATCACCTGAACCCACGAGGCAGAGGTTGCAGTGAGTTGAGATAGTGCCATTGCACTTCAGCCTGGGCAACAAGAGTGAAACTCTGTCTCAAAAAAAAAAAAAAAAAGTTTACAAATCCCATCGTAACCTGAAGGCAATTGCTTTGAGATCTGTTCACAAGAGCCATAGATTTATCATGTAACTTAACTTCATTTGGTACAAACTTTGTTTTTTTTTTGGAGTTGGCCCCATTTGGGAAAATCAGAATGTAGATCTGGAATTTAAATATTGCCTACAAAGCTAAACAGACAAAATGCAGTTGTTGCTTACCTGAAACAAATGTTTGCGGCATCTAAGGACTGATAGGCTGGGACAGAATTAAGATAGTGTTAGGAAAGGGTCCCCTAAGGTTGGGTCGAGTTGCCCTTTCATAGGAAGAAGAGAGGCCTGGGAAAACTTTCTAACCAGGAAGGTAGACATTAATGTCCATAGTTAACATTAGTCAATGATTATTTACTAGGTATGCTCTTTTTAGAGACGTTTATGTACACTCTCGTTTAGTCTTAGTACAGCTCATAATGAGCTGGTACTATTATAACCCTCATTTTACAGAGGAGGAAACAGCCTTCACATGTGTACAGAAATCAGTGAAGCCTGCCTATCACCCATACTTGCTGGGTTCAACATGAACGGCACAGGCAAGGAGAAAGCCCTGTGACCAGCGGTACCAGAAAGAGTGAAAGGGCGCCATCTAGTGACTGTCATGGTGGTTGGCAGTAGAGGTTGGAAGCCGGTGGTTTTTTTTCGTGGGTTTTTTTTGCTGTTGTTTTGGGGTTGTTTTTCTGTGTGAGACAGAGTTTTGCTCTTGTTGCCCAGGCTGGAGCGCAACTGCGGACTACCAATTTCAGTTGTTTCTATCTACTGGGAAACGGCCGCTCCCTGGTGCCAGCTGCAACCAATTATCATTTTAGCGAGGCAGGATGACAACCTCCGGCCCATCACGTGATGGTCGCCTGACATTTCTGGTGTGTGGGGGGAGCTGTCTCCTGCCCTGCTCATGCCCCACTAGCTACCTACTGTAACATTCTCGGGTATCTGGAATACAGTACTAAGCATCTTAAAAAAAACTTCACTGGCGGCCGGGCACAGTGGCTCATGCCTGTAATCCCAACACTTTGGGAGACCAAGGCAGACGGATCACGAGGTGAGGAGTTAGAGACCAGCCTGGCCAACATGGTGAAAACCCCATCTCTACTAAAAGTACCAAAATGAGCCGGCCATGGTGGCGTGCGCCTGTAGTCCCAGCTACTCAGGAGGCTGAGGCAGGAGAATCACTTGAACCTGGGAGGCAGAGGTTGCAGTGAGCCGAGATTGCACCATTGCACTCCAGCCTGGGCAACTAACAGTGAAACTCTGACTCAAAAAAAAACAAAAAACAAAAAACAACCCCCCCCCCCCCCCCACACACACACACACACACACACGCAGAGGCAAAATGGCGGGGGGTAACCTTCTAGGGGGTCATTCCACCGGAAACGGGAAGAACGACTCAGGTGAGCATGCCTGCAGCTCCAGTAAACACACGTAACTCCGGTAAACATGCTTGCCTCCCAAGCACAATCAGGTCACTGCGCATGCGGGTGGCTCACCCTAAGGGAAGAATGAAGGGAAAGGGGTGCAAGACGCCGGAAGCAGGGCAGCATGTAAAATCCTAGGTCCAAGGTCAAACGGAGCACTTGACCTCCAAGGTGCCCCCTTAAGCCTCTTCCAAGTGTACTTTCCTTTCTTTCATTCCTGCTCTAAATCTTTTTCATCAATTTCCACTCCGCTGTAAAACTTGCCTCGGTCTCTTTTCCTGCCTTATGACAATCTATTTTTTTCTTCTGAGGAAGGAAGAGTTGAGGCTGCTGCAGACCTGTACAGATTCGCTGCCGGTCTCTCAGATAACTTCCACTACTAGCAAGAAAGCAAACACACCACATCAATGAACCACCACCATGTAGCTTAAGAGCTGTAAACTTTCACTTTTACTTTTTTTTTTTTTTTTTTTTGAGATGGAGTCTCCCTCTGTCACCCAGGCTGGAGTGCAATTGTGCAATCTTGGCTCACTGCAACCTCCACCTCCGGGGTTCAAGCAGTTCTCCTGCCTCACCCTCCTGAGTAGCTGGGATGACAGGCATGTGCCACCACACCTGGCCAACTTTTTGTAGAGATGGGGCTTTGCCATGTTGGCCAGGCTGATCTCAAACGCCCAGCCTCAAGTGATCCACCCACCTCAGCCTCCCAAAGTGCTGGGATTACAGGCATGAGCCACCGTGCCTGGCCAATTCTTCACTTTTTCAAGTAAATATATGCACACTGATTAAAAACCCAAATGAACGAAAGCTAGATACAGTGGGAAGTCAGCCTCCACATCCCCCAGCTACCCAGTCCTCCCCAGAAGCAACTGCTGTTACCAGCTTCCCATGTCCCCTTCCAGAGACAGTCTAAGTAAGCAAATACTTTGATACAAATAATAGCATACCACGGTAGCCGGAATAAAGCCTCCTCACCAAGGTGTCCGTGTCCTAATGCCTGGGATCAGTAAATATGTGATACGGCAATAGGGACGGGGCAGCTGATTCAAGTTAAAGGCCTTGAGAAGGCAGATTATCCAGGTGGGCCCTATGTAATCAAACAAATCCTTAAAGCTGAGAACCTTCCCAGGCTGTAGTCAGAAGAAGATGTGACTTTGGGGTTAGAGAGACGCAAAGTTGCTGGTACTGAAGATGGAGGAAGCCACGTAATGCAGGTGACAAAAACACTGATTCTCTCCTTAGCCCCCTGGAAAGGCGTGCAGCCCTGCTGGCGCCTTGATCCCAGGCAGGTGAGGCCTGTGTCAGACTTCCTACCCCAAAATCAGAAGGTAATAAGTTTGTGTCTTAAGCCCCTAAATTTGAGAACATTTGCTACAGCAACAATAGAAAACTAATAAATACACTAGTACCCTTTTCTTTCCTTCTTTCTTCCTTTCCTTTTTTTTTTTTTTTTTGACGGAGACTCACTCTGTCACCCAGGCTGGAGTGCAGTGACGTGATCTCGGCTCACTGCAATCTCTGCCTCCCCTGTTCAACCTGTTCAAGCAATTCTCCTGCCTCAGACTCCCAAGTAGCTAGGATTACAGATGCACAGCACCACACCTGGATTTTTTTTTTTTTTTTTTTTTTTTTTGTATTTTTAGTAGAGACATGGTTTCACCACATTGGCCAGGCTGGTCCGGAACTCCTGACCTCAAGTGATCCACCCACCTCAGCCTCCACTGCACCCAGCATCATCTTCTTCTTCTTTTTTTTTTTTTTTCAAGATAAGGTCTTGCTTTGTTGCCCAGACTGAGTGCAGTGGTGCAATAATGGCTTACAGCAGCCTTAAACTCTGTGGCTCAAGCGACCCTCCTGCCTCAGCCCCGGGAGTAGCTGGGACCACAGATATGCACCACCACCCTCAGCTAATTTTTAAAAATTTTTTGTAGAGATGGGGTCTATGTTGCCAAGGCTGGTCTTAAACTTCTGGCCTTAAGCAATCCTCCCACCTCAGGCTCCCAAAGTTCTAGGATTAGAGGCATGGGCCACCGTGTCCCACCTCCTTTCCTCACTTAATACATTTTGAAGCCTCTTCCCTTTTACAATATTTAGAGCTGCCTCATTCTTTTTAATGGCTGCATAGCATCTCATCATATGAGTATTTAATCGTTCTATTAAGGATGGTCACGGGGCTATTTGAGACATATAAATAAGTTACAAATAAGTCTGTAATGTCATACTTCCCAATTATTCTCATCTCATAGCACACACAAATATATTAATATTTATATAACACACTGAAGTGAATTGAAGGTACTGAGGTCATTTACCTTGGACCTTGATGGAAAATGTTACTAATAATACTTTCTTTTTCTTTCTTTTTTTTTTTTAAATGAGACAAGTTCTCATTCTATTGCCCAGGCTGGAATGCAGTGGCATGATCACGGCTCACTGCAGCTTCAGCCTCCCAAGTACCTGGGACCATTGGTGCACACCACCACACCTGGCTAATTTTTTATTTTTAGTAGAGACGAGGTCTTACATGTTACCCAGGCTGGTCTGGAACTCCTAGGCTCAAGCGATCTTCTCACCTCAGCCTTCCAAAGTGCTGGGATTACAAGCGTGAGCCACCATGACTGGCCTATATTCTTTATATTATATAGTTTTGTTAGTTTTTTCAGACAGGCTTTCTCTCTGTCACCAAGGCTGGAGTGCAGTGAAATGATCTCAGCTCACTGCAGCCTCCACCTCCTGGGCTCAAGCTATCCTCCTGCCTCAGCCTCCCAAGTAGCTGGGACCATAGGCAAGCACTACCACACTTGGCTAATTTTTGTATTCTTTTGGTAGAGTCAGGGTTTCACCATGTTACCCAGGCTGGTCTCAAACTCCTAGACTGAAGCAATCCACCTGCCTCGGCCTCCCAAAGTGCTAGGATTACAAGTGTAAGCCACCACACCCGACATACAGTTATTAAACACACAAACACACATACAGGAGAAGATATTGACATTGAATTTATATAAAACTTTTTTTTAACTGAGGGTCCCACTCTGTCACCCAGGCTGGAGTACAGTGGCGTGATCCTAGCTCATTGCACCCTCAAACTCTAGGGCTCAAGGGATCCTCCCACCTCAGCCTCTCAAGTAGCTAGGACTACAGGTGTGCACCACCACGCCCATGTAATTTTATTTTATTTTTTTAGAGTTAGAGTCTCTTATTACTGCCCAGACTGGTCTCAAACTCCTGGGTTCAAGCAATCCTCCTACTTCAACTTCCCAAAGTGTTGGGATTACAAGCATGAGCTACCATACCTGGCCTATACAAAACTTCTAAGTCTTTAATTTTTTTGAAGAAGTTGATTTTTTTTATTTATAATATCAGGCTTTATATTATTTAATATTTTAAATATCAGGCTTTATGCCTGAAATAGCTGATTCTCATTATTCACCACAGTTATGTTCTATAAAGTCATTGCAAACACTGAATCTGTTAATACTAAATTATTGTTCCTAGTGGAAATACAGGGTTAAGTTCCTATGAGCCTCTGGCCACATTTTTATAAACTGAAATGCCACTTGTGGTACAGGTTCATTTGCCAACTTCCTTGCATAACAAACCAGTTTCATTAGCATTGAAAACCTGTTCTTCCACAGGACTCTTTTAAAATATCACTCAGCAGGTATTTTAAAAATTCTTCCAGATCTGCAGAACATGCCTCACCTGCAACTTGATGTTTTTCACTCCATGTCACCTTCTGAAACACGCTTGCTGACCAGCAGTGGCTGAGAAGGGTTTAACAATGTTCTAATCCTGTATCATGTGACTGGAAGTTTCTTGGGCTTTCAGCTTCACAGTGCTGTCTGCTATGTTTGGTTGGTTTTGTTAAATGGGTCGTCATCTCAGGAATCCACAAATGTAGCCACTTCTCCATAGCTTCATCACAGATTGGCAGTCTTCTTCCTTTTTCTGGATGGACTGTATTGTTAACTCATTCATGCTGAGCTCACAGCCAACAGCACTACAACTCATGCCTGAATCGAAGCCTATCAAAGGCCCATCCCAGCCTTCCTGTGCCAAGGAATGCTGGACAACACTTCAGCATTCTGCATGGGGCCATTTTGAACAGGCACAGTGGCTCACACCTATAATCCCAACACTTTGGGAAGCCAAGGTGGGCAGATCACTTGAGGTCAGGAGTTTGACACCAGCCTGGCCAACATGGTGAAACCCCATCTCTACTAAAAATACAAAAATTAGCTGGGCGTAGTGGTGCGCACCTGTAATCCCAGCTACTAGGGAAGCTGAGGCAGGAGAATTGCTTGAACCCCAGAGTGCAGTGGTTGCAGTGAGCCGAGATTGCACCACTGCACTCCAGCCTGGGTCACAGAGCAAGACTCTGTCTTAACCAAAAAAAAAAATCACCACCAAGAGGCACAAAAATGTGAAAAATGTGGCACTAAGACCACAAAAAGGACACTGATTTACAATATCAGAGCAAAACAAGAAGGCAGGGTGTCCCCTTGTTTGACTTCATCTGCGAACGTGCGTGTTAGGTGATAAAAATTTTTGCCACTCTGTGCGTACCTGCAAACAGCTGCAAAAGTGCCAGGAGCACTGATTTTGGAGTTACGAGTAAATTTTAGTGAGTAGTTGAATTCACAAAATGGAGTTCATGAATAATGAGGACTCTCTAGATGCAATTCCTGATCAAGATAACTTTTTAAAGATGATCGCTTCCTTTTTTTTTTTTTTTTTTTTTTAGTGTTACCATTGATTAGAAAATGTGTTTGCAGGCCGGGCATGGTGGCTCACGCCTGTAATCCCAGCACTTTGGGAGGCTGAGGCAGGCAGATCACAAGGTCAGGAGATCGAGACCATCCTGGCTAACACGGTGAAACCCCGTCTCTACTATAAATAACAAAAAATTAGCCGAGCATGGCGGCAGGTGCCTGTAGTCCCAGCTACTTGGGAGGCCGAGGCAGGAGAATGGCGTGAACCCCCGGGAGGCGAAGCTTGCAGTGAGCCAAGATCACGCCACTGCACTCCAGCCTGGGTGACAGAACGAGACTCCATCTCAAAAAAAAAAAAAAAAAAAAAAGGGAAATGTGTTTGCTCAAGTAGGTGGGAACAAACAGGAGACTGTTTATCCCTATTTTTTAAACATTTTCTGTTCTTGCCATTAACTAGATTTCAGATAATTTAATCTATTTAATTCATAGTTCTAAGCAATAGTCTAGTCTTTAAATCTAATAGCTTTTCTTTTCATTCACAAATTGACATTGTCCTGTGATATTGTCAATGAATTCTGAGTCCAGTCAAACTTTTCCATTTCAAATCATCACTAACCAAAAGAAGCAGAATTTCAGCTACAAATGCAATCACATGTCATTTCAAATTTTGTAGTAGCACATTGCAGTAAAAAAGAAACATGTGAAACTAACATTTTAACATTTAATTTCACCCAACACGAAATATCATTGGAAAATGATGTGTGTTTTGCAGTATGATCAGCGTGAAAAATATTAGTGAGGTACTTAACAATTTTCTGTACTAAGTCTTTGAAAGTTTCTGTTGATGGCAACATCTCATTCAGGCTGGTAACATTAACATTAAGTGCTCACTAGCCACAATGTTACTACCTCATTGAACAGTATTTCAAAAATAACACTCAAGCCATTCCTCAAGTACACGTAAATATTATTCTAGTAACTATAATTTTTTAGAATTAAATTTATATTAATAATGCTGACTAGTAGCTACTAGTAAAAAATTCCTAAACTCACTTTTCCAAAGTTAAATTTTTGCTTTAAAAGCATACACTTTTTCAATACACATTTGTATCTGTACATACATATGAGATATTTTCACATGATCCATGCAGTATTCTTTTCTTTCTTTCCTTCTTTCTTTTATTTTCTTTCTTGTTTTTTGTTTCTGTTTTTATTTTTTTGGAGTCAGGGTCTAACTCCCATAGCCCAGGCTGGAGTGCAGTGGTATGACATGATCTTGGCTCACTGCAACCCCCACCTGCCAGGCTCAAGTGATCCTCCCACCTCAGCCTCCCAAGTAGCTGGGACTATAGGCGTGCACCACTGCACCTGGCTAATTTTTGTCTTTTTAAAAGAGATGGAGTTTTGCCATGTTGCCCAGACTGGTCTGGAACTCCTGGGCTCAAGCTATCTGCCTGCCTCAGCCTCTCAAAGTGTTGGGATTACAGACATGAGCCACTGTGCTTGGCAATATTAATTTTAAAAAAATTTTTTAGAGACATAGTCTCACTCTGTCACCCAGGCTAGAATGCAGTAGTGTGATGATAGGTCACTTGCAGCCTCAAGCTCCTGGGCTCAAGGGATTCTCCTGCTTCAGCCTCCTAAGTAGGTAGGACTACAGGTGCACACCACCACACCTGGCTAATTTTTTTAATGTTTTGTGGAGATGGCTAATTTTTAAAATTTTTTGTGAAGATGGAGTCTCACTGTGATGCCCAGGATGGTCTCAGACTCCTGGCCTCAAGTCATCCTCCCGCCTCAGCCTCACAAAGTGCTGGGATTACAGGTGTGAGCCACCACGCTCCGCCTCCCTAATCTTTACTGTATTACCTACTGGGCAATGTAAGTGATTTTTTGACTGCCAGTCTAGGGAGTCAGATGACTGCCCAGCTTGTGGTGGCCGGCCTCCAAGACCATCCCATGATCCCTGCCTTCTGTTCTTCAGACCCTGTGTAGGCCCTTCCCACACTGGATCAGACTTGCTCTGTGTGACCAGCAGACATGGGGAAGGAATGGTAGAAGAAACTAGGTCATAAAAGACAGTTTGGCTTTCATCTTCCCCCTCTCTTGGTTCACTCACTCTGGAGGAAGCCAGCTGCAGTGTCTTGAGGCCACCCAAGGAGAGGCCCTCTTGGCTAAGAGCTGAGGCCTCCAGCCACCAGCTTTCTGTCCCCAGATGACCGCAGCCCCAGCTGACAGCAAGATGGCTCACGAGAGGCCCCGAGGCGGAACTACCCAGCCAAGCTACTCTCATTCCTGATCTACAGAAACTGAGAAAATAAATGTTTTAAGCCAACAAAGTTTGAAGTAACTTGTTATGTAGCAATAAGTTACTAACATACAGACTTAACTTTAAAAGTTATATTTAGTTGGGCACAGTGGCTCATGCCTGTAATCCCAGCACTTTGGGAGGCTGATGTGGGCAGATCACCTGAGGTCAGGGGTTCGAGACCAACCTGGCCAACATGGGAAACCCCATCTCTACTAAAAATACAAAAATTAGCCAGGCGTGGTGGCAGGTGCCTGTAGTCCCAGCTACTTGGGAAGCTGAGGCGGAAGAATTGCTTGAATCCAGGAGGGGGAGGTTGCAGTGAGTGGAGATGACACCACTTCACTCCAGCCTGGGCGACAGAATGAGACTCCGTCTAAAAATAATAATAATAATGTTATATTTAGATATAAAGAATTTAAGGGACTAAAGAGTTTCCACAGTTTTTTTTCAAACTTTTGAAATTTGATATTTCAAAAAATAAATCTTGGCCAGGCACAGTGGCTCATGCCTGTAATCCCAGCGTTTTGGGAGGCTGAGGTTAGCAGATCACTTGAGGTCAGGAGATCGAGACCAGCCTGGGTAACATGGCGAAACCCCATCTCTACAAAAAATACAAAACACTAGCCGAGTATTGTGGTGCATGCCTGTAGTCCCAGCAACTTGGAGAGAGACAGGAGGTTGAGGCCACAGTGAGCCATGATCATGCCACTGCACTCCAGCCTGGGTGACAGGGTGAGACCCTGAATCAATTAATCCATCTTACATCAGCCACTTCTTAGGAATGCTTTAAACCAACTCAACCTTTTTAGATTAAGCATAGATGAGCGAAATACAATATGGAAATATTAGTTTTACTTAAAATTCTGAAAAAGCAACAAAATATTATATTCATGTAGAGTCAATTGTGAAAAAAACTGATTCCTGAAGCCACAAAGTCTACACCTTTATTGTATCAACTTTATGTTCAATTAATATTTTTAAGAATATTTCTATGATTAAAAATTAATTATAAATCCTATCAAGAATCAAACTTACTAAATGTTAACTTTAAAAGCCAGTAAGATCTACAACACAGATGAACCTTGAAACATACTAAGAGAGGCTGGTTGTGGTCGCTCATGTCTGTAATCCCAGGACTTTGGGAGGCTGAGGTGGGCAGATCACTGGAGCCCAGGAGTTTGAAACCAGCCTGGCTAACATGGTGCAACCTTGTGTCTACAAAAAAATACAAAAAATGAGCAGGGCATGGTGGTGCACCCCTGTAGTCCCACGTACACAGAAGACTGAGGTAGGAGGATCACTTGAGCCCAGGGAGGTCAAGACTGCAGTGAGCTATGATTGCACCACTGGGCTCCAGCCTGAGCAACAGAGCGAGACCTTGTCTCAAAAAAGAAAAAAAAAAAAAAAACCCACTACGTGAAAGTCAGTCACAAAGGGCCACATCTTACTGTTTCATTTATCTGAAATGTCTAGAATTGGTAAGTCTATATAAATGGAAAACAGGTTAGTGGCTGCCTAGGGATGAAGGCATGGAAGGAAATGGGGAATGACTGCTAATGGCTATGGGGTTTGTTTTAGGGGTGATGAAAATGTCCCAAAATAGTGGTAATGGTTGTATAATTCTGTGAACATACTATCAATCATTGAATTGTATACTTTAAATGGGATTTAATTCACATTACATCTCAATAAAACTATTTTTTAAAGAAGAAAATGTTCAAGGAACAAGGGTTGCTAAATAACAGAGGATAACTGTTGTTTGACAACAGCACAAAAATTATTTCCCAAAAAGTGTAATGGCCCTGGAAAATGAGTGCAACGGGATCTTCTCTTGAACCTGGATAGCGGGGTGTGGACAGCTGGGCACACTGAAGGCGGTGATACAGAACTAAAAGCAACAGGACAGCTATGAAGGGAAAAGAAAATCAGTGTGGCTACCAAGACATTTTAGTGTCTGCTTTCAAGAAGGTCCTCCCCCCATGCTTGGCTCATGATATGGGGTGAGTCTCTTGTTAGAGTGGAACATATAGGTCAGTGTAAAGTGTGGAGACCAGCACCTGACTCTGAGCAAGAGTTCCATGAATATTAGCTTTCTATTTTTAAAAACCCACTAAAAGTCTGGGCACAGTGGCTCATGCCTATAATCTCAGCACTTTGGGAGGCTGTAGTGGGTAGGATCGTTTGAGCCCAGGAATTTGAGACCAGCCTGAGCAACACAGTGAGAACCCATGTCTACCAAAAATTTAGCCAGGCTTGGTGGTGCACACCTGTAGTCCCAACTGCTCAGGAAGCTTGAACCCAAGAGGTTGAAGCTGCAGTGAGCCGAGATCACGCCACTGCATTCCAGCCTGGCCAACAGAGGGAGCCTGTCTCAAAAAAATAAATAAATAAATAAATAAATAAATAAATAAATAAATAATAAAAAAATATGAAGCCACTAACAAAGGAGGGTAGGAAATAGTTAACAATCCAGTTATATTCTCTTTAGAGACACGCAATACCAGATAACAAAAACAATAAAGATGGCTATCTTAGTCCCTTTTCTGTTGCTATAACTGAATGCCTGAGACTGGGTAAATTGTAAAGAAAATACATTCATTTCTTACGGTCTGGAGGCTGGAAGTTCAAGGTCAAGGAGCTGCATCTGGTGAGGGCCTTCTTGCTAGTGGGGACTCTCTGCAGAGTTCCAAGGTGGTACAGGGTCACATGGCAAGGAGTACACAAGAGAATGCCAAGTGGCTTTTATAACAGACTCAGTTTTAAAATAACTAACCCATTCCCATGATAACCCATTAATCCATTAACCCATTAATCCATGATATATTAATCCTTTGGTGAGGACAGAGCACTAATGACCCAATCACCTCGTACAGGCTCCACCTGTCAATATTGTTACATTTGGGATTAAGTTTCATCATGAGTTTCAGAGGGGAGAAGCATTCAAACCATAGCAAACTCCTATGATGGTAGAAAAATAAATATAAGAGCAAACTGTACCAAAAGGAAACTAAGCTTTATATATGCTTCTATAGTTTGAATTATGTGTCCTCCCAAAATTTATATGTTGAAACCTAATCACCAAGATGATGGTATTAGAAAGTGGAGCTTTTGGGGAGGTGATTGGGTCATGAGGGCTCTGTCCTCACAAATGGGATTAATGACCTTATAAAAGATATATAAGGGAGCTGCTTCCCTCCTTTTTGCCCTTCCACCATGTGAAGACAAAGCGTCCATCCCCTCTGGAGGGCAAAACAACAAGGCATCATCTTGGAAGCACAGACCAGGCCCTCACTAGACTTCCTAGAACCTTGACCTTGGACTTTCTAGTCTCCAGAACCACAAGAAGTAAATTTCTATTGTTTATAAATTACCCAGTCTCATGTATTTTGTTATAGCAGCACAAATGGACTAAGACATGCAGGCAAGAATTTATGATAGGCCGGGCACGGTGGCTCATGCCTGTAATTCCAGCACTTTAGGAGGCCGGGGTGGGAGGATCATCTGAGATCAGGAGTTTGAGACCAGCCTGGCCAACATGGCGAAATCCCATCTCTACTAAAAAACATATATATATACAAAAATTAGCCAGGTGTGGTGGTGCACACTTGTAATCTTAGCT